>NT_187576.1:0-600000 GCF_000001405.40 Homo sapiens | reverse complement strand
GTAGTTCCTAAAAGCTTCTTGAGTTTGAGGGTGTCTGCTACAGAGATGACCCAAATCTTATGATTGGCATTTCCAAAATTTAGTGGAAGCTTTAATTGGATCAAGGAGACATTTCCATTTTCAAGCTAAGAGAGTTAGTAAGCGCTCACCTTAATAACACACAATTTGTTGTATAGTTTGGTTTTAAAACCGGGCAAAAATCATCCATAGGAACATGAATTGGTGTAGGTATTTGCAATAAGTAATGACCATTTTTATGGTTTTTGTATCAAAAAAATGATGATTTGAAGACTGAGCTCTCAGCTCTACTAGCAGAAGGGTAAGTGTCAGTATCGAGGCTGGTTTTGAATTATAGCTGAGCCAAAAGCATCTGAAAGCAATGCGTTCTTTTTCTTCTCTTCTCTAACTTAAAACTGGACTGGATTTTTTCATAGTTGGTAAAATGAATGCTTGGAGTCTTCAACCCAGAGCTCCAAGCAGGAGTCCAGCCAGAGTGCGTTTTTAGAACTGATTTATTAGCCCCATAAGGCCACCTGAGATCTTTGTGGTTTGCAACGTCCTATTTTTTTTTCCTGAATTACTTTGTATCTGACTTAGACAGTTACGGGTTTTAGCATGGGATTTTGCATACAGATTGGCCACTGCTTTGAAAGCTCTTCTATGATGCATATTTCATGATGAGTATCCTCAAACCACAAACCTCTCTGGAAAAAAAAAAAAGTCCTGTACCTTTTCGGTTTGATTATTAAACTGGAGATAGACAAATTACAGGAGCTGTCCCTCAATTTAATGAGAAACCCTTAAAAAACAAAACTTGGAATAATTGAAAATGGCATTGAACAATAAATAACTTAATAAAGTAGAAAATGTCTAATATTTAACTACAGCTATTTGATGAGAACATTTCAGAAAGAATGACTTTAAAAATTGAAATGAGAAATCACCTCATGTCGGGAGACACCATAGACGCACATTATTTTTCTTGATGTGGGAGACTGTGAGAACTCCTACAGGAGTTAAATCTGATGAGAACAATGTCTTTAGCTTAGCCCCGATCGTGGAAATAAGCTCTGCCCAGGAGCGAAGCGCTAAGGACCAAGCCACGTGGGTCAGGAAGGGGAGAATCTGGGGTCCAGACCTGAACCATTACTCTTAAACGCTGGCCCCTGTTTTATTGGTGGACAACTAATCCGTGTCCCATAAATCTGAGGACATTTAATCCCAATAATCCCTCTCCCAGTTCTATTTTTGCCTACGATCCCCAAAGCGGATATTCCTGTCCTTTCAGGGTACACCATGGAAAGGCTGATAGCTGCAGACTTTATCACCTTTCTGATCTTGTGTTCGTCTCTGCCTGGTACTCTCTGTCTAAGAGACGACATCACCAAGGGCCTAGTTTCTCTATTCACAAGCCAAAGGACCCCTGAAGCCCCCCTCCCCTTCATTTTCCCACATGAACTCATCAGCGAGGACTTGGATTCTCAAGAATGCTCCAAATGTGCATTTTTCTCTGTACAGCCAGCCTGGCCTCCATTATCCCTGACCTTGATTCCATCCCTGGTCTCCTAAGCTCTGCCCTCCTTACCGGCCTGCAAGCTTTTGGGATTCTCTACAGTGCAGACAGAAGGACATTTTTAAATTTAAATCTCATTCAGTCCTTGCCAGTGGTCCCACTGCCACCAGCGTGGAGGCCCATCTCCTCTATATGGCTCCCTACCCCTGCGGACCTCCTGTGTTTTCCTGCTGTCTCCTTCAACATCATCACCGTCCGCACCTTGCTCTCTCTCCTTAGCCATATTTAACTTGCAGGTTCTCTAATCTACTTCACTCTGTTTTATGGTTAGAGCTCTGGACTTTCCATTTCCATGTGAAATATTTGCTTTACTCTTTCTCTGGGTATCTCTTTCTCATCCTTCGGAACCCAGCTCAAAAACATCACCTCCTCCAGGAAGTCCTTCTTCTCCGAGTCAGATGTCCTCCCAAGACTGCACATCCCACCATCATATCTGGCACGATTTACACCTCATCCAGAAATATTTGCACCATTCCTGTCTCATCCAGATTGCAAACTTCTTGAGACGAGAGATGCATGTCCTTTTTGGACCCTCGCTGCCGCAGGATTCATCCGATCAGCCTGTGAAAAACCCACCCTCCTGTCTTGGTACACAAAGCTTGATGCTACTGCAGTGAGATTCTGGAGAAGGTGTACCATAAGCAGTTAATTCTCCCCATAGCTTTTAGTGTGTTCACTGCGACTCATGAAACCACCTTTGCAAAGATGATGGCAGTGAAGAGAAGCCTAGTGTGTCCCACTCCACCTGGCTTCCGCCTCACAGGCTGGCTGGCCTTGCTCATTTGCGGACATAGGCCAAGCTAATTATGGGAGGAATGTAGTTTACCATTTCACTTGCAAACAAGGATGGCCATAGTCCCTCCCTAAAACAGATCCCTCCTTGGTCAGGGACGGAAACTAATGGAAGGCCACAAGATCAGGATTATGGGAGGGGCCTGGGCTCTGCTAAACGTGGGCATAGTTTCTAGAATCCCTTACTGCTCAGGAGTCATGTGGCCAGAGCTCACAAGATTTGTGACTTCTCCGGTTGCTCCTATAGATAACATCACTGTTGCAGGACCTAAGATTTGTCTTTGGAGATGTTTTTCAGACTTTTTCATTCTGGCAACCAATGGACCCCATGCACATCCATGACTCACGACTCAACCAGTCCTGTGGCCCCCACCCAGAGGCCGACTCAGCCCACGAGACCCTCTCTCCACCCCCTCACGACTGCATCCCTAAACAGTCAGCAGCACCCAGTTCCTAGCCCCTTGCCACCAAATTATCCATAAACACCCTAGCCTCTGAGCCCTCAAGGAGGCTGATGTCAGTAATAAATCCCGTCTCTTGAGTGGCTTGCCTAGCATTAATTACTCTTTCTTGACTGTAATACCAGGGTCTCAGTGAATTTGTCTGTGTGGTGGGCAGGAAGAACCTGTCGGACAATCACACCCAGCTTTCAATGTACATTAGATATTTTCTTCTTTTACCTGTTCCCTCTCAGAATCCCAAGGATTCAAGGGTTTGATTGGAAGCATTTCTGGGATAAATGTGTGTGTATGTGATTTCATGCTTCCAGATTCTTACAATAATCACGTGGTATACAGATGCAGACCAAGTATCAAATATCTTAAAAACTTAGGCTTGTTCATAGTAGCATTATTCACAATAACTAAAACATGGAAGCAATCCAGTGTCCACTGTTGGGTAAATGCATGAGTGAAATACAGTCTACGCATACAATGAATTTTTTTTAAACACAGGGTCTCACCCTGTTGCCCAGTTGCTGGAGTGAAGGGTGTCATCATGGCTCACTGAAGCCTTGACTTCCTGGGCTCAACCAACCCTCCCAGCTCAACCTGAATATCTGGGACATGAGGTGTGTACCACCATGCCCAGCTAATTTTTTTGCTTTTTGTAGAGTTGGCATCTTACTATGTTGCCCAGGATGGTCTTAAACTCCTGAGTTCAAGGGACTCTCCCACTTCAGCTTCCCAAAGTACTGAAATTACAGGCATGAGTCACCACCCCTAGCATAAGGGAATGTTATTCAGCTTCATAAAAAAAAAAAGGAAATTCTGACCCATGTTACAACATGGCAGAACCTTGAAGACATTGTGTTAAGTCAAATAAGCCAGTCACAAATGGACAACTACTGTATGATCCCACTTATATTAGGTCCCTAAAGTCATCAGATTTACAGAGACAGGAAGCAGAATGGGAGTGACGTGCGGCAGGAGGTGGGGAGAACGGGGAGTTACTGTTTAATGGTAAGAGTTTGGTTTTGCAAAATGAAAAGGTTCTGTAGATGGATGTTGGTGATGGTTGCACAGCAATGTCTTTAGTGCCACTGAATTGTGCACTTACAGTGATTAAAAGGGTATATTCTGTGTTCGTGTATTTTGTCACAATAAACAAATAAACCCTGGTTTGGACTCTCCCAGGTCTGCCTGGACATTCTTTGTAGCCAAGTCCTGAGGCTGATGCCAAGGAGGTGGTGACAACCATGAGTTTGCTGAGAAAAGTGTGGAATCCCTGGTTTCCACAGGCTTTTGCCAACACACCTGACTCTTTGTTTGAGAGCTACCATCATTCTGGAGGCAATTTCTTCTTTAATTTACTGTCTTTGGATAATTTTGAAAGGGTCACAGAGCTGCAGCATCTTTCAATCTAGCATTCTGTTTTCTCAGTGATTACTCGTGATAGCAGATTGGAGAGCTCGGCATTTCTCTGAACTCCTCATTGCGTCTCTAGCTCTGATTATGTCACCACTTGATGTAACTGCATTGCCTGAATTGAGTCAGAATTTAGATATATTGTTAGATTTCCTACGTCTGTTGTATTTTTGCATGAAAGTCTCTCTTTTCTGACCTATCACTGGACTCTGTTTTAAAACCAAACACTAATTCTGGGGAATCTAAAAAATTTGAACACATAAAACTAAGCAACCATTAGAATTGACTTTGAAGTATATATGGCACTGAGTTTTTTTTCAACACAATTGTTAGCAACACTTGTTAAAAACACAAGAAAATATCTCATGAAAATGTAACTGAGTATTCAGTTGAAAAGAATACATTTTACTCAAAGAGTAATGGGATTAAATGTTGGGGTTTGGGAGATTAGAAGTGGAATCGAGTCATATTTTGGGAGAAATCTGGCAGCAGAGATAAATTAGTGCTGACAAGAAAGATAAAAGTGGAAAGGAAGACATTCCCTGTGGTGTTGAACACATGGAGAAGTCGGCCTGCTGTGCCCGCAAGTACAGCACAAATTTCACCCCATGTGTTTCCATGTGTTTTATTTTAGAGGAAACACAGAATTGAACTGTCTGTTGTTTAAAGCAATGAATGACATGCTAAATTATAGAATTGGGGCATTTTTATTAAAACTATTTCTGAGAAACCAAAACATTCGTTTCTGGAGATTTTCCACAAGCCTGTTATCTGTGTTACCGTAATATTTAGTGACACCGGGCCCCTCGATGGATGGCCAGTCTTCATGGTTGACAGCCTCCCTTCTATAGGTACTTCCTGTGGGACCGCATGGCTGCCAGTTACCACCTTCTCCTCCGAGGTCTCACTTGGAAAATCAGACCTGTTTTGTGAAAAAGGTCAAGTGGCTCCTTTGAACAGCTTTGTCTACGGTAGATGTTTCAGCTGAACGTGAGTTGAGATACGGCCTCTGTGACTCTTTAAAAACAACTGCACCAGCCTAGCAAGGTTGAAACTGACCGATTGTTCTTGGCAAGGTCTGCAGCCCAGGGTCTAAAGGAGTCAACGGGAAATGTCCTTCTCTTGCCATCCCCCAAAGTTTAACATCTCTCTTAAGACTTGATTTTGAATTTTGTGGTGTTACATTTTATTTCTCTAAAATGAACATTAGAGGCTTGGCACGGTGGCTCACACCTGTAATCCCAGCACTTTGAGAGGCCAAGGTGGACAGATGGCTTGAGGCCAGGAGTTTGAGACCAGACTGGCCAACGTGGCAAAACCCTGTCTCTACAAAAAATACAAAAATTAGCTGGGTGTGGTGGCACGTGCCTATAATCCCAGCTACTTGGGAGGCTGAGGCAGGAGAATTGCTTGAGCCTAGGATGCAAAGGTTGCAGTGAGCCAAGATTGCACCACTGCACTCCAGCCTGGGTGACAGAGGGAGACTCCATCTCAAAAATAAACAAACAAATAAATACATAAACAAATGGAATGAACATTAGAATCTCTTTCTTATCAGTTTATTCAATATAGTGCTCCTCCTGCATTTAGATCTTGAGCTTACAGCATATTTTAAATTTTTGCTATATTAATAAAAAACATCTTGGGACTACCTTTTACATTTTTCCTAGATGTGAAACTTTTCCTATGATTAATGTGTATTTTTTATTTAATTTTTCAAATTCATGGGATTCTGCAAAATTCTTATGAGGATCCCTATTTCCTAGAAGACCATACTAAACTGAGATTAAAGGCAGAATTTTCAGAACATAAACCGTGTGTTTTACAGAAACATTCTAGTATTATAGGAACTTCTTATTCCTGTTCTCATCACACAAATTAATGGTGTATATTGTCCTCATGGTCTTTCTGCACATTTTATCTGCATCATGTAACAGCCACGGGATGCCATTGTTCATGAAATAGGAAGTTCTTAACCTCAAAGCATCTTAATCAAAGGTTGGCAGAGGCTGCAAGGCCGCTACAACTGATCGACAATGTGCATCTCATTTTTATGTTTTGACTTTATGTGGGGAGCTTTCAGTTAACTGTGATGAGCTCCAACCTGCCTCAGAAGAAGTAACTACAAGGTAATTCAGCTCGGTACCATCTGCTTAGTTTCCGGCAGATTATCTTGGCCTAGGAAACTTTTACGTTTGCTGTTACAGAAGTTTTTTTCACAACGATACAATTGAAGTAATCATTCCTTTTTTCTGTTGCAATTTCAGTGTTTCTACTGTTCAATTTTTGGGGGTTCGTCCCATCTGCACAGGGTGGCCCATGGTGATGCTATGTGGATGTGTGTTGAGTAAGTTGATTAAGAGGTTTAGATACCAAAGTAGAATTTCATGTTTTTATATTTTTTCTTTAACTATAGTAATAGAAAGGCTAAATAGAAAGACACTTTAAACAGAACATGTGCCATGAACGTGCTATTTAAATAGAGCATTTAAATAGAACATTTCTTTAAATAGAATATTTAATATTCTAATTTACATATTTAATATTTAAGTAGAAAAATATTCTTTGAATGGAACATTTGTCATGAAAGGCTAAATAGAGACACTTTAGGTAGAACGTTTGTCATGAATGTGCCTTGTTTATGAAGCTGAGCTGAGAGGGGCTGTGCACTTGGCCAGAGACTCTTCTTCCAGTGATTAATAGAATCTTTCATACCTGGGAAAACCTGAGGTGTATTAAAGGAGTTCTTGTTCTAAAAGAGTGATCATATCATACAGAGATATTTTAACACATAATTATGTTCACACAGGTACTTAAACATCAAAAGCAATCAGGAAATCTCTGCTGAAATGTAAAGGAAATGACATAAAATTGCAAATAACACAATATGCAATAAAATGTTGTATATTTTATTCTGAGTCACCTAGACCATGTGAAGATTTAAAATGGATTAAAGACAGACATTGTGTCAAACCTGGTAAAGATTTCGTGACAGATGACCTTGAGCTTTACAACATTCACCTAGAATCGTCATTTATATAACGTGGGCAAAGACAGATCTCCTTAAATTCATTCTAAATCTTTTGCAACATCTTTGAAAATCTACTTCTAATAAAAACTCAGTTTAAAACTATGCCATTTTATGGTAAATTAATTGTGATTTTTTTTTTTTTTTTGAGACAGTGTCTTGCTTTGTCGCCCAGGCTGGAGTGCAGTGGCGCGATCTCGGTTCACTGCAAGCTGTGCTCCCCGGGTTCACGCCATTCTCCTGCCTCAGCTTCCCGAGTAGCTGGGACTACAGGTGCCTGCCACCACACCTGGCGAATTTTTTGTATTTTTGGTAGAGATGGGGTGTCACTGTGTTAGCCAGGATGGTCTCAGTCTCCTGACCTTGTGATCCACCCTCCTTGGCCTCCCAAAGTGCTGGGATTACAGGCCTGAGCCACCGTGCCCAGCCTAATTTTGATATTTCTTAAAACAAAGTTTTTAAGATACTAGAGTGCCCCATTGATAGTATTTATTTTTATTTTTTATTTTTTTTGAGAAACAGTTTTGGTCTGTCGCCCAGGCTGGAGTGCAGTGACATGATCTCGGTTCACTGTGACCCCTGCCTCCTGGGTTCAAGCGATTCTCTGGCATCAGCCTCCTGAGTAGTTGGGATTGCAGGTACCCACCACCATGCCGGGCTAATTTTTGTATTTTTAGTAGAGACAGGGTTTCACCATGTTGGCCAGGCTGGTCTCGAACTCCTGACCTCAGGTGATCTACCCACCCTGGCCTCTGAAAGTGCTGGGATTATAGGTGTGAGCCACCGCTTCCAGCCCAGTATTTTTAAAATATGAAGAAAAATGTCAAGTTCTATCTTTATGTGTTTTACAAAAGAGCAAAACAAAAATAAAAATTCTGAGTGTCTTTTCATGGTGACTTAGAAGAATTCTGTGAATGTCTGGCCTGTGCATATTTTTGTCCAACTAAAATTATAATCATTTAAAACATACAGATCATTATTTTCTTGAAAAAGGGTACACACGTGGAGGAAAAGTGCCTTCTGTATAACTTGATAGGGTGTTTTGTAATCTTCTAAATTTTCAAGGCTGTACATTTATGTCACGTTTCCATTAGGTGGCACTGTGCTAATAGTGATAGAGCAAGTTCTCTCAGAGCTCATATCAGCTTTTTTTTTTTTTTTCTCAAGTCTCACTTTATTTCATTAGTTTCTAAAATGCTGTTACTTAAGATATTTGGGTGGTTTTATGGCTCGGGGTGCCAGAGAAGCAGATGCTGTTTTCGCCGTTAGTCTTAGGATCCGGAATCAGCAGCCCCGGACACCTGAGACAGGGGGTGCGGGCCGTGTCCCCTCCACAGGTGGAGACAGTCAGGTTCGGCTTGAAAGAGGAATTCCCCGAGGGAGTGAGCCAAGAAGGACGATTGGCTGTCTTGTCACAGAGGCAGCAGGGCTTCAGGAAGGTCCTGAGGGAGAATGAAGGGTTCTGTGGTCTCTAACACAGCCCCTGGCTGAGATCGCCGTCCTCTCATTCCACCCTGGTCTGCTGGTTGGGACCACGGGCAGCGAGTCCACGGCAGGACTCCCGAGCAGTGGCTGTCGCCGGTCACCCCGGACGGCTCAGGGCAACACGGACCGTGGCGCCCCAGGAAAGGCGCCCACAGCCACAGCCAGCCTGGATGGGGCCCCTGGAGCGTGGGGTCTCGAACACCACCCGTCAGGGCTGAAGCCCACTTCCCTCAAAGGTGACAAGTGTGGCCGAGAGTCACAGAGCCTCAGGCCGAAGAGATGGTGCTGTCACTGGGGACGCACCGTACAAACACACATGGTAATCCACTGCGTTGAGCGCCTGTCTCAAAGGCGTGATAGAGTTTCCGCTTCGGCCTGCGGTGCTGTGGGATTAACCTGATTAATATCGTCCATTGCATGTGATTTTCGATGCAGGAGAAAATGTTATTTTGCCTAAAGATGTAAATATATAAAAATAGCCAAATCAGAGACAGGGACTTGAATTCTGGGTCATTTTAAATACTAGTTAAAAGCTTTAAATGGCTAAACGTATTTTTAATACTGGGTCTCATTTATGTATTTATTTATTGCATATGGAATGATCTTGCTTAGATATCTATTTGGCACTTATTTAAATAATCTATTTGTTCGTTAAATATATGTTCCATAATAGGAAGCTTATTAAAAGAGTTTACTATAGTCATTAGGTCTGCAAAAGACATAAAAATAATAGTTTGTCTATAGTAGATAAAATACTAAGAATAATTTCACCTTTCTCCTACAAAATAATCCATCTAAAACCCAAGTATAGGCCGGGCTCAGTGGCTCATGCCTGTAATCCCAGCACTTTGGGAGGCCGAGGTGGGCGGATCACCTGAGGTCAGGAGTTCGAGACCAGCTTGAGCAATATGGTGAAACCCCGTCTCTACTAAAATTACAAAAAGTAGCTGGGCGTGGTGGTGGGCATCTGTAGTACCAGCTACTTGGGAGGCTGGGGCAGGAGAATCGCTTGAAGCCAGGAGGCGGAGGTTGCAGTGAGCCGAGATCGCGCCCTTACACTCCAGCCCGGGCGACAGTGCGAGACTCCGTCTCAAAACAAAAAACAAAAAGCAAACAAAAAAACCCCCAAAAAATCAAAACCCCAGAATGGTAGCTATTTCATGTGAGTGAGCATGGGGAACCCCCGATGTCTCTGGGTCATGAAACCACAAGAATGAAAGGGCTGGGAAGGCCCCCGGCAGCCCCCATGTGCGTGAGTTAGGGCACCCAGCTCTTCCGGAAGGTAACTCAGGCTGTGAGAACCCAGGGAACAAGTCAGCATCGGGGTGAACCAGAAGCCCCCTTGGATCCAGAGTCATTTTGGAACGTGAGCCCTGCCCTTTGCCAGGGATGTAGAAGGAGTTCTGGGGTGTTTCGCGAGTGTGGTGTCGTCACACCCTGGGTGCTGGATGGGCATCCTCATTGTCAGCTCGGCAGTGACCAGGCAGATAGAGCCACACGTTCTCATCAGGAACCTCTTCATTGTCTTGGGCTGGGCTACAGGATTCCTCACAGAGAAGTCAAGTCGCCAGTGGCTCTCTTTCCAGTGACTGCCCATTTCTCCGTTCCATACATATTTTCCAGACATGGTGTGTGCACGGATGGGCTGGAAGCTGCAGGACTTTCAGTCTGGTTTGTCCTGCAGCTAAAAGACCACAGACATGTGGCAACTGGCCCCGTCCCCAACTCACTGCCTCGGAACCTGCATTTCTGTCGGTTCTCCTGGCCGCTCACATGCACGGTACAGCCTGAGGAGCCCTGTCTGGAGTGTGTTATTGCAACCTGCCAATCCTTAGTGCCAAGGAAGGGGCAAATGTCACTTGCAAAGCTGCAATTTTCTCTGCTTATCTCTTTTTGAGGATAAAATAGGTGAAGGCCATGGCAGCAGGGAGAAGGCTTATGGTTTATAGCTAATTCACCCGGGGAAAGTAAAAGTGCATTCTGTAATTAATCACATCTCCAGTTTGCCCATTATCCTGATCCTTCTCCTCAGATTCCTCTATAGCCCCTGGCCTGTCCATTTTGTGGCTCCTTAACTACCAGGTCAGAGGTAGATGAGATGAAGAAGGGAGATGAGAGGCATTCAGATCGACCCGTTTTATTATTTCCTTGGAGGCTCTTGGAGACTGCTTGATGAGTGAATGCTGAGAATAATGGGTGGAATGCATTAGCGGGTGGCTCGTGCCATGATTAATCTGATTCCTGTCCCATTAATGCTACTAATTGGCTACCCCAAGAAGAAAATGTCCCTCAGCTTCAGGGTGTGGGAAAGCGACGCTACCATGTTGTTAGTAGCCGAGATCATTAACTGTTGCCTTTTTTATTTGCCTTTTCTCGAACCAATCAGACCAACGACATTGCTGTGAACACCTCTGTAGAATTAGCTTCGGCTTGGGCTCTCGGAATCAGCCGTTACTCCCCCAACAATAATCTTTTGGAAATCCCCAAAGCCTCTGTAATTATGGAATTTGACGAAGGCTCTGTTGTGGATTTTGTTTCTTCTCTCTTCTCTCTCCCATTCCTATCCCTGTCAGTGCCCGGAAAAGCCGAAAGGATCCAGGAAAACACTGCAGGAGAACACTGGTAAAGTGGTCCTCAGTGAGGGCAGCTCAGGAGCTTGGAGCAGGAGGGAGAGCTCCCCTGACTCATCACAGCACAGGGCACTGGAACCCCAGGAACAGTGCTCAGTTCCTTCCACGGGAGCTCACGTGGAAAATAATCTCACCATGCCAGCTGCAGTTCTCAGACCCTCTGATCCATAACCCAGCACGGCGGGGCGTGGTAGCCTCACAGTGTTTGTTTTAAATTGTGCCATCCTTGGATTCCCCATTTTGGTCTCCGTCCTCCTACTCTCTCCCTGCTTCAGACAGAGGTGTCAGACAAAAGGGCTCAACTTGGTATCACTGGAAACCCGGCCAGTAGCTCATCAGCTCGTCTTCCAGGCAGGTTGCTGCGATCCTGGCAGGCCTGACGGTGAGGCCTGTGAGCTGGAATGAGCTGCGCTGAGAAACTGACCTCTCCAGTGGGCAGGATGGAGCCACCCATTGAGGCTGAAGACTCGTGTATGTTCTCATGATCCGATGACCCAGGGAAAAAATAAAACCAAATCAAACCAACCAACCCTGTCTGCCAGGAGGACAGAAAGAATGCCCCAAATTTACTATTTTACTTTTATTTTTTGAGACATGGTCTCGCTCTGTCACCCAGGCTGGAGGGCAGTGGCACCGTCATGGCTCACTGCAGCCTCAACCTCCTGGGCTCAAGTGACCCTTTGCCTCAGTCCCCTGAGTAGCTGGGACTACAGGTGTGTGCCACCACACGCGGCTAATTTTTTGTATTTTTTGTACAGATGGGATTTTGTCTTGTTACCTAAGCTGGTCTTGATCTCCTGGCTTCGATCTGCCTGCCTCAGACTGCCAGAGTGCTGAGATTACAGGTATGAGCCACCGTGCCTGGTCAGAATGTCCCAAATTTATTTAAGGAAATAATCAGTTTGGCATTTTTTTAAAAAATTGGTGCAGGAAAATACACACGTTGGGTATGACACCTTTAAAGCTGGATATTTTTCTCTGTCTTGTCTCAGGTGTCTTTCAGATGTCCCTTTATTGTCTAAACTTCTGACGACTTGTGCTCAGTGTCTGGCAATCTTGAGAACTCTTCTCTGCGTGCAAAGTCGCATATTTTTAACACAAAGGAAATGAGCAATCTTTTGGGATGCTTTTATGGGTATCTAAAAAGTCCATTATTTTGCCTGTTTTGATGTCCTTATCAGGAACACAAAGCAGAAACAACTTCCTAAACAAATCTCAGCTACTTGAGACGTCGTATGTTCTATCTTTTCACACTTCTTTTTTGTTAGCTACATTATATCTTATAGCAAATTCATTTCTTGGCCCTTTGTTCACAGAGCAATGCAGAACATCTTAGTCCCTGTGATAATAATAGTAATTATCAGTTATGCAGAGCCTTGCCTCGCCAAAGCCCTTGGCAATCATCAATTAGCTAATTCAAACAGCATCCCTGTGAGAGGACTGCTCTTGAGAATATTATAATGCACAACCATTATGTGCTGACCTTTGACTTTGCTGTGAGAAGGACCAGGTTGACGGCTGAATTTAAAGGCTGGTATAATTTCCATTCATCCTAGTGGATGCTTCAGTGAGTGCATCTTTTCAAGTTAAATATAGTTAATAAATACACATTTTGAAGTGGTTTATATACATTTCTGTGCCTTCGTAACCAAACAGGTCTTATTTCTCCTGCATCAATGCACACTTTGTCTTACCCATTTTACGTTGCAAATGTATATTCCAGGAACATTTCCTAAGTGCCTATTTTGAGCCAGCACAATGCTGGCCTAGGACCTCTGAATACAAATATAGGAGAAACACAATTCTGTTTTCAAGAAATTCACGCGCTAGTTTTGAGACACATAGACCAATGGTCATAATACAACCTATGCGATCCACACAAAAGTTAAGTAAAAAGCGCAGTGGGGACTCTGGGGTGTGATCAGTAGGACATCACATGTTCACGTCAAGAGGGTGGGTCGTGTTCACTGTGCCCTCTGATGCCACCAGAAGGCAACAGAAGTAAATAACACATCAAAACTCAGAGGCCCAATAGAGCAGGGCTTATATGAGAATTTTACGCATTAGAAACAAATATGAGAACAGAAAAAAGTTGAAAGTTAATGAGTGAAGTGCACACCTTCAGATGTAAGAAAAAGAGCAAGACCCAACCTCATAAAAGTTGGAAGAAGGCAACAGTAATGACAAAGGCCTTAAAGCTTCATCAATAGCAGAGGTAAAGCAAAGCCTTAACAGAGCCAGATGTTTTTAAAACGACCGACGAAAGGAGCATGATTTTGGCAACTTTGATCGAGATGAGAAAGGGAAAGGAAAATTGGTGATATTAGAGAATAACATGTTGGCATAATCGCAATTGTATGAGATATCAAAATTAGAAAATATGAAAAATTTTGTTAGTTTTTAGTAATCCAAGATAAAATGGAATACTCTATAAATCTCAGATAAAATGCAAATCTTATAAAAGTAGAAAAATTATTAAATAGTATATTTTGCCAAAAGTGAATTAAGAATGTAGAGGTCTGAATAATTTTATCAAGGAAATTGAGTTAGTAGTTTAAAAGATTGCCACAGGGATTTTCCAGCCCCAGATAAGTTTACAGGTGAGTGCTAGCACTCAGATAATTACATGGATGACTTCTACCAAGATTCTAAAGACAGTTTGTGTGAGTCTGTTCTCACATTGCTATAAAGAAATACCCGAAACTGGGTAATTCACAAAGAAAGGAGGTTTAACTGACTCACAGTTCCACCTGCCTGAGGAAGCCTCAGGAAACTTACAATCATGGTGAAAGGCACATCTTCACAGGGTGGCAGGAGAGAGAAGGAGTGCCAGCAGGGGAAATGCCAGATGCTTATAAAACCATCAGATCTCTTGAGAACTCACTCACTATCACGAGAACAGCATGGGGGAAACGGCCCCCAGGATTCAATTACCTCCCACCACGTCCTCCTATGACATGTGGGGTTTATGGGGAATACAATTCAAGATGAGATTTGGGTGGGGACACAGCCAAAGGATATCACAGTTCCAATTTTACACAAGTAGAAAAACAAAACAGAATAGAAGGAGGGGGCATTTTATTCACCTAATTTAATGAGCAGTGCAATCTCGATGCCAAAGTCACAGGACAGTAGTAGAAAAGAAAATGGCAGGACAATCTCAATGATATGTGCAATTCCAAAACCAAAAGCATAGTGTTAGCAAAGGGAAGTCAACATCATTTTACAGATATGCACATTTCCAAGTCAGTTTGGTTCTCTACTGCAAAGATGGAGGAGTAGTAGAAAACAATTAAATGTTATTCAGCTCAATAACAGATTAAAGAGAAAATGTGATTATCTCAATTGATTCAGCAGCTTTCACTTATTATATATAATTCTATAATTTCACTTATTAATTATTAATATAATTAATAAAAGAGAGCTCTTAGTACAAGAAGACTTTCTTTTTTTTAAATTTATTATTATTATACTTTAAGTTTTAGGGTACATGTGCACATTGTGCAGGTTAGTTACATATGTATACGTGTGCCATGCCGGTGCGCTGCACCAACTAACTCGTCATCTAGCATTAGGTATATCTCCCAATGCTATCTCTCCTCTCTCCCCCGACCCCACAACAGTCCCCAGAGTGTGATGTTCCCCTTCCTGTGTCCATGTGTTCTCATTGTTCAATTCCCACCTATGAGTGAGAATATGCGGTGTTTGGTTTTTTGTTCTTGCGATAGTTTACTGAGAATGATGATTTCCAATTTCATCCATGTCCCTACAAAGCACATGAACTCATCATTTTTTATGGCTGTATAGTATTCCATGGTGTATATGTGCCACATTTTCTTAATCCAGTCTATCATTGTTGGACATTTGGCTTGGTTCCAAGTCTTTGCTATTGTGAATAATGCCGCAATAAACATACATGTGCATGTGTCTTTATAGCAGCATGATTTATAGTCCTTTGGGTATATACCCAGTAATGGGGTGGCTGGGTCAAATGGTATTTCTAGTTCTAGATCCCTGAGGAATCGCCACACTGACTTCCACAATGGTTGAACTAGTTTACAGTCCCACCAACAGTGTAAAAGTGTTCCTCTTTCTCCACATCCTCTCCAGCACCTGCTGTTTCCTGACTTTTTAATGATGGCCATTCTAACTGGTGTGAGATGATATCTCATTGTGGTTTTGATTTGCATTTCTCTGATGGCCAGTGATGGTGAGCATTTCTTCATGTGATTTTTGGCTGCATAAATGTCTTCTTTTGAGAAGTGTCTGTTCATGTCCTTCGCCCTCTTTTTGATGGAGTTGTTTGTTTTTTTCTTGTAAATTTGTTTGAGTTCATTGTAGATTCTGAATATTAGCCCTTTGTCAGATGAGTAGATTACAAAAATTTTCTCCCATTTTGTAGGTTGCCTGTTCACTCTGATGGTAGTTTCTTTTGCTGTGCAGAAGCTCCTTAGTTTAATTAGATCCCATTTGTCAATTGTGGCTTTTGTTGCCATTGCTTTTTGTGTTTTAGACTTGAAGTCCTTGCCCATGCCTATGTCCTGAATGGTAATGCCTAGGTTTTCTTCTAGGGTTTTTATGGTTTTAGGTCTAACGTTTAAGTCTTTAATCCATCTTGAATTGATTTTTGTATAAGGTGTAAGGAAGGGATCCAGTTTCAGCTTTCTACATATGGCTAGCCAGTTTTCCCAGCACCATTTATTAAATAGGGAATCCTTTCCCCATTGCTTGTTTTTCTCAGGTTTGTCAAAGATCAGATAGTTGTAGATATGTGGCGTTATTTCTGAAGGCTCTGTTCTGTTCCATTGATCTATATGTCTGTTTTGGTACCAGTACCATGCTGTTTTGGTTACTGTAGCCTTGTAGTATAGTTTGAAGTCAGGTAGTGTGATGCCTCCAGCTTTGTTCTTTTGGCTTAGGATTGACTTGGTGATGTGGGCTCTTTTTTGGTTCCATATGAACTTTAAAGTAGTTTTTTCCAATTCTGGGAAGAAAGGCATTGGTACCTTGATGGGGATGGCATTGAATCTGTAAATTACCTTGGGCAGTATGGCCATTTTCACAAAACTGATTCTTCCTACCCATGAGCATGGAATGTTCTTCCATTTGTTTGTATCCTCTTTTATTTCCTTGAGCAGTGGTTTGTAGTTCTCCTTGAAGAGGTCCTTCACATCCCTTGTAAGTTGGATTCCTAGGTGTTTTATTCTCTTTGAAGCAATTGTGAATGGGAGTTCACTCATGATTTGGCTGTGTGTTTGTCTTTTGTTGGTGTATAAGAATGCTTGTGATTTTTGTACATTGATTTTGTATCCTGAGACTTTGCTAAAGTTGCTTATCAGCTTAAGGAGATTTTGGGCTGAGACAATGGGGTTTTCGAGATATACAATCATGTCATCTGCAAACAGGGACAATTTGACTTCCTCTTTTCCTAATTGAATACCCTTTATTTCCTTCTCCTGCCTAATTGCCCTGGCCAGAACTTCCAACACTATGTTGAATAGGAGTGGTGAGAGAGGGCATCCCTGTCTTGTGCCAGTTTTCAAAGGGAATGCTTCCAGTTTTTGCCCATTCAGTTTGATATTGGCTGTTTTTGTCTTTGGTTCTGTTTATATGCTGGATTACATTTATTGATTTGCGTATATTGAACCAGCCTTGCATCCCAGGGATGAAGCCCACTTGATCATGGTGGATAAGCTTTTTGATGTGATGCTGGATTCGGTTTGCCAGTATTTTATTGAGGATTTTTGCATCAATGTTCATCAAGGATATTGGTCTAAAATTCTCTTTTTTGGCTGTGTCTCTGCCCGCCTTTGGTATCAGGGTGATGCTGGCCTCATAAAATGAGTTAGGGAGGATTCCCTCTTTTTCTATTGATTGGAATAGTTTCAGAAGGAATGGTACCAGTTCCTCCTTGTACCTCTGGTAGAATTCGGCTGTGAATCCATCTGGTCCTGGACTCTTTTTGGTTGGTAAGGTATTGATTATTGCCACAATTTCAGATCCTGTTATTGGTCTATTCAGAGATTCAACTTCTTCCTGGTTTAGTCTTGGGAGAGTGTATGTTTCAAGGAATTTATCCATTTCTTCTAGATTTTCTAGTTTGTTTGCATAGAGGTGGTTGTAGTATTCTCTGATGGCAGTTTGTATTTCTGTGGGATCGGTGGTGATATCCCCTTTACCATTTTATAAATGGGTGATATCCCATTTATCATTGCATCTATTTGATTCTTCTCTCTTTTTTTCTTTATTAGTCTTGCTAGCGGTCTATGAATTTTGTTGATCCTTTCAAAAAACCAGCTCCTGGATTCATTAATTTTTTGAAGGGTTTTCTGTGTCTCTGTTTCCTTCAGTTCTGCTCTGATTTTAGTTATTTCTTGACTTCTGCTAGCTTCTGAATGTGTTTGCTCTTACTTTTCTAGTTCTTTTAATTGTGATGTTAGGGTGTCAATTTTGGATCTTTCCTGCTTTCTCTTGTGGGCATTTAGTGCTATAAATTTCCCTCTACACACTGCTTTGAATGCACCCCCGAGATTCTGGTATGTTGTGTCTTTGTTCTCGTTGGTTTCAAAGAACATCTTTATTTCTGCCTTCATTTCGTTATGTACCCAGTAGTCATTCAGGAGCAGGTTGTTCAGTTTCCACGTAGCTGAGTGGTTTTGAGTGAGATTCTTAATCCTGAGTTCTAGTTTGATTGCACTGTGGTATGAGAGATAGTTTGTTATAACGTCTGTTCTTCTACATTTGCTGAGGAGAGCTTTACTTCTAAGTATGTGGTCAACTTCGGAATAGGTGTGGTGTGGTGCTGAAAAAAATGTATATTCTGTTGATTTGGGGTGGAGAGTTCTGTAGATGTCTATTAGGTCTGCTTGGTGCAGAGCTGAGTTCAATTCCTGGGTATCCTTGTTGACTTTCTCTCTCGTTGATCTGTCTAATGTTGACAGTGGGGTGTTAAAGTCTCCCATTATTAATGTGTGGGAGTCTAAGTCTCTTTGTAGGTCACTCAGGACTTGCTTTATGAATCTGGGTGCTCCTGTATTGGGTGCATATATATTTAGGATAGTTAGCTCTTCTTGTTGAATTGATCCCTTTACCATCATGTAATGGCCTTCTTTGTCTCTTTTGATCTTTGTTGGCTTAAAGTCTGTTTTATCAGAGACTAGGATTGCAACCCTTGCCTTTTTTTGTTTTCCATTTGCTTGGTAGATCTTCCTCCATCCTTTTACTTTGAGCCTATGTGTGTCTCTGCGCGTGAGATGGGTTTCCTGAATACAGCACACTGATGGGTCTTGACTCTTTATCCAATTTGCCAGTCCGTGTCTTTTAATTGGAGCATTTAGTCCATTTACATTTAAAGTTAATATTGTTATGTGTGAATTTGATCCTGTCATTATGATGTTAGCTGGTTATTTTCCTCGTTAGTTGATGCAGTTTCTTCCTAATCTCGATAGTCTTTACATTTTGGCATGATTTTGCAGCAGCCGGTACCGGTGGTTCCTTTCCATGTTCAGCGCTTCCTTCAGGAGCTCTTTTAGGGCAGGCCTGGTGGTGACAAAATCTCTCAGCATTTGCTTGTCCGTAAAGTATTTTATTTCTCCTTCACTTACGAAGCTTAGTTTGGCTGGATATGAAATTCTGGGTTGAAAATTCTTTTCTTTAAGAATGTTGAATATTGGTCCCCACTCTCTTCTGGCTTGTAGAGTTTCTGCCGAGAGATCCACTGTTAGTCTGATGGGCTTCCCTTTTAGTGTAACCCGACCTTTCTCTCTGGCTGCCCTTAACATTTTTTCCTTCATTTCAACTTTGGTGAATCTGACAATTACCTGTGTTGGAGTTGCTCTTCTCGAGGAGTATCTTTGTGGCGTTCTCTGTATTTCCTGAATCTGAACGTTGGCCTGCCTTTCTAGATTGGGGAAATTCTCCTGGATAATATCCTGCAGAGTGTTTTCCAACTTGGTTCTATTCTCCCCATCACTTTCAGGTACACCAATCAGACGTAGATTTGGTCTTTTCACATAGTCCCATATTTCTTGGAGGCTTTGCTCATTTCTTTTTATTCTTTTTTCTCTAAACTTCCCTTCTTGCTTCATTTCATTCATTTCATCTTCCATTGCTGATACCCTTTCTTCCAGTTGATCGCATCGGCTCCTGAGGCTTCTGCATTCTTCACGTAGTTCTCGAGCCTTGGTTTTCAGCTCCATCAGCTCCTTTAAGCACTTCTCTGTATTGGTTATTCTAGTTATACATTCTTCTAAATTTTTTTCAAAGTTTTCAACTTTTTACCTTTGGTTTGAATGTCCTCCCATGGCTCAGAGTAATTTGATCATCTGAGGCCTTCTTCTCTCAGCTCGTCAAAGTCATTCTCCGTCCAGCTTTGTTCTGTTGCTGGTGAGGAGCTGCGTTCCTTTGGAGGAGGAGAGGCACTCTGCTTTTTAGAGTTTCCAATTTTTCTGTTCTGTTTTTTCCCCATCTTTGTGGTTTTATCTACTTTTGGTCTTTGATGATGGTGATGTACAGATGGGTTTTTGGTGTGGATGTCCTTTCTGTTTGTTAGTTTTCCTTCTAACAGACAGGACCCTCAGCTGCAGGTCTGTTGGAGTACCCTGCAGTGTGAGATGTCAGTGTGACCCTGCTGGAGGGTGCCTCCCAGTTAGGCAGCTCGGGGGTCAGGGGTCAGGGACCCACTTGAGGAGGCAGTCTGCCCCTTCTCAGATCTCCAGCTGCGTACTGGGAGAACCCCTGCTCTCTTCAAAGCTGTCAGACAGGGACATTTAAGTCTGCAGAGGTTACTGCTGTCTTTTTGTTTGTCTGTGCCCTGCCCCCAAGGTGGAGCCTACAGAGGCAGGCAGGCCTCCTTGAGCTGTGGTGGGCTCCACCCAGTTCGAGCTTCCAGGCTGCTTTGTTTACCTAAGCAAGCCTGGGCAATGGCGGGCGCCCCTCCCCCAGCCTGGCTGCCACCTTGCAGTTTGATCTCAGACTGCTGTGCTAGCAATCAGCGAGACTCCGTGGGGTAGGACCCTCTGAGCCAGGTGCGGGATATAATCTTGTGGTGCGCCTTTTTTCAAGCCCGTCAGAAAAGCGCAGTATTCGGGTGGGAGTGACCCGATTTTCCAGGTGCCGTCCGTCACCCCTTTCTTTGATTAGGAAAGGGAACTCCCTGACCCCTTGCACTTCCTGAGTGAGGCAATGCCTCGCCCTGCTTTGGCTCGCGCACGGTGCGCGCACCCACTGACCTGCGCCCACTGTCTGGCACTCCCTAGTGAGATGAACCCGGTACCTCAGATGGAAATGCAGAAATCACCTGTCTTCTGCGTCGCTCAGGCTGGGAGCTGTAGACTGGAGCTGTTCCTATTCGGCCATCTTGGCTCCTCCCTCCTATTTATTTTTTTTGGAGATGGAGTCTCCTTCTGTCGCCCAGGCTGAAGTGCAGTGGCTGCACGGTTTTCATATGTAAATGTTCAATGATGTTAAATGTTCATGAAGTTTAAACTGGCCAAGTATCCTAGTATAGTATTCAAGGACAGCATAAATAGAATCAGAATAATGACATGATTGAGGACCCATTAGCTCCATGTGAACTTACTCAAAAAACTCTCTATCCCAGAACTTCCCCCAAATTTTACGATGAGATTAGATGAATATTAAACAGCCATTAAAAAACTGTAATACTATCTTTGAGGCATTTTCAATGTCTTTAATAAGATGGCATTAATCTTTTCAGAGGAGACCATTGGTGAGAAATTTTAGGCAAAAATGTTTACTACTAAATCTCTCGTGCTGTTTTTTAAATTTCCTTTTTGTCTTTACACATTTTCTAAATTGAAAATTAAACATTAATTTTTAAACATATGTTTTTGAGGAAGACGGAGTTACCAGTTCATTAGCAAGAGGCATGCCTTTGTAGGGCAGTGAATTATACTGCAAACAGATTTCCTAAATTATAAATAATATGAACTGAAAGTGTGAATTTGAAATCTCAGATGGTAAGCAATGATTTATTTTAATAATATAAACTAGAAATATCAACTCCATCCCATTCCCTTCACATATAGTGTAAAATGGATACTTTTTTTTAGGGAAGACAGCTATAATCCCCTCCTTACCACAAAATAACAAACCTATAAAAATATAACTGTGAAAGCAATCTATTCAAATGTGCAAATGAAGGTACATAAATTTTTTAAAATCAAATATATAATTTCAAAGGAACTAAATCCTATTCCTTCCTAAACATGATTAAGTGGAGGTTGTTTTATGTATTTTACTGATAGGCAATATGAAGCCAGGTCAGAGTATAATTTCTTTATGCCAGACGAGAATGTATAAAATAAGCCGCCTCACAGTCAGAACCTAATTTGTTTCTCTCTGAGTTTGACGTCAATCAACAATTTGGATTTGAATTTCCAAAAGGGCTTAAAGTTTCATTGTTTATCCCTTTCCATCTTGTTCAAGAAGATTTGAAGTTGTTAGAGGATTTTTCTGTGTATTCTTGGGAGTTTGGCAAGAAAAGAAAGCAAGCTATTTTCTATGCTCGGGGATTCTGAGATATGAGTAAATTATGTGATTTCACCATGCAGAAAGTGAGTTTCAGAACCTCTGCTGGAATCTGGCTTGTCTGCAGAGATTTAAAGTCCAAAATGCTCCCCTAAAACCAAGTCACCTCCCATTCTTTTATCTAAGCATGTGATTTATCCTTTTATTTTCCTTCCCTTATATCTCCTGGAAGAACGATACTGTAATGATTATTCTAGCGGACACACATCTAGTAGATACACAGAAACAGAGTCATGCTCCCGGTGTGGTGTCCCCCTGAAAATCTAATGTAGACACATGAATCAAATTTAAATAAGGACCCTACCTTGCTTCCAAATGAGTTGGAGCATGTTTCATTTAACAAGTGCCAACTTTGAAGACACGGGAGACCTCATTGGGGTTAGGGACCATATGGCGTGACAAATACAATCCTGCACCTTCTAAGGGGGGAGCTCAGGAAGAATCACCTCCTGTGGGAGCAGACTCGGCTCCTTTCAGAAGCGGAATGGCTGACTCTACATCAGCCTGGCGAGGCGGTGGCGCCTGTGGTTCCGTCACACAGTCGTCTGGATGTGCTGTGAAGTTACCATGTGAAAGGGACTTGGTTTCGAGTCAGGAGAATTTGGGTAAAGCAGATTGTCCCCCGTAACATGGGTAGGTTTCCTCCAAATAATTGAAAACCAAAGACTGGGGTTACCCAAAGAACACAATCTGCCTAAAAGATTGCATGATCAATTTTTTGCCTATATTTCTAGCCTGCCAATCTGCCCTGGAGATTTCAGACTTGCTCTCCATGCTGGGGGCTGTCCATGTCCAGGGTCTGTCCATGCTGGGGGCTGTGCATGATAGGGTCTGTTTATGCTGGGAGAAGTCCACGATGGAGTCTGTCCGTGGTGGGGGCTGTCCATGTCCAGGGTTTGTCCATGCTGGGGGCTGTCCATGATAGGGTCTGTTTATGCTGGGGGCTGTCCACGATGGAGTCTGTCCGTGGTGGGGGCTGTCCATGTCCAGGGTCTGTCCATGCTGGGGGCTGCCTATGCCGCTGTCTGTCCATGGTGGGGTTTGTTTATGCTGGCGGCTGTCCATGCTGGGGGCTGTCCGTCCTGGGATCTGTCGATGCCTGGGCTCTCTGTGCTGGGCACAGTGTGGGGAGGCTGAGTCATGGAGCTTGTAGCAGGAGGATTGGATGAATATCTCTGAACACACTTGGGGATCAGTGAGGGCTGTTATTTGAAGCTGGGGAAGAGTGAGCTGTTTGTGGGCTAGGTTGGGACAGTTTAATGGATGAGAGATCAGGGAAGGAGAGAGGGAAAACAGGAAGAGAAGTCACTGGGCAGGGAGAGGAGGTGGGGTGGGGTATTTATGGTTAGTGACAGGAAGGGAGCTTCATCCTACTGCAGAATAGAAAGACGCTGTGCTTGTCTGTCAGCGATGGGAAGATGGAGCATTTCTGTGGGAACAGCCGTGTCCCATCATCAACTGCAATGAGGAAAGGAGGGCTGGGAAGTTTGCGGACAGGGGGAGTGTAAGATGCACGTTGCAAAGTTAGAAGCAAAACTTACAAGAGAAATGAAGCAAGACCTCAAGATAATGCAGAATGATGGGAATACAGGGAGTCCAGGGGCATCTACGGCATAAGGACCTTGGTGTCAGAAAGGCAGAAGCTTCAGAGAATTTATTCGGTGTCAGAAGACAGGCTGTTCTGCCTTGACTTTCTTCTGGAGGAAAACACAGGCCAAGGATCCTAGTATAGTATTCAAGGACAGCATAAATAGAATCAGAATAACGACATGAATGAGGACCCATTAGCTCCATGTGAACTTACTCAAAAAACTCTCTATCCCAGAACTTCCCCCAAATCATCACTAAGAACGTATTAGCTGGTTCACAATATATTAATTAAATAGAGCAGATGAATGCAACACTGTGTGTCTTCCTCTAGAGAAACGATAAAGGGTATACTAAGGCACTGATACTCTGCAGAAACAGGAGGAATGCTTTCTTTCCATTTTTGGTGCTTATTTTAGATTACAGTTTTGCAAAGACGAGTAAGTTTTGTGTAATAAAGAAAAGTATCATTTTATATAAAAGGTATATTTTCTCACTGAAGAGTATTTATAGCAGTAATCGTTCAGAGCTTAGAGGGTTCAGACATTTGCAGGGTCCACAAAATAGGAAATATATATATGTATTATTTATACATATTACATATTATATAATAAATATTTATATATATACATTTTTATATTATATATATATATATTTTTTTTTTTTTCAGATCCCAACCCGCAAAACAGAGGTCTTCTCTAGCTTGCTGGTGGCAGACCAGGAAAGGTAACTAAAACATTCAGTATACTCATGTGCAACGGCAAATATGAATTTAACTTGAATTGAATTTCAAAGATTAGCTTATAAATGAAAAGACTTTTCCCAGAGTTTTAACCTGCAATCTGAAAACTCAAGCTGTGTTCTTCTCTCAGATTTCAAAGCTGATGATAGTGATTCTACAGTATAAATTTATTTGACAGTTCTGAGGATGATTGATAAGGGACATTCCGAGCATCTTAGCTCTGCAGCCTTAAGCAACACGGTCATTTGGTTGAAATATGCAGTTCTAAGGTCAAATGAGTAAGAATACTTTTTATTAATGACAAAAGCTTAAGAGATGATTTTCCTAGCTACTTTCTCTAAGATTTTAAGGTGTTAAAAATTCTCAAAAATATTCTTTCCATTGTATTTGTCATTTCTTAGATATATCTGCAGTGCCCTCTTAATGCTCTTTCAAAATACAGTGCAATAATATAATGCTTTAAAGCAACTATTTCTCCAGGCTTTTTACAGGAGCTAGCCAAATAGGAACCATGGGTCCAGGAATTTCTAACATTCCTATTAAAAAAGGTTACCCCACTCTCATTCAAGGTAAATGATGAGGCATTGGGTTATTTAATAAATGTTAAATTGGCCAGTAATATTTTAAATTGTCTATGAATGATGGGCAGACAAAAGGAGTATAAGCTGGAAATCATTTATGAGCTACCCCAGTGATCAGTCTTACAAATGTTTCTATAAATGACTCACCATATTTTTCAAAGTGAAAAAAGATTTAATCACCTAATTTACAGCATAATATGACAAAACAAGTTGGAAATAAGTGTGAGTGAGAGAGAAATTGGATAAAGTTTGAAAAGGAGCTTCATTTACCAATAAATATAGTTCCAGTAGTATCACGTGACATCAATATAATAATTGGTAAAAAAACTCACGGGTGTCATCTTTAAAATGTTTTCATAATATTATAAGATAGGCATTGAGTACTGTGCCCACGTTTTTAAGGTGGCAAATCATGCTCAGGAAGGTTCTATCAATAGTAAGTAATAGAAATGGGGTTCAACTCCAGATCTCATGCCCTCAAAACTAGTTTGTGCACCATTATATTCTGTGGTCTCTGCCTTCCTATGTAAGCCTGTAATATGCACATATGGTCATATACACAGTGATAGCATCGATATTTACATACATTCCTTAGAAATGTTTTATGGCTCTGTGTGTGTATGTAGGAGATATGTGATATTTTCATTGTGGGAATTATATTATTAATAGGATTCAATGTGCTTATATTTCCATTTAAAATTCAAATTTAAATTTAAATATTTAAACATTAATTTGACAAGAAAATGAAGGTTGAAGGTAATTGTGTATGAAAAAATCCACTGATGATTATGAAGAAACTTTGGCGAAACTATAATTTTGTGTTTATAGATGCTCCTCCTTATTATCGTTGTATCAATTTGCATGACTGCAAAGTGTATCTTTAATGCAATTATTTCAATAATAATTTATTAAGTGTATCTAATGCATCTGGAAGCTTTTGCTCAGAAGCACTTATCACACCCTAATGTGTTTATATGCTTTGATATTTATCTTTTGTTTAATAAATTTGACGGCAATATCTGTTCTCAGATGGCTTTGAGTCAAAGAGGAAGAAAAAGGTAAGAAATCAGTTACTCTGCAGTGTGCTGTAGCCTGTGATAAAGAACCCTTCTGAGGGCTTTGAAATCTTGCAGGTTGATGAATAATTAACCAAGTAGACAATGGTGGGTGTGCATTCTAAGCTGAGGAAGTGGCACACTCATGGGCTCACTGGTGTATGAAAGCATGACATATTTGGGTTCAGTGGAGCTGGGATGGGCAAGATACAGGTCAATTAGATGAAGTTGCACCGGTCGAGCTTCGGCTGAGGCATGGGGGTGTTATTATCTTTGTTATTTACTTCCTTTTAATTGTTTTGGCTTTATTTGCTCATTTCTTCCCTAAGTTCTTGAGGTAGAAGCTGATATTATTGATTTGAGGCTTTTTCTGTGTTTGAATGTATTCATTTCATGCTTTAAATGTCCCTGTCAGCTCTGCTTTAGCTCTACCCTACACGTTTTGATATATTTCTTTTTAATTTTCATTCTGTCTTTTAAAAATGTATTTGAGGCTTCCATTTTTATTCTGAATGTTTTAGATGTATCATATTTAGTTCTCAAATGTGTGGAGACTTCTCTGTAATCTTTCTGTTATAATTTCTCGTTTGATTTCCTTTTGGGTAGAGAACACACTCTGTATAATTTCTATTTTTAAAATTTGTTTCATACGTGGTCTATCTTGGTGAATACTCCATTCGACACATTAAAAGAATGTGTATTCTTTTGTTTTTGGGTGGAGTGTTCTACAAATATTGGTTAAATCCTGTTGGTTGATGATGTTGTTGATTTCTCCTATATCATTGCTATTTTTAAGTTGATCTGTTAATTGAGTGAAGGATGTTGAACTCTCACTTTAATTTGGATTTGTCTATTTCTTCTTTCAGTTAGATTAGGATTGGCTTAATATATTTTTCAGCTTTGTTGTTTGGGGCATACACATTTAAGATTGCTATGTCCTCTTGGTGGATTGACCCTTTTGTCAGTCTTCAGTATCCCTGTCTGATTAATGTAGCCACTCCTGTTTTCCTTTGATTAATGCTTTCATGATACATCATTTTTCTATTCTTTTACTTTGAACCTTCATAAACTATTATATTTGAAGTGTGTTTCTTGTAGGAAGCGTACAGTTTGGTCATGTGTTATAACACTGTCTTTTAATCCGTGTATTTGGACCATTTGTGTTAAGTGTAATTATTGCTATACTAGGACTTAATTTTGCCATTTTATTTTTGTTTTCTATTTGGTCTCTATATTTCCTGTTTCTCTGTGTTTTTTCTTGTCTTCTTTTGAGTTAAATTTTGGTCCCAAATTCTATTGTGATATATTGCTAGCGTTTTCGAATGTATCTCTTTGTATAGTGTTTTTAGTGGTTTCTCTAGGTCTTTATACAGACACAACTTAACATTATGTACTGCTGTTATATTACCAGTTTGACTGATTTATAGGAACCTTACCCTCATTTAAATTTCTTTACCTTTCTCCATTTATTATATAATTCTCTTAAGTATTTTGTCTATACTATATACATATATATATGGTTGGAATGACATCAAACTATGCCATAATATTTGCTTCAACTATAAAGAGAAGAAAAAAAGTATTATATTTACCTATATTTTTTATTACCATCTTTTTTCTTATTTCCCTGTGATTTAAGTTTCCTTTTTTAGTCATTTTGTTTCTTTTCAGATGATTTCCTTTAGCTATTCTTTAAAATAGGCCTTCTAGAGACATATTCTCTTGATATACTTTTGTCTCATAATATTTTGATTTTTTTCTTTAATTCAGAATGATATTATTACAGGACACAGAATTCTGGTTTGACATTTTTTAGCACTTGAGAAATGTAATACTTCCTTCTGGTCTTTACAATTTCCAGGAACAAATCCACTGTAATTAGAATTACTTTTTATCTATAGGTAAGGTGTTACTACTCTGTCACCACTTTCAGGTATTTTTCTATCTTTATATTTTTCACTCTATGACTATAATGAGTGAATTTCTTTGGGGTTCATTCAGTTTTTTGAATCTGTGGGTTTTGTGTCTCTTGCCATTTGGGAAAAATTTTAATCATTATTTGAGTGCTTTTTTAGACCAACTTTTTTTATTTTCATTCTGGACCTCTAATAATGTAAATGTTATTTTTTCCTTATATTTTTACTAGTTCCTAAGGTTATATTCAGTATGCTTTTTCCCTCTGTGTTCTAGAATGGGCGTATTAGTCAGGGTTCTCTAGAGGGACAGGACTAATAGGATAGACGTCTATATGAAAGGGACTTTATTAAGGAGAATTGACTGACACGATCACAAGATGAAGTCCCACAATAGGCTGTCTGCAAGCTGAGGAGCCTGGAAGCCAGTCCGAGTCCCAAACCTCAAAAATGAGGAACTGACAGTGCAGCCTTCAGTCTGTGGCCGAAGGCCCAAGAGCCCCTGGCAAATCACTGGTGTGGGTCCCAAAGACCAAAAGCTGAAGAACTTGGAGTCTGATGTTCAAGGGCAGGAAGCATCCAGCAAAGGAGCAAGATGATGACCAGAAGACTCAGCAAGTCTGCTCTTCCAACTTCTGTCTGCTTTATTCTAGCTGTGCTGCCAGCTGACTAGATGGTGCCCACCCAGATAGAGGGTGGGTCTGCCTCTTCCACTCCACTGACTCAAATGTTAATCTCCTTTGAACACATCCCCACAGACACACCCAGGAACAGTACTTTGCATCCTTCAATCCAATCAGGTTGACACTCAATATTACACAATGGGCAATTTCTATTGTTCTCTATTTAGAACAATATTATTTCTATTGTTCTATATTTTTTCCACTTTTTTTCCTGTCTCCTCCGTTTTGCTGTTAAGCTCATCTATTGTGTGTATGTTCATGTGTGTGTTTTATTGTGGTTATACTTTTCAGTTCTAAAATTTCCATTTGGTTCCTTTTTATATCTTCTATTATTTTTGCTCAGACTTTCTATTTGATGAGGCTTCTTTATTTTGTTTCAATTGTGTTCACAATTTTTCGTTTTTTAGAATGGCTATTTAAAATCTTTATAATGTAATTCCAATTATCTGTCATCTCAGTGTTGGTATCTATTCATTTTTAAACATTCTATTGAGAACTCCCTGGTTCTTGGTATGATGAATGAGTTTTTTCATTGAAATTTGTACGCTTTGGAAGTTATGTTATATAGCGTAGTCTTACTCATTTCCTTATTTTAGCTATTTCTCTTGACACTGTTTAATATGTGAAGGACAGGTGCTACTCACTACCATCAGGTGAGGGTAGAAATCCAGGTTCCTCTATTGACACCCAGTGAGGGTTACTGCTTGTAACTTCTGGCCAGGGTAGGATTTCTGGCTCCTCACTAGTTGCCATTGCTACCTTTCTTGCTGGGAAAGGTGAAAGTGTCTCACTAGTTGTTACGCACATGGCCTTCACTGGCTTCCTGTGTGTTTGTGAGCCTTGACCATTTCATTGCTGGGCAGGGTGAAGCCCCCACTCTTGTTTGATTCTGTCTCAGTGGGGTGGGGTGGAAAACCTGTTACTCCAGGACTGTTGTCAAGTCCTGTCCTTCAAATGGTTTCCACTGAAACCTGGGAGGGGAGGAAGTAGTCCTTAACTGCAGGACATCAAAGCAGAAATTCTTAAAAGCAAGCAGAGAATGAAAACAAACTATGTGTTACTCAGAAAAGCCTGAAAATTAACAGACAGAGGACTCTCAAGAGGAACAATAAGTGGCAGAGGCAATGGAATAGTGTGGAGATAAACAGCTCTAAGTAGTTACTTTTTCAGCAATTATGATGAATAAGGTATTGTAATATAGCCACAACAGATTTTAATGTGAAAAGTTATAAGGAACACACTTCAAGAAGAAGGAAAATGATCCCAGGAGGAATATCTGAGATAAAGGAGGAAATGGCAAGCAAACAAACTTATAAACTTGCTTGTAAATAAAAACAAATATCGTTGAAGAGAAGAAAAGCAATGATGTCTAAAATTCTATGTTCTTGGAAAGACGAAATTAAAATATTGGACAGAAAAAACCCAACAAGTCGTAACTCAAGAGAAAGAAATAAGAATTAAAATACCTAAGATTTTATATTTTGTGAAAGCGAGTATAATTTTATTTTATACTTGGTTAATTTAAGTGTGCAATATAAAATATCAAGTGTAACCAAAATAAGAATAGTAACATCTAAGTTATTGAATTTCAACAACAAAAAGTAACAAAGTGACAACAAACAAAAACTCTAATTATACTAGAAAGAGAAAAGGAAAGACAGAAAATAGAAAGTAACCTACCTTTATTTTTTTTTTTTTTTTAATTTTTTGAGAGAGAGTCTCCTTTGGTGGCCCAGGCTGGAGTGCAGTGGCATGATTTCAGCTCACTGCAAGCTCCGCCTCCTGGGTTCACGCCATTCTCCTGCCTCAGCCTCCTGAGTAGCTGGGACTACAGGCACCCACCACCATGCCTGGCTAATGTTTTGTATTTTTAGTAGAGACGGGTTTCGCCATGTTAGCCAGGATGGTCTCGATCTTCTGACCTCATGATCTGCGTCCCTCGGCCTCCCAAAGTACTGGGATTACAGGCGTGAGCCACTGCACCTGGCCCAAAACCTACATTTTAAAATTATAGTAAAAACAAGTCTCACTCTATCAGTTATTACTGATTATAATAAATGAAAATGAAAACATTTATTAGTTAAAAGGCAGGATTATCAGATTATACTTGAGAACTAAGTTCTAGTATGTGCCGTTTACAAAAACACACGTCAAAACAACAGAGAAAAGTGGTTTAAAAATATGTAACACAAATGATAACAACATAAACTGGATAACTTGGTAATATTAGAAAAATTGACTTTAGGAGAAAATCATTAAGAGGGATAAAAAGCTATTAAGAGGCTGGGCGCAGTGGCTCACACCTGTAATCCCAGCACTTTGGGAGGCCGAGGCAGGTGGATCACGAGGTCAGGAGATCGAGACCATCCTGGCTAACACAGTGAAACCCCATCTCTACTAAAAATACAAAAAAAAACAAAATTAGCCAGGCATGGTGGCGGGCGACTGTGGTCCCAGCTACTCGGGAGGCTGAGGCAGGAGAATGGCATGAACCCGGGAGGCGGAGCTTGCAGTGAGCCGAGATTGCACCACCGCACTCCAGCCTGGGCGACAGAGCGAGACTCTATTTCAAAAAAAAAAAAAAAAAAAAGAGGTATTACAAAATGGTATAGTAATCATTTTTCTTGAAGGATATACTAATCTAAATTTGTAGCCACATGTAAAATAATGTGAGGTTATTGAAAACCTAGAAATTTAAAAATTTTTGGGGGGGAATAGGGTCTTGCTTTGTTACCCAGGCTGAGTGCGGTGGTGTGATCAGGGCTCACTGCAACAGAGACTCCCCTGGCCGAAGCAATTTTTCCACTTCAGCCTCCCGGCTACCTGGGTCTACAGGTGCCAGCACAGCTGGCTAATATTTAATTTTAATTTTTTGTAGAGATGGGATCTTGCTATGTTGGCTAGGCTGGTCTCAAATTCCTAGGATCAAATAGTCCTCCTACTTTGGCCTTCTACAGTGCTAGGATGATAGGTGTGATTCATGGTTCCTGACCAAAATAAAATTGTGTGTGTGTGTGTGTCTGTGCACGAGCCCGCGTTTGTATATTCTGACAGCAGAATTCCCTGTCCCCATTATTGATTAGGGAGGCAAGAACATAAAAATGGTAAAATAGAAATTTAAACATGATTAACAAACTTATTTCATATAAATATAATTGTAATTTTTTGTTTTTTAATAATTGTAGTCTTAATTTAGGAAATATACATATTTTAGAGTTATATGAACTATTATAAAAATCTATGTTGTATTAGTTCATAAGACTAGTTGCTACACAATACATAGAATCAGCAAAATCCTAGCTATGTTGTCAAACCATAAAATAAATAATTAATATTTAGCAACAAAGAGGAAAATACCAACAACACGTTAGAAATTAAAGCTACATGTACACTAAACAATTTATGGTTTAAGAATAACTAACGTTATAGATTTATCGGGTATTTTAAACTAAATGATACCATGGGTACTATATTTTAAAATGTTCAACAGAGTAATTTAGAAAAAGTAAAACGCAATTATCCAAATTAATAAAGGAGATCATAAAGATAATAAAATAGGTATATGAAAAATAAAAATATTAATGTGAAAATTTTGTCCTCTGAAAAGCTGAAACAAAGAAACAAAACAAACAAACAAAATCGTGATAGGCCTATCTTGAGCTAGATCTAGGAGAAAAAAGGAAGAGAAATTCCAGAATAAATAATTGTAAAAATGAAAAAGTGACATACCATCTATTCAACAGAGATTGACAGGGTAATAAAAGGCTATTTTGCCATAAAATTAGAAAATTGAGATAAAATGTCCAAATAGCTAAGAATATTTTACCAAAATTGAATAAAAAAGAAATAGAAAACCAAAATATCACTGGAATCAGTTTAAAAATTCTTTATTAAGTAAACAATTGGCTGAAATTGTTTTACAGAGTTGTTCTTCCAAGTTGTCACAGAACAGAGCAATATACTTTCTATGAATAATTCTAAGGTACAGAAAGAGAGGGCAAACTCTCAATTTTATTCTGTAACACTAGGAAAATTCAGATGCCAAAACCATAGAAGACAGAAAAGGGAATAAATATTACGAGGCAATAAATATTACGAGGGAATAAAAATATTAAAAAAAAAATCCTGTCCAGTCCACCAACCTTACAAAACTCAAGAAGGTTGAAGTTGGAGGAGCCACGTTTTGCTGTTCACAAAATTCCCTTTTTCCACTTTCCTAATGTAAGACAATGCTGGAAAATGAACACTCAGCCAGAAGCCACATTTCTCATCCCCTTTTAAGTGGGTGATACGTTAAGATGGAATTGACCAATGGGATGTGAGTATAGAAGATTTATACCTCTTTCAAACTTGGCTCATGAAAAATTGCATGTTTGAGCATCTGTGCTCTTTTCCTCTTCTGATTGGCTGGAATGAAGACAGCCCTCGTCAGACACTAAATCTGCCAGCACCTTGACGTTGAGCTTCCCAGCCTCCGGAACTATGAAAAATCAATTTCAGGACTTTATAAATTATTCAGTCTAAGAAATTTTGTTATAGCAGCAGGAAAAGCTCAGGACAGTATTCAATAACTATTTGCTGAATGAGTGAACAGTAGTATTTTCGTAGCACATTTAGCTATATTCTAATATTGTTGTTATTCAACTATTCTGTATTCCTATTTGTATGTTAAAGTAATATTTTCATAATCTACAAACAAGTAGGCTGCTTCTAAAATTCATCTATAAAACATATATGAAGAGTGAAATCCCTCACAGTGAGTTTGTTTATACATAAGTAATACAGTTTATTATTGATTTTGAATCATGAAGTGGAGAGTTTATTCAATGTAACAAAGAAATATTGGACAAATCTAATCCCTGAGTCTGTGAGTTTTTAGAGAGCTTTTATTTTCTTTACAGTACATCTGTTTTTCGGGATTAATTAGTACTTCTCCTAGAAGACAGATCATATATCCAAAATAATCTATTTTCTTTTCCTTCAAGAAATTAATATCTAACAAAAAAATGACTGAAGCCTGCTGAGATTACTACACCAATGTGCATTCATCACTTTAATATACCACAGATGTATTTTCCATGTCTAGTGAAGCAAAATGTTGCCTAGATTAAAAGATATGGAAACTGGGGATTCCCAGGCAAGATGGCCAAATAGGACAGCTCCAGTCTGCAGCTCCCAGCGAGACCAACGCAGAAGGTGGGTGATTTCTGCATTTCCAACTGAGGTACTTGGTTCGTCTCATTGGGGCTGGTTAGACAGTGGGTGCAGCCCATGGAGGGTGAGCAGAAGCAGGGTGGGGCATTGCCTCACCCAGGAAGCAAAAGGGGCTGGGTAACTCCCTCCCCTAGCCAAGGGAAGCCGTGAGGGACTGTGCTGTGAGAGATGGTGCTGTCAGGCCGAGATACGATGCTTTTCCGACAGTCTTCACAACCCACACACCAGGAGATTCCCTCGGGTACCTACACCACAATGGACCTGAGTTTCAAGCACAAAACTGGGCCGCCATTTGGGCAGACGCCGAGCTAGCTGCAGGAGTCTTTTTTTGTACCCCAATGGCGCCTGGAACATCAGCGAGACAGAACCATTCACTCCCCTGGAAAGGGGGCTGAAGCCAGGCAGCCAAGTGGTCTTGCTCCAGTGGATCCCACCCCAACAGAACCCAGCAAGCTAAGATCAACTGGCTGGAAATTCTAGCTGCCAGCACAGCAGTCTGGTCAACCTGGGATGCTTGAGCTTGGTGGGGGGAGGGGTGTCTGCCATTACTGAGGCTTGAGTAGGCGGTTTTCTACTCGCAGTGTAAACAAAGACACCAGAAGTTCAGACTGGGCAGAGAACACTGCCAAGCTGCAAAGTCGCTGTAGCCAGACTGCCTCTCTAGATTCCTCCTCTCTGGGCAGGGCATTTCTGAAAGAAAGGCAGCAGCCCCAGTCAGGGACTTATAGATAAAACTCCCACCTCCCTGGGACAGAGCACCTGGGGGAAGAGGCAGTTGTGGGTGCAGCTTCAGCAGACTTAAGCGTTCTTGCGTCCCGGCTCTGAAGAGAGCAGCGGCTCTCCCAGCACAGCATTCAAACTCTGCTAAGGGTCAGACTGCCTCCTCAAGTGGGTCCCTGACCCCCATGCCTCCTGACTGGGATACACCTCCCAGCAGGGGTTGACAGACACCTCATACAGGAGAGCTCCAACTGCCATCTGGCAGGTTCCCCTCTGGGATGAAGCTTCCAGAGGAAGGAGCAGGCAGCAATTTTTGCTGTTCTGCAGCCTCCCCTTGTGATACCCAGGCAAACAGGGTGTGGAGTGGACCCCCAGCAAACTCCAGCAGACCTGCAGAAGAGAGTCCTGACTGTTAGAAGGAAAACTAACAAACAGAAAGCAATAACATCAACAAAAAGGATTCGAAGGTCACCAACAGCAAAGACCAAAGGTAGATAAATCCACAAAGATGAGGAAAACCCAGCACAGAATGGCTGAAAATTCCAAAAACTAGAATGCTGCTTCTCTTCCAAAGGATCACAACTCCTCACCAGCAAAGAAACAAAACTAGACAGAGAATGAGTTTGACAAATTGATGGAAGTAGGCTTCCGAAGGTGGGTAATAAACTCCTCTGAGCTAAAGGAGCATGTTCTAACCCAATGCAAGGAAGCTAAGAACCTTAATAACAGGTTAGAAGAATTGCTAACTAGAATATCCAGTTTAGAGAAGAACATAAATGAACTGATGGAGCTGAAAACACAGCACAAAAACTTCGTGAAGCATATACAAGTATCAATACTAGAATTGATCAAGTGGGAGAAATCATATCAGAGATTGAAGATCAACTTAATGAAATAAAGCATGAAGACAAGATTAGAGAAAAAAGAATGAAAAGGAATGAACAAAGCCTCCAAGAACTATGGGACTATGTGAAAAGGCCAAACCTACGTTTGATTGGTGTACCTGAAAGTGACGGGGAGAATGGAGCCAAGTTGGAAAACACACTTCAGGATATTATCCAGGAGAACCTCCCCAGTCTAGCAAGACAGGCCAACATTCAAATTCAGGAAATACAGAGAACACCACAAAGATACTCCTGGAGAAGAACAACCCCAAGACACATAATCATCAGATTCACCAAGTTTGAAATGAAGGAAAAAATGTTAAGGGCAGCCAGAAACAGAGGTTGGGTTACCCACAAAAGGAAGCCCATCAGATTAACAGTGGATCTCTCTGCAGAAACCCTACAAGCCAGAAGAGAGGGGGGGGGGCCAAGATTCAACATTATTAAATAAAAGAATTTTTAACCCAGAATTTCATATCCAGCCAAACTAAACTTCATAAGTGAAGGAGACATAGAATCTCTTACAGACCAGAAAATGCTGAGGGGTTTTGTCACCAGCAGGCCTGTCTTACAAGAGCTCCTCAAGGAAGCACTAAATATGGAAAGGAAAAACCAGTACCAGCCACTGCAAAAACAAACCAAAATGTAAAGACCATCAACACTATGAAGAAACTGCATCAACTAATGGGGAAAATAACCAGCTAGCATCATAATGAAAGGATCAAATTCACACATAACAATATTAAACTTAAATGTAAACGGGCTAAATGCCCCAATTAAAAGGCACAGAATGGCCAATTGCATAAAGAGTCAAGAGCCGTCGGTGTGCTGTATTCAGAAGACCCATCTCACATGCAAAGACACACATAGGCTCAAAATAAAAAGATGAAGGAATGTTTACCAACTAAATGGAAAGCAAAAAAAAGAAAAAAAAAAAGCAGAGGTTGCAATCCTAGTCTCTGATAAAACAGACTTTAAGCCAACAAAGATCAAAAACGACAAAGAAGGACATTATATAATGGTAAAGGGATCAATGCAACAAGAGGAGCTAACTATCCTAAATTTATATGCACCCAATACAGGAGCACCCAGATTCAGAAAGCAAATTCTTAGAGACCTACGAAGAGACTTTGAGTCTCACACGATAACAGTGGGAGACCTTAACACTCCACTGTCAATATTAGACAGATCAATGAGACAGAAAATTAACAAGGATATTCAGGACTTGAACTCAGCTCTGGACCAAGTGAACCTAATAGACAGGTACAGAACTCTCCACCCCAAATCAAAAGAATATATATTCTTCTCAGCATCACATAGTACTTATTCTAAAATTGACCACATAATTGGAAGTAAAACACTCCTCAGCAAATTCAAAAGAACAGAAATCATAACAAACAGTCTCTCAGACCACAGTGCAATCAAATTAGAACTCAGGATTAAGATACTCACTCAAAACTGCACAACTAAATCGAAAGTGAACAACCTGCTCCTGAATGACTACTGGGTAGATAACAAAATTAAGGCAGGAACGAATAAGTTATTTGAAACCAATGAGAACAAAGACAAAACATACCAGAATCTCTGGGACACAGCTAAAGCAGTGTTTAGTGGGAAATTTATAGCACTAAATGCCCACAGGAGAAAGCAGGAAAGATCTAAAATCGACACCCTAACATCACAAAAGAACTAGAAAAGTTCTTTTAAATTAAAAAGCTAGCAGAAGACAAGGAATTAACTAAGATCAGAGAAGAGCTGAATGAGATAAACAAAAAACCCTTCAAAAAAATCAATGAATCCAGCAGCTGGTTGTTTGAAAAGATTAACAAAATAGATAGATGGCTAGCCAGACTAATAAAGAAGAAAAGAGAAAAGAATCAAAAAGACACAATAAAAAATGATAAAGGGAATATCACCACCGATCCCACAGAAATACAAACTACCATCAGAGAATACTATAAACACCTCTATGCAAATAAACTAGAAAACCTAGAAGAAATGGATAAATTCCTGGACACATACACCCTCCCAAGACTAAACCAGGAAGAAGTCGAATCCCTGAATAGACCAATAACAAGTTTTGAAATTGAGGCAGTAATTAATAGTCTACCACCCCAAAAAAGCCCTGGACCAGATGGATTCACAGCCGAATTTTACCAGAGGTACAAAAAGGAGCTGGTACCATTCCTTCTGAAACTATTCCAAACAATAGAAAAAGAAAGACTCCTCCCTAACTCATTTTATGAGGCCAGCATCATCCTGATACCAAAACCTGGCAGAGACACAACAAAAAAAGAAAATTTCAGGCCTATATCCCCGATAAACATCAATGCAAAAATACTCAATAAGATACTGGCAAACCGAATCCAGCAGCACATCAAAAAGCTTATGCACCACAATCAAACTGGCTTCATTCCCGGGATGCAAGGCTGGTTAAAGATACGCAAATCAATAAACGTAATCCATCACATAAACAGAAGCAATGACAAAAACCACATGATTATCTCAATAGAGGCAGAAAAGGCCTTTGATAACATTTAACACCCCTTCATGCTAAAAACACTCAATAAACTAGGTATTGATGGAACGTATCTCAAAATAATAAGAGCTATTTATGACAAACCCACAGCCAATATCATACTGAATGGGCAAAAGCTGGAAGCATTCCCTTTGAAAACCGGCACAAGACAAGGATGTGCCTTGTCACCACTCCTATTCAACACAGTATTGGAAGTTCTGGCCAGGGCAGTCAGGCAAGAGAAAGAAATAAAGGGTATTCGAATAGGAAGTGAGGAAGTCAAATTATGTCTGTTTGCAGATGACATGATTGTATATTTAGAAAACCCCATCATCTCAGCCCAAAAACTCCTTAAGCTGATAAACCACTTCAGCAAAGTCTCAGGATACAAAATCAATGTTCAAAAATCACAAGCATTCCTATACACTAATAATAGTCAAACAGAGATCCGAATCATGAGCAAATTCCCATTCACAATTGCTACAAAGAGAATAAAATACCTAGGAATACAACTTACAAGGGATATGAAGGACCTCTTCAAGGAGAACTACACACCACTGCTCAAGGAAATAAGAGAGGACACAAACAAATGGGAAAACATTCCATGCTCGTGGATAGGAAGAATCAATATCATGAAAGTGTCCATACTGCCCAAAGTAATTTATAGACTCAATGCTATTCCCATCAAGCTACCATGGATTTTCTTCACAGAATTAGAAAAAACTACTTTAAATTTCATATGGAACCAAAAAAGAGCCTGTATAGCCAAGACAATCCTAAGCAAAAATAACAAAGCTGGAGGCGTCACGCCACCTGACTTCAAACTGTACTACAAGGCTACAGTAACCAAAACAGCATGGTACTGGTACCGAAACAGATATATAGACCTACGGAACAGAACAGAGGCCTCAGAAACAACACCACAAATCTACAACCATCTGATCTTTGACAAACCTGACAAAAACAAGCAATGGGGAAAGGATTCCCTATTTAACAAATGGTGTAGGGAAAACTGGCTGGCCATATGCAGAAAACCAAAACTGGACCCCTTTCTTACACCTTATACGAAAATTAACTCAAGATGGATTAAAGATTTAAACTTAGGACCTCAAACCATAAAATCCCTAGAAGAAAACCTAGGCAATACCATTCAGGACATAGGCATGGGCAAAGACTTCATGACTAGAACTCCAAAAGCAATGGCAACAAAAGCCAAAATTGACAAATGGGATCTAATTAAACTAAAAAGCTTCTGCACAGCCAAGAAACTATCATCAGAGTGAATAGGCAACCTACAGAATGGGAGAAAATTTTTGCAATCTATCCATCTGACAAAGGGCTAATATCAAGAATCTACAAGGAACTTAAACAAATGTACAGGAATAAAAAAAAACATCAAAAAGTGGGCAAAGGGTATGAACAGACACTTCTCAAAAGAAGACATTTATGCGGCCAAAACATATGAAAAAAAAGCTCATCATCACTGGTCGTTAGAGAAATGCAAATCAAAACCACATCTCATGCCAGTTAGAATGGCGATCATTAAAAAGTCAGGAAACAACAGATGCTGGAGAGGATGTGGAGAAATAGGAACGCTTTTACACTGTTGGTGGCAGAGTAAATTAGTTCAACCACTGCGGAAGACAGTGTGGCGATTCCTCAAAGATAGAGAACTAGGAATACCATTTAACCCAGCAATCCCATTACTGAGCGTATACCCAAAAGATCATAAATCATTCTACTATAAAAACACATTCACACATATGTTTATTGTAGCACTATTTACAATAGCAAAGACTTGGAACCAACCCACATGCCCATCAGTGTTAGGCTGGATAAAGAAAACGTGGCACATATACACCATGGAATACTATGCAGCCATAAAAAAGAATGAGTTCGGCCAGATGCTGTGGCTCACTCCTATAATCCCAGCACTATGGGATGCCAAGGTGGGCAGATCATGAGGTCAAGAGATTGACACCAATCTGGCCAGCCTGGTAAAACCCCATCTCTACTAAAAAATTCAAAACTTAGCTAGGTGTTGTGGCGCATTCCTGTAGTCCTAGCTACTCTGGAGGCTGAGGGAACAGAATCGCTTGGATCCGGGAGGTGGAGGTTGCAGTGAGCCGAGACTGTGACAATGCATACCAGCCTGGTGACAGAGCGAGGCACCATCTCAAAAACACAAAAACAAAAACAAAAAAGAATGAGTTCATGTCCTTTGCAGGGACATGGATGAAGTTGGAAACCATCATTCTCAGCAAACTAACACGGGAACAGGAAACCAAACACTGCATGTTCTCACTCGTCAGTAAACACTGAACAACGATAACATATGGGCAAGGGGGGAACATCATACACGGGGGCCTGTCGGGTAGTGGGGGACAAGGGGAGGAATAGCATTAGGAGAAATGCCTAACGTACATGACTGGTTGAAGGGTGCAGCAAACCACCATGGCACATGTATACATATGTAACAAACCTGCAGGTTGTGCACATGTACCCTAGAACTTAAAGTATAATAAAAAGATTTATAAAAAAAATTAAATCCTCCAAGCTGTAAGTATAACTCAGCAAAGAAAAAGGCATGATAATTGTTAGGCTATTTTTAAAATATACTGATCCATTTTGTTGCCATTTTTTTCTGAAACCAAAGAAATAATGAGCTTATCAACATGAATATTAGAAGTGGAAGAGAATATTATTTAATAAGTTTATCTCGCAGGCATACCAAAAATGTTACATTAAGAAACTTGAAGAAAATATGAAAAGCATGAAAGAACCAAAGACAAATCACCTTTATTAATAAAAGATGAAGAGTACAAGTTAGTTGATTTGCTAATGTGTATGAGTAGAAATTGCTGAACGAAATAGTACAAAGTACAGCAGCTAGGAAAACAGATAAGAAATAATATCTAATCAAAATCCACTAAATCAGAAAAAAACATGAAGTAAACAGTTTCCAAATTATTTCTCAATAGAAAAGTGCAACATCAGGCTTTGGAAAGGTACTTTTAGCACGAAAGAGTTATTATTTCATATTTGGCTCAATTTTGTGCTTTCTTGAAATAATATATGTATAATGACTTACTATTTTCACTAAGATTTTGCTCAAATTTTTATAATTTACTTTAGATAAATTTGTTTAGAACTCTTAGCTCAAAATACCATGAATATATTAATAATGCCATATTACTCAGCCTTTGCATTGAAATGTTAATGACATACAGATATGTTAAAATTTTGGTAATATTCAGGCCGTAAACCAATTGGTACCCAATTTTTGGCCGAGATGTGTACGTTTGGGTTCCTACCTGTTTATTTCATCCACCAAGAATGTACTGTGTGTTTCTGATATGCCATACATGGGCACAATATAGAGTGTACTGTCGGATGAAACATGATTATAAACAAAATCAAACCAAACAAGGTAAGTAGATACAGACTGATGAGGGTTACAGGAGCATTTTAAATAGAGGTTGGAAACCTGAAAGAAGTAAAGGATGGAGTGTCGCAGGTGTTCTGGTGCCTGGAGAGATGGGAAGAAGGAGGTTATCAGGTCATGGGCGTAGAGCCCTCAGGATGGGGTTTGTGCCCTTTTAAAAGAGGCCCCAGAGAGAGCCATCACCCTTTCCCACACAGCCAGAAAGCGCTGGCCATGAACCAGGACACTGTCTTCAGCAGACACCATGTCTGCCACGCTTTGATCTAAGACTTCGCCCTCTGGAACTGTAAGGAGTAAATCTCAGCTCTTTATGAGCCACCAGCCTATAGTATTCTGTTAGCAGCCTGGATGGATTATGATAAGATGTGATTTTGGTTTTTCTCTGTTTTTAAAACATTATGAGAGACAGAGATGACTTCATTAAGCCATATGCACATACGTGGGTTTTTGTGTTGTATTTTATATATACATATATAATTTTAATTTTGAATACATGAATTCTAATATATACACAAATATTGATATCAGTGATTTTCAAATTTATCCTGCCCAATTCATCCTTTTTATATGAAACGTTTTATCAGCCCTTCTCTTTGTCCTCTATTGAAATTCATACTGACCTAGGCATATCATAAAAAAGTAAAATCAAATCAAAACATTTATAAATATAATATGCATAAAAAATTAAAAAAAAGGACAGTTTACAGCAGAATGGGCATGCATTTCCCTCTAATTGACCACTGTGTTTTACACTGAAAACAATGAAATTGTTGGCTGCTTGCAGCTTTGTGAGGAACTCTTATGAACGCTGCCTAGAGAAACACAAATGGGAATTGCTTCAATAACAAATAAAATGCCATCATGTCATTGAAACTGGAGGTATTTTTTTCAAGAAAAAGGAACTTGTGCTAAAGTTCATAATCAAAGATTACACAGCGTTTTCTCAACCTATTTTTGTGTGCAAAAACCATGTAAAAATGATTTATCTCATATGAAAAAGAAGTGCAGTCATATTCTGGACTCAGGTAGTTACAAGAAGGTTTTCTCATCTTCAGAAAGATTCGGAAGTTTTATAGAAATGGGATGTGGTCCTGCACTGGAAACCTACTCATCCAGCGGTGTGGAGCATCCCAGCATAGCTGTTCCTGACACTGTAAAGAACAAAACTGCCCATGAAGTTCCCAAGCTTAGAGGGCAGGTGAGTCATCATTAAAAACCACCAATTTAGGTAAAAATAATGTATTCTTTTGAATTATGTGTCTCTGTGTGCGAATGTGTCTGTGTGTGTGGTGTGTGTGTGTAGGTGTGGGGCTTGGGTGTGTCATCTGTGTATATTTATGTGTGTCTGTATGTGTAGTGTGTGCATGTGTATATATGTAGTGTGTGTGTGAAAGGGTTGTGTGTGGGAGGTGTGAATGTGTGTAGGGTGTGCATGTGTGTATATGTAGGGTCTCTGTGAGAGGTGTGTGTGTGTGTATGGTGTGTGTGTGTGTCTGTGAGAGGGGTGTGTGTGTATATAGTGTGTACGTGTGTGTAGGGTGTACATGTGTGTGTATAGGTAGGGTCTCTTTGTGTCTGTGAGAGGTGTGAGTGTGTGTATTTATATGTGGGGACTGTGCATGCTTGCATTGGTAAGACACTGCACTAGATTCATTGATGTTGAGGGGACCAAGTTTACTTCTGCTCATGTTCTTTGCCCAACCTGGAAATCCTTGTGGAAAGCCCATCCCTTCCTTAATTCTATTAAACTTCAGTCTGTCTTGTGATGCTTTTCAATTCTCACGCATTCCGGAAAGTCAGTCCTGATTCTTCTGATCCAAACATTCCTTTCTTCTCTGCATTCTCTGGAAACTTAGACTTTACACCTACTGTTTAGCCATCAACATATGTCTTCTTTTTCCAAGTAGATTGTTGGCTTTCTGAGGGCAAGGACTGACTGCTTCTGTCATCCGCCAGGCTGTCACCTGTAATGGCAGGTGGAGGTGGAGGCTTCCTGTTTGTCATCATTGAGTGCTTTCCTTGCACATGCAGCTCATCTCAGATTTGGCTTTATGTTGAATATTATCTCACAGTATGTGTGCATTGTCCATTTTCACAGCCAGCAGATTTGAAAAGAGGAAATAACCAGCACTGATTACAAAGTATGAAAGTCATGGATACCTTTCTGTTTTTTCAGATCCATAACAATGTAGCTCAGCAGTGCAACAGATTCGAGAAGCAATTAGATTCAACTGCTTCAGTATGATTTTTGTGCATCATTAAGAAGTTACATAAATTGTCTTTATTCCTTACATCTGGGCTTCTTACACATACAGACACCTACTTACAGAAGAAAATAAAGGCTTTCCATCACATTTTCTAACTGTAATCAAAATAAGTGGTTAGATGCCTGCTGATATAAAGGTACTCTTTTTTTTCTAAGTTAACATGGGAAATTGATCATTTCCATTTATGCATTACATTTTTATTAAAAATTTATTATGATATCATAGTTTGATTATTGAAGGATGAAGTCCTTGCTACTCACTAAAGGTGGTCAACTATCACAGCATTTTCTGAAATAATAAATTGGATATTGGAGTGAAAAGATTAGTCACATCTGTCACTTACTGAGACAAATTCTCTTGACAGCTCAAAAAACTCACCCTCTTTTGCTTAACAAAGGAAACCCACAGTTGCAGCACTCCTGCATTTTGAAATTAACACAAATAAGTGCAGCAATCTAAATACCACCTGCGATGTTCTCCCACTGTATGTCCACACCCTTTGCTGCTTGTGAGTCTGTGTCCCCCTGGCAGACCCATAAGTGCATGGAGACCTTCTCAATGTGTAGAAAGTGCTTTCCTATAATATCCTTGCTATTTATTATATTTCTTACATTTACTTTTTCTCCATAAACCAATTAATGTCCTTTGTTAGTGGGACATCACCTCAACACAAGCTCAACCCCTGCAGGTATTAAAATTTCCCCCGTGCCACATTGAACTCAGCACAAAAGTCCTGAAACAAGCAGTAAATATAGTTGTGATAACATTCACTCTAGGGTTTTGCATAAATAGATTTTGAAAGTCTTGGGCTACACAGAATGTTCTGTAATTCTAAACTTCCTATCTGAATGCATTTTGATTTAATGCAGGCAAGTGTACCAGCCTCAGATGCAAAGACCCAGTGACTAAAGACATTAATGCTCATCTGAAGCAAAGACAAGAGTAGAGGAGCAGATTTTGAAAAAGGCAAAAATGGAAGGGGAAAGGTAATGCAGATGAGGAGAAAAAAGGAATCAAAAAGAGAATAAATAGCTGTGCATATGCTTATCTGTGTGTGTACTTGTGCACATACACAAGACCACAAAAGCCATGTTATAGTGATAGCCTCTTATTAGAAAAACAGGGATACATTTTCATTCAATTCTAATATCTACTGTAAAATAAAACGTGAAACATTGCATAATTCAGCAAGAAAATTAGAATTCAGTCCAGTTTCTATAAATTAAGGGGTAGAGTTTAGTTTTCCTTTCAGAAGCCAGACCACACCAGCACAAAGAAGACAGACAACTCGCTCAGTGCTTCTGGCATGACTCTGGCATTGGAAATCCGGATGAACGATTTCTTGTCACTGACATAATTGCATTATTCAAGCTTTATGGTAAAGTCAGGCTTAGGTTAATAACATTAATCTCCCCTTTATTTCCCTAGATCTTATATATAATTCCTAGGGTGCATAGACGTGTGAGGATGATAAACCAAAAGGGTTTCTAAAAGCACATGAACCTCTGTGTGTATCGTGTGAAATCAGTGAAGAAAATCAGTGAAGAGTTGGTCCCACCATATTAAGCCATATTTGAATTGTTCTGGACTATTCCATGGCCTGGCTCACTCATCAGATACTGGTTTAATTTTAAAAAGAAAGATAATCTTATGACGGTGCATTCATACCCAGAATAGAGCCTGGGTGGGCCAGGCTGTCATACGGGAAAGAAAGAAATAGAAAGCCAGCCATGCCTCTGATGCTGTTTCCAGAAAGAGGTATCGGCATTGGTGAGAGTTGATGGTTCTTTAGAAACTCAGAGGGAGCCCTATTCAAGGTCTCCAGGATCAGCCACTGGGGGATGGGGGGTCCTGCATTTGAGTTATCAGGAGCCCTGCAGGTGATTCTCACGTGCCCTGAAATCCCAGAATCAGAGAACCACTGCTCTAAGATCCTGCCCCAGGCTCAGGGCCCATGGGAAGATGCTATGATTCTTGCCACAGCTTGCTCACCCAGGCGACCGAATCACTTAACCAGCTCTGACTTACCACCCCCAGCCCGTCTGTAGGACTTGGCCTGGAACAGCACATATCCACCTTGATGGAGGGATGCAGAGCCTGTAGTCAGGCATACGGAGGTGCTGAAGGCTGTCTGGCTTGCTGTGTGGGCCAGGCATAGTGGATAGTCACACTATCAGACCATCAGAGAGTGAGGCTGTCCTTTGCACAGACATGAATATCGTCACGTGTCCCTGCAGGAAGAGAGTTTTATGCACGCTACCTTAGTATTGACTTCATATACATAGGGGAAAATTCTATTTAAAATGCTTCTGGTCAATGATTTGAGCTCAGCTTGCCTGGAGTGTAATTTACCAGAAAGAAAAAAATGGACTTCATTAAAATTAGAGACCTCTGCTCTGCAAAAGACACTGTTCATACAATAAGAAGACAAGCCAGAGACTAGCAGCAAGTGTTTTTAAAAGGTGTGTCTGATAAAACACTGATACCCAAAATATACAAAGAATCCTTAAAACTCAGCAATAAGAAAATAACCCAATTAAAACATGGACAAACAATCTGTACATATCACCAAAAAAAAAAAAAATATGCTGATCGGAACTAAGTAAATGAAAGAGACTTTAGAAAAGCTCATGTTAAAATAATGACATACTGAACACACCTACTAGAATGGCTAAAATCCAAAGCACTGACAATACCAAATGCTGGTGAGGATGTGGAGCAAAAGGAACTCTCATGCATGGCTGGTGGGAAGGCAAAATAGCACAGTGGCTTTGGAACACAGTTTGAAGATTTCTTATAAAACTAAACATATTATATGATCCAGCAATCATAGTCCTAGATATCTACTTAAGTAAGCTAAAAACTTATGTCCACACAACAACCTTCACATGGATGTGTATAGTAGCTTTCTTCATAATTGGCAAGAGTTGGAAGCAATGAAGATTTCTTTAATAGGTGAATGAATAAACAAGCTGTGGTACATTCGTGCAATGGAATGTTATTCAGTGATATAAAGAAGGGAGGCGAGGGGCCGTGGTTCACATTTGTAATCTTAACACTTTAGAAAACCAAGGCTGGAGGATTGTTTGAAGCCAGTAGTTCAAGTCCGGCCTGGGCAACATAGTGAGATCCTGTTTCAAAACCAAAAAACTTAGCCAGGCGTAGTAATGCACACCTGTAGTACTAGCTACTCAGGAGGCTGAGGCAGGAGGATTGTTGGAGTAGAGTTCAAGGTTACAGTGAGCTATGACCATGCCACTGCATTTCAGCCTGGGTGCCAGAGCAAGACTTTGTCTCTAAAACAGGAAAAAGGAGAAAGAAAGACAAACAAATGAGCTATCATGGCCACAAAAAGGCATGTAGGAACCTTGAATGTTGATATGGTTTGGCTGTGGCCTCACCCAAATCTCATCTTGAATTGTAGTTCTCATAATCCCCATATGTCATGCGAGGGGCCCAGTGGGAGGTAACTGAATCATGGGGGCAGCTACCCGCATGCTGCTGTTCTCGTGATAGTGGGTGAGTTCTCACGTGATCTGATGGTTTTATAAGGGACTTTTCCCCATTGCTCAGAACTTCTCATTTCTGTCACCATGTGAAGAAGGACCTGTTTGCTTCCCCTTTCACCATGATTGTAAGTTTCCTGAGGCCTCCCCAGCCCACAGAACTGAGTCCATTAAACTGCTTTCCTTTATAAATTACCCAGTCTCATGTATGTCTTTATTAGCAGCATGAGAATGAACTAATACAAATGCACACTACTAAGTGAAAGGAGCCCATCTGAAAAGGTTACATACTGTGTGATTCCAACTCTACGACATTTGTTGGAAAGGAAAACCATGAAGACAGTAAAAAGATTGGGGGCTACTGGAGTTTGCGGGAAGAGAGGGATGAACAGGCAGAGCACAGAGGATTTTTCGGGCCGTGAAACTACCCTGTATGATACCATAGTTGTGGGTACATGTCATTACACATTTGTTAAAACTTCTAGAGCCCTACAACACCAACAGTGAACCCTAAAGCAAACTGAGGACTTTAATTACTAAAATGTATCATGCTAGTTCATCAGTTTTAACAAATGCACCTCACTAGTGCAGGATTTTGACAGAGTGGAGACCCAGGGGTGGTGTCAGAGGATACAAGGGACTCTGTACTTTCTGTTTAATTTTTCTGTAAACCTAAAACTGCTCAGAAAAGAAAGTCTATTAATTTTTAAAAAGATATGAAACTTATGTCTTCAAAAGATTTTTTTCTCAAATAAGATACTCTTGGTATATGTTACAAACTTAAAACCATTACATAAATATTTTAAACTTCTGGGACCAAATTTCTTTTCAAGTAGATACAAAGATCTATTTTCTTTGAGGCACACTTATTCCTTCTTTGTGAAACCACTATGGTTTAAAATCTTAAGCACATAAACTTTAACTCGTCTACAAGTCTACATTTATGAACTGCGTAGGAAATGACCCTCAGGAAGAATAAGTGGAGTTGAAGGGTTAATGAGACATCATGCAACACACGCATCTATAATAAAACAGGTGAAAAAGACCCATTCTCCTGTATGATTGTAGACATTGTAAATATGTTACAGAAGATTGATTTATGATAGAGAATTTGAAAAACATGGTGTTATCATCAGACTTATAAATCAAATATTAAATGAGAGAAATCTGCATTGATATTAAATCTACAATGGAAGGCAATTTCACACAAAATATCTCATTGTCTCTATTTCATTGCCCATTATGCTAATGTCCACATGTGTGGGAGGGTGTTTGAGACTCTGGACCTTGGAGGGGAATACTGAAGCTTCCGTGTGTGTGTGTGTGTGTGTGTGTGTGTTTCAATTCATATCTAAGTCTTACAGGATTCCAAAAATGTAAATTCAAGGTGGAAGTCAGGTTTAAATTCTGCTTATGAAGAAATTCTTGGTTTGGGAATCAGACTTTGCATTTTCTTACTAACTCCTTAGAAATATATTATGCACAAACTGGGGATAAAAAGTCTCCTTTTGCTTTAAAAATGATCATCACATGCATTTTTGATACCACAGCAAGTTGGATCCCTGGGCCATACCTCCTCATGGAATCAACCTCAAATCCAGATAAAATTCAATAATTTCTTAAACGCCACCACTTGCTGGCAATTAAGTAAGGAATTCTTACCTTTAGGGTAAGAGAAAGCCACAAGTAGACCACTGAAGTTGTCTTTCCCCGCAAGGTAAAATGTGAGTGTTGGTTCTCACAGGCTCCAGCGTCTGAAACCAGAACCCACTAAGTAAGGGAAATCCAATTGGAGATTTTCTCCCTGACTGCAAAGGTGAGCCTCAAAAAGCTGTACCCCCAGTCTGGGGTAAATCAGAAATGAATCCATTCGCCGTTAGTAGCAGTGTCACCAGGAAATGCAGCATCTACAACTCCAGTGTTGAGGGGGCATGGTCAGGAGAATATGAAGCATGGGAAAGTCCGAAGCCAGTTTGCAACCTGACTTCAAGTCAAAAACTTACAGTCAAGCTCCAGGCACCGGAGAGAAGCAAACCCTTACCCCTGCAAACATGCCTGGAGCCCTCAGCTTCTTCAGAGGCCTGAATCAATTCCCACAAACAGGCTTCCAAGGTACTGAGCAATTCTTAGTCAAATACTGTTGAAATAATGGTAAAAGGAGGAAAACTAATAGGATTGAAATAGTGACATCATTTTATTCAGGAGTTCCAGAATCACTGAAAAATCTGAGAGGTGAGTTTAGGCTGATGATCCCTTTGCAAAATGTCTGTCAATGACCTGGAATGCATTTTCCCAGCACATTTTCTTCATAAAGCCTTCAGGCATCCCTCCCATTCGCACGGATTGAGTCTTCTCTGAGCTCCTCTTTTCACTTATTTATAGATGTACCGATTCACTTATCACCTCACTGGATATTTATTGAATGCCTGTGTCACCGGGCACCTCTATTCCAAGCACCATCCGGGCCTCCTTCACTTCATCATCACGCCATGTGTCCTGACGTCCTTGGGTTTTACAGCCCTGCTAGCCTGAGTGCTCAGCGAGGACCTTTTCTCTAGATAGCTCCAGTCCCCACACAATGCTTGGTTCATTCAACTCATCGAATGAACACTGTGCTTATTTCCAGCCCTTTCTCAACAAAATTCCAAGTAAGTTGTCTACTCGTACTTTCATGTGTTAACTTATGTTTCTCCATTCAGTGAGCACTGTAGACTCACGTAGGCAGAGAAAAGGATTCTCATCTCAAAAAGATTTAAGATTTGAAAATTTAAGAGTACATAATTGGCAAAGTGAAATAAAATGAAATAAAGACACAAACGATAATGGAACGGAATGGTAACTAACCATGGCTCTTACTCTGCAGTTCTTGATTGAGGAAAACACTTACCTAGAAAAACGAGTTACCATGAGGAGGCCGCAGTCATGAATGAATTCCATTCCATGCTTGAGTGCACGGCACTGCATTGCTTATTTTCTAGGCAAATTGTGTCTCCTCTCACAGGACTGCTGTGAGGTGCACCTGCCCCAGGGAAGGGGGTGCCTACAGCTTTGCTGACACAGATATGTGAAGTAACTAGGATCCCTCTTTCCAATTCGCCAATGAGGTGCTTCATCTGAAATCTTGGAGGCATATATCTCAATCTGTCATTGGACGAATATTTCTCTCTGTTACAGCCCAACTGTAGGGGCAAATCAGCTGTCCACCTTGCACTCCTGCTGCTGCCAATGAAAAGTTCGTGATGTTCTATTAATATCTGTATCAGGGTGTCCTCTTTTGATCCTCCCATGTAATGCCTCATGTTAGTCTAGTTATCCTGAGCCTATGACTGACATGTGTCAATGGGCTGGAAAACACACTCTGCTGCAGACCAGATTCTTGTAGGTGGGCTCCTGAGGTATCCTTAAGGCATCAGAAAATTTGAGAAATGTACAAAACCATCTGCAGAAGTTGAAGATGATCACCACCAATGAGAAAGTCCAGCAAATTGGAATCCTCATAAATGTACTCACATATTTTACACAGTAAAATCCTTAAAATCCTTGAATAATTCAATTGCAGAACATAACCCCCTAATTAAATCACATACTACAGTATATTTAACTGGATCTATTATGTCATTACACAAATTGTATAATATTCAAAATTATGAGTATTGTACTCTGTATAGAACTTAAAAGAATTTTTGTATAAAACTGTGACTATATGCATTTTGTCACTCTAAGGGCCACTATCATTTATAATCTCCACAATGGCCAAGCGTTCTTTGACAGGGAAGCCTGTACTAAGGACGACAGTTATTTAGTTATTCTGTGATGTAAAAATTACTGTTGGAAAAACCATCTTAACCTGCTACTCTAGTGCTCAAACCACAGTGGAGCCTTTGTATAGCACCTTCGTGCAGCTGCCAGCCACGGCTGCGGGGTTAAAGAAGAGGACTATACACCCCTGCCACCAGGTTCAAGGTTTTCCTTGCCAAGATCTACCGCAGGGCTGCGAGGAGGCCACGTGACTTGTCAGGTGCATTCCAGGGTTCAGGGGGCCTTGGTGGCCTTGACTTCTTCTAAATGGAGATACAGGAAAAAGCCTCCAGATGTTATCCTGGCAGGTTCTGGACCCGCTTTTGAACAGTGAGCCGTGAGTAGTTAAGTAACAAAACCTCTGCCAGCTTTGCCGGCCAATTTCCTCTTAAGGCCCACCTGGGACAGCAGAGGCTAGATGGGCTCCTCCTGCTGTGAAGTAGAAGTGCAGGAGTTTACATGTGTCTTGCAGTTGTCTACCCATTTCTTGACACCTGCTTCTGGACTCTACATCTGAAAGACCCTTGCCAAGCACAGAGGCTCACTCCTGTAATCCCAGCAGTTTGGGAGACTGAGATGGGAGGATCACCTGAGGTCAGGAGTTCGAGGCCAGCCTGGCCAACGTGGTGAAACCCCATCTCCACCAAAAATACAAAAATTAGCTGGGCATGGTGCACTGTAATCCCAGCTAATCGGGAGGCTGAGGAAGGAGAATCACTTGAACCTGGGAGGTGGAGGTTGCAGTGAGCCAAGATCGCACCACTGCACTCCAGCCTGGGCAACAGAGCAAGACTCCATCTCAAAATAAAAAATAAATAAAAATTAAAATTAAAAAATATTTAAAAAATTAAAAAACCTAGCCCATATGTGCCTTGCTTTAGGACTTGGCTTTCTGAGCACAGTGCTTCTGTGTCTTACACGGTGCATGTCTGCATTTGCTGTGAATCTTGCAGGCAGCCAGTTCTGTCACTCTTTCCTTGCCTCTACTGCCAGCTCCCGACCTCATGGGCCTCCCTGCCCTGCAGGCTCCCCCTGGCTGGCGTTTCTGCCTTTGCTCTGAGCTGCTCCTTCTGCAGCCACCTTCAGGACAGCACCTGTCATGAAGGATACGTCTTCATATGGCCCTTTCTAGTTCTCCCACCTCGAGAGTAAGTCCGGAATGCCACAGAGGACACCCAAGACCACACATGTAGAAATAATTAGTATGTTTAGAAACCAGACTATAAACTCCTCTTAAAAGTTATGTACAAAGAAATTATGAGACATGATTATGAATAGTGTTATTATTTCTATGGTTAACTACAACAAAAAGAAACAATAACTTCTGCTAGGATAAACCAGGCGATATTAAATTCCAAATCATAATCAGCTTGGGAAATAATTTTCTTAACTTTCTGGATCACAGACATTCCTCTGAATTACAAATTTGGACTGGAACCTCAATGATGGAAAGAAATATTGAGAGCTATTCTTAGAGAGTCAAGCTACTGAGGAAAATCAAAGCTGAGAATATAATGCTTGAAAATGTATTCGACGGGGCTATCCAAATTACTTTTAACTCATGGATGAGTTAATATTCTTTAGCAAAAATAATACTTATTTTACATTTTAGAAATACGTGTGCTCTATTGAGGGACTGTAGCAATACAGCAAGGGCAAGAACCAGAAGCTATGGCTGCAGTGTGTGGGGTACGAGCCATGAGGTGGAAGACGTGCTGCCAGGGAAGATAGACAAGTACCTGACAACAAGATGTGCAGACGGTGACACTGTGTGGGACCTGGGAGTGAGGCGCACAGAGGGGGACACTGTGTGTGACATGGGAATGGGGTGTGAACAGACGGGGACACTGGGTGGGACCTGGGAGTGAGGTGCCCAGAGGGGGAAACTGTGTGGGACCCTGGAGTGAGGTGCACAGAGGGAGACTCCGTGTGGGACATGGGAATGGGTGTGCACAGAGGGGGACACTGTGTGGGGCCTGGGAGTGAGGTGCACAGAGGGGGACTCTGTGTGGGGCCTGGGATTGGGGTGTGCACAGAAGGTGACATTGTGCGTGTGACTATGCGCACATTTACATATATAACAAAGCTGCCCATCCTGCACACGTACCACAGAACTTAAAACAGAAGTTCATGGAAAAAAAAACAAAGACAATTCTAAATCTCAATTGGAAGGCTTCCTGTGAGTACAGAGAATTTCCCTCCCGCCTTCGCACCTCTGGTGTGCTCTGGGACGGCATTGGACCGTTATGGGGTTTCCAGTATTTGCATCACACTGCTTGAGCTCTTTACATCACATGTATATGGCCTTTCCCAAACCAGATGGCCTGAACTAATTCTGCAGTCACTCTGGTCGTATCATCTATTTTTGTTCTGTTTATCTCTCGATGAAAGTTGCTCGCCATGAAAATATTTTCCGTCATGTGAGAAAACCATAATCATTCCATGTTAAATAAGGCCTTTTAAATATCTGTAGCTTGGGTGAAACCACTCACCATATGACAGAATTTTAGAAAAATTACTTTTTTTAAAATGGCATTGAGTGTAAGTATTTTTGAATCGTATCTGTCATTATCTATGATAAATTGAATTACTTGTAAGAAAATCGAAAAGTATTGTCCTAATATGGCCACTCTTTAGGGTAAATTCCTGACATTGGTGACTGGTAACCAATACATTGGGGATTGGTTTAAGTTTGAACTAGTTTTATGCCAAAAGTACAGCTTTTGTTGCTACAACCTGAAAATCTTTTAAAATGAGACCAGAGCATGGACTGATATATTTGGCAGGATGTGTCCCCTTGCCATCAAAATTGAACACCAGATGATGACAAAAGTGGTGAGCTATTACCGTGTGGCCAGAGGCCTGGCAGCAACTCCATGCTCAAGTGAGTTATTGCAGAATAGAGGCCACAGAGTGTCACAAAAGAGCTAATAATAAACCTGGGACTTATTATAAAGGAGGAAGAAAAAAAATTACTGACTGAAGGGGACAAAGGGAGACCCATTTTTTTTTCACTTTTGAGAAACCAATTATTTAACACACATGCTGAACATAAAGCCCATTAAACAAATATGAAACCCCATCTGGGTTAGCAAAATGCAAAATGCAGTGCAGACAGAACCACGAGCCGCAGCAGCCATGTCTGAGGGATGTGAAGTCTTGTGTTTCAGAACCAATAGGGAATTTTGAGTGCTCTTTAAGGCCCCAATCCAAATCAGATCCCTTCAAAGACCTCACTTCATAGCTCATTTTCACAAGAATTTTTTAAAACCATTTTTGAAGGTAGATTCCTAAAGTGACATTTAATCAAATTCATTCAGTAAGATGACATTTCAGTATTTTCCGCTAAGTTAGTAGTCGTGAATGATTGTCACATCTTCCCTCAAAATTGTTTGTTTCGTTGGTTTGGTGGGAACTGGCATACATCTGTGTGACACTGGTCGGAACTGGCATACATCTGTGTGACACTGGTGGGAATTGGCATACATCTGTGTGACATTGGTGGCAATTGGCATACATCTGTGTGACATTGGCACTCAGCATCTTGGACATTCCAAGATCACACAGAAGAGCAAGAAATGTCACTGCTTACCTAGGAAGTGAGATTGGTGATGGCTTTCTTGATTTGCCAGGCCAGTATCACTGATATTTCCATTCCACCTGGGAAACCATGCACTGGATGATCACCCAGCTGCAAATAGGAAATTAATACTGGCCAGGTGCAGTGGCTCATGGTGGTAACCCCAGCACTTGGGAGGTCGACCTGGGCAGATCACCTGACGTCAGGAGGTCAAGGCCAGCCTGGCCAACAGGGTGAACAGTGTCTCTAGTAAAAATAAAAAAATTATCTGGGCATGGTGGTGGGTGCCTGTAATCCCAGCTATTCGGGAGGCTGAGGCAAGTGAATCACTTGAACCCGGGAGAAGGAGGCTGCAGTGAGCCAAGATCGTGCCACTGCACTCCAGCCTGGGTGACAGAGCAAGACTCCATCTCAAAAATAAATACATAAAAATAAAAAAATTAAAAAACAGGAAAGTAATACTGTACTTTGATTTAAATAGTCCACAAGTAGTGCCTCTATCATAGGCCTTTTTCATAACATTTTATTGTTATTTATTGTGGCAGAGCCAGAGATAAACTTGACAATAAATGAAGTATACATAACCAGGTCATTGCCCTAACATCTAATGAAATTCAGTACTTATTGTAAAAGAAGAGTGATGGCTGATTCAAATAGATTCTGCCCTTGAAATAAATGAGCTTTCATAAAAGAAACAGAAAAAAAAATGAATAGGATTCTTGGCAAATATTGACTTTAAAAATGCAGTATTATAAAAAAAAAAGACTTGGATTGGATTCGATTTTTCTGCTTCATATGGAAATTTTCTTTTTATATGAATATTTCAGTGCAGCTTTCTTAAAATCTTAAATTCTACTACATAAAAGAAGAAGAAATAGAAAGGAACCGTAGTGTCATTTAGCGTAGTCCTCTACTCGAGTTTAGAAACATAAAACACTCTTTTTAGAAAAAAAAAATTCAAATTCATTCTGATCAACCTGTAACAAAACTAGATCAGCCAGTTACTAAAATGTCATTGAGACCTACTTTTATCCTAGATGGTCAGGGTTTGGGGTCAGTGGTGACTGAAGGGGGAAGCATTTTGAGCAGGTGTCAAAGGAGGAAGACATGAAGGGCAAGTTTCGGGAAAAAGACTCTCAACCTGTGGCCTGGGGCGGTAGACACATAGAGGAGACACAAGGAAAAGCTCAGATTATCCAGCCAGATGGAAGGAGGAATTAGCAAATGGCAAAGTTTTAAATTATGACTTGCGACATCTACTGCACTTGAGCAAATAGAAGGAAAATAGATTCAGATAACACAGTACCATCCAGTCAAATAGATAAGCTGGTTGAATATCTACATTGTAAAGATATTAGATTTGTCAGAGTAACTACAAACCCACTGAGATTACTAAAGAGAATATGCTGAAATCGCCGATTTAAGATTTAAATAGACAAAAGATATGCATTTCATTGTTATCAATGCACTCCTAGGTTCACCGTTATTTCCTAGTCCCTTTTACTTTTAATGATCATAGCAACTTGAATCTCGTCAAAATGTACAGTCTTCTAATGACTTTATGTCATACTTAGAATTCGCTCTGTACTGAAAGGTGAAGTGTTTAATGTTGTTCACATTCCATATAGTTATTTGCAATGTGGATGACATCATCAATACGATTTGGAAAATTAGCTATGCTCCATCCACTTTAATGGCTACTGGAGCCTTCCTGTTTGGAGGAGCATAAAGGAGAAAAGCAGGTGAATGCTCCCTACAGTGCGGTGTGCAGAAGCGCCCGAAGGGAGCAGGTGCATAGGTGTAAATGGAGAATTGGGGCCTGTGAGAACAGCTGGGATGTGAGCAGGTGCTCCAGGGATGTGTGCAGGTGTCACCAGCAGATGGAGCTGCGCAGCAGGGGCTGCCTGATGTTGAGCTGGGATTGCTGAACAAACACGCTTTGCCGGCTCTGCAAGCGTAGACAAGTCACAAAGTCAGTGGGACCCAAATTAAGTACAAAAATCTTTGAGAGTTTCTTAAAGAAGCGTGGACTTGATTTTCATTTTGGTTTCTAAGGAAGATAGTTAGGCATAAAATGATATCATTAGCCTTGTGTTAGGGAAGGACATTTCTTTAAAAGGTCTAAGCTAACAGGAGGGAGAACTGGAGGGACTCAAAAAGGTAAGCACCCAGCACGACAGTCCAGTGGAAGACGATGCAGCCGTAGCTGGAGAAATCAAGGAGGGGAGGAAAGGCAGGGAAAATATGCGATGAGCTCAGCTTAGAAGAGACGGTCATGCTTTCAATACGAACGAGTGCTAGTATTTGGTGGGAGACGATTTTTGTGCTTACTGCTGTGTATGTATTGCCTGACTTTCTCCTGCTGAGCAACTTTTAATTACAGAGCTTATTTCACATCTGAGGAAACTGAGGATCCAAGTGTCTTGACCAAGGCCATACGGCTGTAGAAAACGGCTGCGCCCACGGGAGACTCTGCTGTGTTTCACTGTGAAGCCACTGCTCATAAACATTGTGCTATGTTGCTTTCATGTGCACAATTTGCTTGTGGTCAAAAAAATGTGGGCAGCAGGAAGAGGGGGTGATGGGAGGGATAGTGTGGTGTTAGGAGTACCTTTGAAATAACTGTGTTCCAACAAGTCAAAGACTTATGAAGATGAAATTAGTTATGCAGGTAAATAAGTAATTTGAAGAAATTTTGAACTTCAGATCTTTTTTTTTTTCTTTTTCTTTGTTTCTTTCTTTTTTTTTGTTTTTTTGAGATGGAGTCTTGCTCTGTTGCCCAGGCTGGAGTACAGTGGCACAATCTCGGCTCACTGCAACCTCCGCCTCCTGGGTTCAAGAGATTCTCCTGCCTCAGCCTCCCTCCCGAGTAGCTGAGATTACAGGCGCCTGTCACCACACCTGGCTAATTTTTGTGTTTTTAGTAGATCTGGGGGTTTCACCATGTTGGCCAGGCTGGTCTCAAACTCCTGACCTCAGGTGATCTGCCCACGTCAGCATCCCAAAATGCTGGGATTACAGGCATGAGCCACTGCGCCCAGCCTAAACTTCAGATCTTTAAGAGAACAGAAATGCCAGTTCTGGTTAGAAAGACCTGCATGGTGACAGAAAGATGTTTGAATATCTTTTTCTGGGAAGTGTCTGTTCATGTCCTTTGCCCACTTTTTAACAGGGTTGTTTGTTTTTGCTTGTTAATTTGTTTAAGTTCCTTGGAGATTCTGGATATCAGACCTTTGTCAGATGAATAGTCGGCCAAGATTTTCTCCTTTACTGTGGGTTGTCTATTTACTCTGCTGACAGTTTCTTTTGCTGCACAGAAGCTCTTTAGTTGAATTAAGTCCCATTGACTTGAAAATGGGCACTAAACACTGAGTACACGAGTACACAAAGAGGGAAACAGGAAACACTAGAGCCCGCATGAGGATGTGGGGAGGAAGGGAGGATGGAAAAACCACTGATCAGGTACTATGCTCATTACCTGACTGACAAAATAATATGTACGCCAAACCCCCATGATGCACAATTTATCTATAGAACCAGCCTGCACATGTACCCCTGAAACTAAAAGTTAAATAAAGAAACATTAAATCTGAGTTAATAACGAGAGGATTAGTGAACTAGAAAAAAAAAGATGTTTGGAAATCATCAGTACATATAAGCTATGTAGTCTGACACTTTAGGGAAGTAAAAATATGGCAAACAATTAAAACAAAAATGAGGCCAGGCACAGTGACTCATGCCTGTAATCCCAGCACTTTGGGAGACCAAGGTGGGTGGATAATGAGGTCAGGAGTTTGAGATCAGCCTGGCCAACATAGTGAAACTCCATCTCTACTAAAAATACAAAAAATTAGCCAGGAATAGTGGTGTGCACCTGTAATCCTAGCTACTTGACAGGCTGAAGCAAGAGAATTGTTTGAATCTGGGAGGTGGAGGTTGCAGTGAGCTGAGATCACATCACTGCACTCCAGCCTGGGTGACAGTGCAAAACTCAGTCTCAAAAAAAAAAAAACAAAAAAACAAAAAAAACAAAAAAAAAAACAACGAGATACCTTCACCCACCTATTAAAATGGCCAAAGCCTCAGAACATGCCTATTGGTATTTGCCCAAAGGAGTTGAAAACTTATGTCCACACAAAAGCCTGCTGCACACAGATGCTTATAGCGGCTTTATTCATCATCTTATTTTCTCTTCTCAAACTTTCAGATTAACCTTTGGCATTCCTTCTCTCAGTAGAAAAAACTTGTTTGTTCTTCCCTGTAGGGACAAATAAATAAAATGCCTAATAAAATACATCTCTCTTTCCATTTTGTAAGTGCCTGCATGGTGGCAGAAAGATGCTTCAAAATCTTCTTTTGGGAAGTGTCTGTTTATGTCCTTAATACACTTTAAATACAACATCTTCCAGCTCTGGTGAGACTCCATCCTGTTCTCTGCTTCTCTCATTGCCGTACGAGATCTGCCCATCTTCCAGGCAAAGGCAAGGCGCCCCTCATGCCCTCCCGAAATCCCCATCCTTTCTTCCACATTTCTCCTGCATCACTTTTCATAACTACATCATTTCCATGTGCATAGAAAGACACTGCCAATATTTTTTTGTAAAATCAAGAAACGTGATGCCATGACTTCAGCCACAGTTCAGTTTCCCTGATCCCTTCCTAAGAAAAACTCTTCAAAAGGGGGCATGTCTGTGGCTCCAACTTCTCTCTTTCCCTTGGCTGTTGAATAATCTCTCATCAGTCTTTCTTCCTGAAACACCCCTTTGGAATGTCACGATGGCCCCCACATGGCTACATCAAATAAAAATGTCAGTTCTTAATGCCACTTACCCCATCAGCTGCACTGGGAAGAGTTCACAACTCTCCCTTGAAGCCCCACCTTCATTGGACTTCTGTTGCCTCATCCTCTCCTGGTTTTCTTCCCACTAGCTTTGCCCTCAACCTTCCCACAACAACAGCCCTTCAGACCCCATTTGTGTAGCTCAGTCAAAAAGCATGGAAGACGTTCCTGATGCTTGTCTTTCTCTCACATTCTACTTTCAATTTAACCAGCAAGTCCCTTTGGCTCCATCTTGAAAGTGAATCCAGAATCTGACCATTCTTCACCCCACACCGTTTTCACTGTGAACTTCCTGCTGGTTTACTGTGATTCCCCACAAGCAGCTCCCCAGGGGCTCCTCCTCCCAATGTCTGTCCTCAGTGCAGCAGCCAGAGTGACTCTTTGACCTGTACTAAGTCATGGCCCCCTCTTCTCAAAGCTTCCAATGGCTTCCATGCATCTAAATAAAGACCCTAGAATGGTCTGTCTACAAGGGTTGCATGCTCCATCACTCTGCGTCCCCTGCTGTGACTATACCCACTACCACTCACTTGCCATTATGAGCACCCCACTCCTCCCTCCATCAGGTCCATGCACAGAACTCCTGCCTCTGGGTGTCACAGCTGTCTCTACCTCTGCCTCCCAACCTTGGTCCTCAAATGACGGCAAGGCTGGCTCCCCACTCCATCAGGCTCTTTCTGACATCCCCTTTCCCTTTTCTTCTATTTCTTTTTTTTTCTCCATAGTAATTACTGCCTTCTGACAGGCTATACAGTTATTTCTGTATTTGCTTATTGCTAATCTCTGTTAATGAGAATGGAACTTTCAGGAGAGCAGAACATTACTGTTTGGGTGTTTGTGTGTTTTTCCCATTGCTATAACTGATCAAATGTAGGTTCTTATTATTTGTAGTTGAAAGAGTGAATGATAAATAAAGATTCTGTAGTCCTACAATGGTGTGTTTGCTGTTTTTCATTTTAGGATAACAGAGCTGTGGAGCTAGGCAGAATTATAGTCATCATTAAGTTGATATATGAGAAAACAAGGCCCCAGGTGATTCAGCTTTTTGAGGATGGGAGAACAGATGTGTGACTGGAATTCAAAACTCCAAGTCGTCAGCCAAAATTTTATCTGCCAATCTCTTTAACATACAATATTTGTTCCAGCAGCGTTTGCCACATGTGTTTAAAGTGGCATTATTCTATAGTAATGTTAATATCATTTTTAGCCTGGCAAGTTCTTGAAGGAAATCACTCAATGATTACCTGTCCAAAACATAAATGTACATTTTAATGCCTATGATCTGAGCCCCAACATCTGTACAAATTTCACAAGCTTTTAAAAATTGATTTTAGAGCATTTCTATGTGCGTTTCAAAACATCAGGAATGACATTGGGAGTGCACGTGTGCATGTGTGTACGTTTCTGGTATCTCCTCACTCTTAGTGAAGCTCCTTGGGATGTGTTGGAGTAGATGCCTGGCCTCTCACCAGCAGGAAAGCCATGTTTATTGAGTGAAAGCACACATCTGTGGATGGATGAGCCCTTAATGACACAACCTCTTATATGTGAATCAGCTTTAAACACGAGATGCAGGCTCACAGTGGAAAATGCTTGATTTTTAGCTTCAGTCATTTGGGATTGGGTTCTGGTTTGAAGCGTCACTAACCATACAGCCTTGGACAAGTAAGTAAACCTCTTTGAACCTCAGGACCCTAATTCTTCTAATAAGGTAGAACAGTGGACCTATTTTGCATGTTTGAAATTAAGGTGATTTATAACAGATGAAAGGAATTCAATCACATATGCTATCGATAAATGACATGTTTTGTTCCTGTTATTGCTTATAAATTTCTAACACATACCCAAGGTTTTCTTAAACTCCTCTTATATTAGTTTATTGTTAGCAAGCAAAGGAAGCAAGGCAAAGTACTAAAAAGCTCATCAGCAAAGGAAAACGTTTTGAAAAGCAAAGATAAGAATGAAGGCAAACATAAAAATGAAAGGATGTCACATTCAGCGGGTTAGCGACTGAGTAGGTGCTAATGAGGGTAATGAAGACAGAAACGTGGAGATGCAAAGTGTTTCTCTCAGACAGAGATCCTGGGCCTGGATAGGACCCCAGAAAACTGTGATATGGTTTGGCTGTGTTCTCACCCAAATCTCATCTTAAATGGAGTTCCCATAATTCCCATGTGTCATGGGAGGGGCCTGGTGGGAAGTAATTTAACCATGGGGGCGGTTACCCTCATGCAGTTCTCATAATAGTGAGTGAGTTCTCACAAGATGTGATGGCATTATAAGGGGCTGTTCCCCCTTTTAGCTGGGCACTTCTCCTTCCTGCTGCCATGTAAAGAAGAACATGTTTGCTTCCCCTTCCACCATAATTGTAAGTTTGCTGAGGCCTCCCCGGTCATGTGGAACTGTGAGTCAATTAAACTTCTTTCCTTTATAAATTACCCAGTTCTGGGTACGTCTTTATTAGCAGCATGAGAATGGACTAATACAAACCATAAGAAAGAAAGAAATTATTATGCCCTCACATATAAATAATAACTAAAAATAATTCCAATTAAAAAAAATCTTGGCAGTACAAGTACAACTTTTTTTTTTACATCCTTGCATCTGCATTTCTCGAAGGAGACCATTGCCGGCCATTTTACAGTCTACTTCTTCATGCATTGACACATGTAAGCAAAGTCTGTTTTTGATGTTTTGTTTGAAACTTGCCGAAACACAAATGCAATGGTCTCCAGTTTTCACTTGCCCCCCGCTTTCAGAGTGATTTTTTTTGGTGATTAAGGAACAGGGTGTAAACAGAATATCCATCAGTACTTTCTCTCCTGGCATTATCAATTAAGATCACAGTAGAGATTTCTGTAGCAGATATTATGTTTATATTAAGTTTATGAAAATACATCCATCACCAAATCTCCTGGCACACATGTTAAGTAAAACGCAAAAGACAAAGCCTACCAACACGATGATAATCATGCTATTTTATAGACTGCAGATGGATTTGTTTGAAACAGAAAGCAGAATCCCAGTGGAGACACAGCCACATCATTCCCTGAAGAAACCTGTTTGGTGCTTACTGTGGGCCAGAAAAATAAGTGAGAAGGAAGAGGAAGGTGTTTCGTCAAGCCTGACTCTTCTAAGCTACAGGGTAAAGAAATAGAGGGAAAGGGGGAAAATAGCTCTGGCGTCCTGTTATATGTGGTATGTTTCTATTCATAAATCCTTCTCACTTTGCAGTTACTATGGGTCACACAGCATCACATCTGATAGTTTTGCATTTGTTAGAAGATGAAAAAGACAATTTAAATTTATATTCTACTATTCACATGGCCTTTTGAAATAATGTTATAAAATTCTCTCCATCTTCCCTTTTCTTCACCCTTTCCCTTGTTTTTGCATCATTTTCCATGGTTTTCATCATTGTCCTCGCTGCATTATTGCTTTTGTTGTCTGATGTAACTCTCTGTCTACTTCATCTTTCTTGCTATTTGATTCCTGTTTTTCATACTTTTCATATATTATTTTACTCCAGAAGTTTCAAACTAGCTGCCTTCAGGCCACATCTGGTTTGTGTAAATATTTCATTTTATTTACAGATGTTTATAAAACAATATCAGTTCACAGACAAGATTTAAAAGTTAGATGATATCCCTGAAAATGTGCTATTATAACTTGTCTTGAAAAGTTAGAAATCTGGCAAAATTGGACCTACCATCCAGATCGTCAACAACTGGATGCTCAGTGTCCCTGGGGTGGTGTTTGCAGTTGTCCATCCCCTGGATGCTCAGTGTCCCTGGGGTAGTGTTTGCAGTTACCCATCCCCTGGATGCTCAGTGTCCCCGGGGTGGTGTCTGCAGCTGCCCATCCCCTCGACCTGGGTCACTTATTTACTGCACCAAGCTGGCCCCTGCAGGCAATGGGACTTAAGGTCCTTTGTCTAAATTTGTGTATATTTAGCACTCTATGCCAATTGTATTTTTGTTGTTGTTGTTGTATTTATTATTAGTCCATGACCATTCGATATAAAAAGTCGTATACAGAATATTGTGTACAATATTCTTCTGTATATAAGCATTGGCTCTATGAGCAAAATAAGATACAGGTCTTCCTTTTTAGAAGGCTACCTTACAAATGAAGAGACCAGCACATCACCAAGTACACGGGCCAGAGTCTAATCTGGGTGGTAAATTCTTTCTTTCCATGGTTCATTAGTAAAGAATGAGTTATTGTGCATAGCCCTGCCTAGAGACGCTGAGTAAAGTGTTTCCCTTGTCCCCTGAAGGAATTAATGTGCCTTTGTTTATGAAAACCTAACCTTAAAAAGGCAAAGCTCTCAGCCACTCTATAGGAAAGAGGGAGCAAGGCATTAATGAAGGTGAGGGGGCGGGGGCTCAAATGCAGAGACAAACATACTTGCTAAGACGGTCATAGGGTGGGAGCTGGAGGGGAGGGTGCCTGACGGCTGGACTTCAGCTCCCCGGTGGCTCTGAGGAGGCAGCAAGGGACATCCGGGGGCCTGTGTGGTTGCTTGGAGATGTGGGGATGTCCCAGGGGCTCTGTTACCAATGATCACCTAATGACACGGGTGGCTTTCGTTTAGAAACCCTTAGAACGCAGAGAAAGGAGGGAATGCTTGAAATACTGAATATCCATCCACATGCATGGAGGACTCTTCACTTGGTTTAGATAATTTGCCTTAGAAAATTAAAGGAATACATTTCACGAGCCTTGCACCTCAATGGCTTGAAACAAACTCATACCTATTTCATTAGATTGCAAAACTATCACGGATGCTGTTATAGACATTGTGCAAAATATGCAGTATTCTCAAAGGAAAAACGAACCCACAGGAGGTGAAATTTCATTTGCATCGTTAGAAATGATTGCCAAGTTTGTTCTTTGAAACCAACGAGAACAAAGACACAACAAACCAGAATCTCTGGGACGCATTCAAAGCAGTGTGTAGAGGGAAATTTATAGCACTAAATGGCCACAAGAGAAAGCAGGAAAGATCCAAAATTGACACCCTAACATCACAATTAAAAGAACTAGAAAAGCAAGAGCAAACACATTCAAAAGCTAGCAGAAGGCAAGAAATAACTAAAATCAGAGCAGAACTGAAGGAAATACGGACACAAAAAACCCTTCAAAAAATTAATGAATCCATGAGCTGGTTTTTTGAAAGGATCAACAAAATGGATAAACCACTAGCAAGACTAATAAAGAAAAAAAAGAGAGAAGAATCAAATAGATGCAATAAAAAATGATAAAGGGGATATCACCACCGATCCCACAGAAATACAAACTATCATCAGAGAATAATACAAACACCTCTACGCAAATAAACTAGAAAATCTAGAAGAAATGGATAAATTCCTCGACACATACACTCTCCCAAGACTAAACCAGGAAGAAGTTGAATCTCTGAATAGACTAATAACAGAATCTGAAATTGTGGCAATAATCAATAGCTTACCAACCAAAAAGAGTCCAGGACCAGATGGATTCACAGCCGAATTCTACCAGAGGTACAAGGAGGAACTGGTACCATTCCTTCTGAAACTATTCCAATCAATAGAAAAAGAGGGAATCCTCCCTAACTCATTTTATGAGGCCAGCATCATCCTGATACCAACGGCAGGCAGAGAAACAACCAAAAAAGAGAATTTTAGACCAGTATCCTTGATGAACATTGATGCAAAAATCCTCAATAAAATACTGGCAAACCGAATCCAGCAGCACGTCCAAAAGCTTATCCACCATGATCAAGTGGGCTTCATCTCTGGGAAGCAAGGCTGGTTCAATATATGCAAATCAGTAAATGTAATCCAGCATATAAACAGAACCAAAGACAAAAACCACATGATTATCTCAATAGATGCAGAAAAGGCCTTTGACAAAATTCAACAACCCTTCATTCTAAAAACTCTCAATAAATTAGGTATTCATGGGACATATCTCAAAATAATAGGAGCTATCTATGACAAACCCACAGCCAATATCATACTGAATGGGCAAAAACTGGAAGCATTCCCTTTGAAAACTGGCACAAGACAGGGATGCCCTCTCTCACCACTCCTATTCAACATAGTGTTGGAAGTTCTGGCCAGGGCAATTAGGCAGGAGAAGGAAATAAAGGGTATTCAATTAGGAAAAGAGGAAGTCAAATTGTCCCTGTTTGCAGACGACATGATTGTATATCTCGAAAACCCCATTGTCTCAGCCCAAAATCTCCTTAAGTAGATAAGCAACTTCAGCAAAGTCTCAGGATACAAAATCAATGTGCAAAAATCACAAACATTCTTACACACCAACAACAGACAAACGCAGAGCCAAATCATGAGTGAACTCCCATTCACAATTGCTTCAAAGAGAAGAAAATACCTAGGAATCCAACTTACAAGGGATGTGAAGGACCTCTTCAAGAAGAACTACAAACCACTGCTCAAGGAAATAAAAGAGGATACAAACAAATGGAAGAACATTCCAAGCTCATGGGTAGGAAGAATCAATATTGTGAAAATGGCCATACTGCCCAAGGTGATTTACAGATTCAATGCCATCCCCATTAAGCTACCAATGACTTTCTTCACAGAATTGGAAAAAAACTACTTTAAAGTTCATATGGAACCAAAAAAGAGCCCGCATAGCCAAGTCAATCCTAAGCCAAAAGAACAAAGCTGGAGGCATCATGCTACCTGACTTCAAACTGTACTACAAGTCTACAGTAACCAAAACAGCATGGTACTGGTACCAAAACAGAGATATAGATCAATGGAACAGAACAGAGCCCTCAGGAATAACCCCACATATCTACAACTACCTGATCTTTGACAAATCTGAGAAAAACAAGCAATGGGGAAAAGATTCCCTATTTAATAAATGGTGCTGGGAAAACTGGCTAGCCATATGTAGAAAGCTGAAACTGGATCCCTTCCTTACACCTTATACAAAAATCAATTCAAGATGGATTAAAGACTTAAACGTTAGACCTAAAACCATAAAAACCCTAGAAGAAAACCTAGGCATTACCATTCAGGACATAGGCATAGGCAAGGACTTCATGTCTAAAACACCAAAAGCAATGGCAACAAAAGACAAAATTGACAAATGGGATCTCATTAAACTAAAGAGCTTCTGCACAGCAAAAGAAACTACCATCAGAGTGAACAGGCAACCTACAAAATGGGAGAAAATTTTCGCAACCTACTCATCTGACAAAGGGCTAATAGCCAGTATCTACAATGAACTCAAACAAATTTACAAGAAAAAAACAAACAACCCCATCAAAAAGAGGGCGAAGGACATGAACAGACACTTCTCAAAAGAAGACATTTATGCAGCCAAAAAACACATGAAAAAATGCTCATCATCACTGGCCATCAGAGAAATGCAAATCAAAACCACAATGAGATATCATCTCACACCAGTTAGAATGGCAATCATTAAAAAGTCAGGAAACAACAGATGCTGGAGAGGATGTGGAGAAATAGGAACACTTTTACACTCTTGGTGGGACTGTAAACTAGTTCAACCATTGTGGAAGTCAGTGTGGCGATTCCTCAGGGATCTAGAACTAGAAATACCATTTGACCCAGCCATCCCATTACGGGGTATATACCTGAAGGACTATAAATCATGCTGCTATAAAGACACATGCACATGTATGTTTATTGCGGCATTATTCACAATAGCAAAGACTTGGAACCAAGCCAAATGTTCAACAATGATAGACTGGATTAAGAAAATGTGGCACATATACACCATGGAATACTATGCAGCCATAAAAAATGATGAGTTCATGTCCTTTGTAGGGACATGGATGAAATTGGAAATCATCATTCTTAGTAAACTATCACAAGAACAAAAAACCAAACACCGCATATTCTCACTCATAGGTGGGAATTGAACAATGAGAACACATGGACACAGGAAGGGGAACATCACACTCTGGGGATGGTTGTGGGGTGGGGGTAGGGGGGAGGGATAGCATTGGGAGATATACCTAATGCTAGATGACGAGTTAGTGGGTGCAGCGCACCAGCATGGCACATGTATACATATGTAACTAACCTGCACATTGTGCACATGTACCCTAAAACTTAAAGTATAATAATAATAAATTAAAAAAAAAATGATTGCCAAGTTTGAGATAGGAAAGTAGGTCGCTAGAGAGGCTATTTCAGTTAAAGGTTTCGGCATAAGCAAAGATCCCTAATTGTGAAAATGACTATCTGGGGGGAAAGCGGAATGGAAAATGAACGACCGGCCAGGGATCTCACTGGGAGACGTGGGGAATGAAGCCGGGAGGACTTGGGAGCAGAATACAAATGGCTGAGCCTATAAAGGTAGAAACGATGGGCTTCATTCATTCAGCCAATGCTGAGCCACCATCTTTCAAGGATACACAGCTCGTTGAGTGACTGAGCCCTTCTCCATCTGTGGTCTTGTCAACTACATGCAGCGTTGGTCATACTTCATCTTTCATCAACATCCTTTATGACACATTAATGAAAGTTCCAGGGGCAGTCCTGACTCCAGTCATGGGTGATCCCAGGACTTGTACGATATCATGGCCGCTGAGAGAATCTCCCCAGTCTCTCGTTCCTGCTCACACATCTTCTCCATTGCAGTAGCCAATTGCTCACTAACAACTCTAGGCTTTCACCAACATCACCAAGTTCGGCAATAGGAGATAAATTCTCTCTGGAAACCCTGATCTCAGGTCTTACTGAGTGGTCCAGGCCATATATCCATCCCTGAACCAGTCAGCACTGAATGAAGTGTGAGAATGAAACCTGAGTCTTGTCTTTAAGTGCAAGTAACCTGTCAACCCCTCCAAACACATGAAGCCAGAGGGTGTCAGAGCGGTAGGAGGAATGGGAGCAAAGAAGAAAAACACATGTGCATGCACACACACACTCACACTCTCACACACACGCTCTCTCACTCACACACTCACACACACACACACGGTCTCACACACATTCACATGCTGTCACACACTCACACACTCACATGCTCTCTCACACACATTTGCACTCACACACTCACGTGCTCTCAGTCACACTCACACACTCACATACTCTCCCATGCTCACACTCACATGCTCTCACACACACATGCTCTCTCATACACTCACACACTCACACTCACATGCTCTCTCACACACACATGCTCTCTCACACACACACACATGCTCTCACACACACTCACATGCTCTCTCACACACACTCACACACATGCTCTCTCACACACACATACTCTCAATGCTCTCTCACACACACTCACATGCTCTCTCATACACACACACTCACACTCACATGCTGTCTCACACACACATGCTCTCACACACACACATGCTCTCTCACACACACATGCTCTCTCACACACACTCACATGCTCTCTCACACACACTCATATGCTCTCTCACACACACATGCTCTCTCAACTCATTCACACATTCACACACACATGCTCTCTCACACACACTCACACACACACACACAGTCACACACAAACATATTTCCACCAAAGAGGTATTTGTCAGTATGAGAATGGATTGTATATTTGAGAAAAAATTAAAAAGCTAAGGGCTATAACTCAGGAACGGCTCCCAACAGAGAGGGCAGAAAGAGTCTAAACAAGGGCTGAAAGACTGGGTACAAAACTAATGTAAAGGACTGTTTCAGCCTTAAGTATAACATTGCATCCACCCTCCATCGTGGCCATGGGCCTGCAGCTGGATTAGAAACCATGATAGCTCTTGGCAGCGCGGATGATGTAAAAGGGACTACATCACCATGTCTGATGCGTTCATTTATAAAACCATCTGAGAACTCTGGGGCATGTTCTTAATAAAGTTCAGAACTTTGTGACTTTTCTCTTTATCCCTGTAGGTCAGTTAATTCCAACAGATGCTAACAGGTAAGGATTGGATGTGGAGTTCTTAAGGATACATTTTTTATTTTATTACATTTAATCTAAAATTTAATTGAGATTACCAAGATAATTGGGACTTTAAACTTAAGATCCTAGAAAATGGATGAAACTTGCTCACATTTTAATAGAAAACCAAATATTTCAGTCATTCATTTTAGGCTTTGACATTGTTTTTGATCTTAATGGACTCATGGAAAGTTTGTACAAGGTTTAAACCCAGGAGCTCTAAGTATACATTAAGTTGCATGTGGTGTTCCCTGTGTAACTGAACTTGTCAAATGAGATCCACCCACTGCACACAAACAGGGAACAGTAGCACAATGGAAAATGATGTGCTTTTGCAAAAAATAAGGAGGTAGCACCTCATCTTGTTCCCACCTCCACCACTGGACAGTCAAAGAAGCTCAGTTTCATAGAGCAATCCCCAAAATGAATAACCACCTTAACTAGGAGAATTACGACAGCGGAAGTATTGTGTATTGATGTCGTCTTTCACTGTCATCATCCATCCCAATTATAAACCTTAGCCCACTGAATATTTCACACTGAAATTACTTCTGTAATTTATTGTCTCCTGTGGAAGGGCCAATAAAGGAGCTGAAAAATATTCTTCTTGTATTTGCCTTACACTGGGCAAGTCCACTAGCAAGGAACTTCTCTACCACATGTACTGATTAAGACATTAGCAATTTTTCATCTTGATTAGAGAGAAGAAAGTTGCTTTAAAGCTTTTGCAGAAATATTGTTGCAGACCATCTAAGGCACAAAGCTTAAGGACCACATTCAGCTTAGAAATGGTGAGAAACGGTGACAAACTGGGGAGATAGGCAGCGTCCCATCTAACAGGTAAGGAGCAGCTGTGAGAAGCCCCAGTGAATCTTGTCCCCAGTAAGCTGAAAACCAGCACCTGATGGAACAGGAGGAGAGATCCAGCCCATTACGAGAGGGGTGGCAGCAGCTAGATGAGTCTTTGGGTCTCAGACAGAAAACATATTCATGAGTTGGATGTCCTTTTCCTTTTAAGATATACATTTATTCCATTTCTTGAGAAATTGCTAGGCAATTCACCAACTAATTCTTCACTGATTTATTCATTTTACTTAAGGTTAAATGATGTCAATTTTCCCCCGAGGTACTTAACTGCGGAAAATTCACCAAAGCTTTTAAGATAGAGGTTGAAAAGGAACCGATGTGCTCTATGAAGCGCTAGAAAAGACTTCTTAAACTTCTAGATGCAGTTACCCAGTTTTGGAAAATAGGTTACAACTTGTGTATACAAACTTTACTAAGGATCATTTTAGGTTTCTTCCACTGGAAAACCAGAACAGAAAGCCATGCTTAATTATGCTTTCCATTTGATATTTATTGAATGTTGTTTTTTTAAAATTTTAAAAGAAGCACATAAATGGGTCACCCAAGTGAGTGCCAAAGTGAGATTCTCTCCTTAACGATGTCTCTGTAAAGCTGACCCGAAGAGATTGAGTGGGAAGGCTAGAGGCAGGAAGGAGATAAAGTGGTTCACTATCAAGAAAGAGGAAAGTGGACGTTATAAGGGGGCTCTGAAGTGGCAGAGACTTAAGGAACAATGCAGAAAGGACTTGGAGGTTAACCTGTCGTTAAGTACAGAATCCCTCTCAATCCATCACCTGGACAGCTGTAAATTTCCCACAACAAGAGAGACGGGCATTTGGAAAACTTGCTGGAAGTGAAAACCCGACAGATGAAATTATTTTCTTGACCAAACAGAAAGTGTGAAGACTTTATTAAGAACAAAATCTCAGATAAACTCCCAACAATTTGCATTGTCTTGTATTGGTGGTGGTGGAGGGTTAATGAAGCCATCCACTTGTCTGTAGTAATAAAAGACTATAACATTTCACCATTTTAACAGAGAAGCCAAAGAATGACCCCACCATACTCCTCATTTACAACAGGAAAAACTAGGATGCATGTAGAATTCATTCCTTGCTTCCGTCCCAAAACCCAATCAGCCAGAGGAGGCTGTTGCATTTCCAAGCACACTGCTGTTTCTTTGTTCAAGACTTAATAATTTATTATCTGGGTTAGGGCATCAGTTTCCCAGATGGCCTTCCTTCCTGAAGTCAGCTGGAAGTCCTGATCATACAAGAATCACCTTTGCCTGGCTTTCCTCATTCATCCATCACCACGCATCACTCATAGGTGACTATCAGCTATGTTGACCCACACGCAGGCACCTGGCTTTCCCCCCTCATCTACCACCACTCCTCACCCATAGGTAATTATCTGCTAAATTGAACATACAATTTCATCTTGAAGAGTAAAGAATTATTACAGAAATGCAATCTATCTCCATTCAGTCCCTGAAGCCAACATGTTTTTTTCCATGTTTGGCCTCTGGCTCATGTTACCTTTTTCTGCTCAGGATGTTCTATCTTTATCCCATTTTTTAGCTCACCATGTATTCCTTGTCATCTAAGATTCTGCTCAGACATTATCTCCTCAAGAAGCTTTCATAACCCACCTTCTCCCACATGCAAATCTCTATCCCCACTGCCTGGAATTGAACACCCTCCATGTCACATTACAATATAATTTCAAGTATCAGTGACTAGCCTGGGCTTGAAGATTCTTGAGGACAGGATACAGCCTTATTCACCTTTATTTCCCTGCCAAATGGCTTGAGATACAACTGTTGCTGAATTAATAAGAGAATGAGGTTACCTAAGGAAAGACAGAGCAAGTCAAACTAAGGAAGCTGAATTAACTTGAGACACATCTAAGTCCACTGAGCATTTTAAATTAAGGAGTAACATGGTAAACCTTGTTAGCAAGATGGGAGGTTCCCCATAAATTCTTTTGGAATTTAAATCATTTAGAAATATCACTGCAAGAGTAAATTAGGGGAGAAAGGAAAAATTAGGAGGCTTTGCATTAATCCAAGCAGAAAATTTTGCATGTCTGAAGGCAGACAGCGGCAGCACAGACACCCAAAAATTCTTGAAAACTGATTATATGCTAGAGATGAAGAAGAAAGTGTGGTGATGGCCAGGACTTTGACTTCAGGGACTGAATGGATATGGGTTCCATTTCTGTAATAATTCTTTACTCTGCAAGACAAAACTATTTGTTCTTCTCGTTTGAGAACCTAGTTGGGTCCACTAAGAAGGGACATTTTAAATGAGAGATATCCGAGCTTCATCTACTGCCTCTCTTCCATTGTTGTCTCAGATACCTTAAATAGAACCACAATTATTTTCACAGATTCATTCATTCACCCATTCAACTGTTCATTTATTTTCAACAAATATTTATTAAATGCCTCTTTATGTGTGGAGTGGTGTTCGATTCAAGGCAGTGGGGATAAATAGTTTCTTCATGGAATTCCTACCATGGTTTGGAAGATCAAAATGAGTACGATAAGTAAGTAAAATACACGATATGCCAGGTGGTGGTTTGTACAATGGAAGATAATTAAACCTGGGTGGAATAAGGGTAATAAGTTGGGGGCACTTGTGGCCGTTGATTAGAGCGGCTTCCACCCCTATAGAGAGGTCATTGGAAGGCTCTCTGGTAACGTAGAGTTTCGCTAGATGCATGAAGGAATCTACGTGGTGATATGAAGGTACAGAGGCATCCACAGTGAAAAGCCCTTAAGCAGGAGGGGACGGGGACATGGGCTGCTCAAGGAGGAGCAGGCATGGACTAGACATTCAGGCCTGGGAAGTAGAGGGTGTACAGAACAGGATAGAGAGGTCAGAGGGGGATGGACATCTAATACAGAGAGCCACATAGACCACGGTGAGGACATGGGCTTTTACACTGAGGTTTTAACCATGATCATGATAGGACAATACTCATTGCAAAATTGAGAGTAGATTAATGGGAAAGGAAGTGCACATGCAGGAAGAGCTGCTGGGAGGCTGCTCTAGCCATCCAGACAAAAGACGGTGGTGGCTTGGCCCAGGGACATGTCAGGGGAGTGGATGCAGTAGGGTCCGATTTTTCGAGGTGGCTTACCCTCTTCACTGTGGCCACAAGGGTTTCCCACTCCAACAGCGTCCTGGCATCTCAGGGGACTCAGCGCTACCAAAAAAGTATTCTCAGATGTGGGCAGCTGCCACATTGGTGCTTCTGTGGCACTGACTCTGCCATCTTGCTGAGGTCACCAGCCAGGGAAAGGTTCTTAGGGGAACTCTAGGTCTGGAGGCAGCTTTCCCTGCATCATCCCGGTCAAGATGTGATGACCTCCAGGAATTCGCAGTCCTGAGTCAATCCACAGTCCTCTGGTGAAGGGGAAGCTGGCAGGTCTGAGGGGAGTGCTGGGGTCATCATGCAAGTCCATCCTGTGAACCCTCCTCTGAAAGGTCACCACAGCCCTTTCTTAGGGTGAACCTGCCCTGGGGAATGGAAAATACCCAGACATTCCAGATCTGTTGGCGCTGACACTGACTTAATGGGAATGAATAGCCTCCAGAATATGCAGGGGTCACTGGCAAGAGTGGTCGAGCGTCTCTTCAGGGATCAGAGAGTTTGGGGCCTAAGCGCTCGCCCTAGGAACTCAGCAAACCATGGACACATCTTGCAGTGTCTTTCAAGTTCAGCATGCATCCATGGAGCAAACACAACCAGCAGTTGGCAGATACCATGCTGGCCTCTTAAAATCTGGCTATTGAAGCAAAGACTTGGAACCAATCCAAATGCCCATCAATGATAGACTGGATACAGAAAATGTGGCACATATACACCATGGAATTCTATGCAGCCATAAAAAAGAATGAGCTCATGCCCTTTGCAGGGACATGGATGAAGCCAGAAACCATCATTCTCAGCAAACTAACACAGGAACAGAAAACCAAACACCTCATGTTCTCACATACGGAAGAACACGTGAGAGTTGAACAATGAGATCACCTGGACACAGGGAGGGGAACATCACACACTGGGGCCTGTCGGGAGGTGTGATCAAGGGGAAGTAAAGTATTAGGACAAACACCTAATGCAAGAGGAACTTAAAACCTAGATGATGGGTTGGTAGGTGCAGCAAACCATCCTGGCACATGTATACCTATGTAACAAACCTGCACATTTATCCCAGAACTTAAAAAAAAAAATGGCTATTGAGTTAAGAGGTCCAAGTGGAAACCCCCGAAGCTCCCTCTCCCAGTCAAAATTGTAAACTAAAACCAACATGACATGGCCAAGGGGACTGCAGAGATTACTGCCACCATCAAAGTCACCCTGTATGCAGAGACTAGCAATCCTATTACACGCTCATTTAACCCTTTTGATTGGCTGGTAAAAAAGACAGAAGTATCTTTGTGGAATTCAGTGTATTACACAATTATTGACTTCAGTTGCTTCTGTATTTCCAGATATTTTCTTCTATACTAAAGCAAATCAGTGCATCTTCATGTGTTATATATCACAGAGCTACTGATGCAGCCAGTACATCCCTCTGCTCCAATAAGCAGAGAAAGAGAGCTTGAATTTTTATTTTAATGTTTTCTTTCACTTAGCAAGGATGGCAGTAGCTGGCTGTTACCTCAATGGTATAGGTAATTTTTTAATATGAGTTTCACAGCTGCTTAAAAATCTGAGTTTAAATGACTCTAGACTGAATATAACCTAATTATATCATGGTCTCTAAATTATTCTTGTAATACTTCATATTTTTGTCATCACAGTTGAAAGCAACTTTTCAAATAAAGGTCAATGGCTACGAAAGTGACTAGAATTTATAGGGAAGCATGCAGTGTGAAGTGTTTCGGTGAGGTTGGTGGCCTAATGACCTTAACATTTCTACTAAGATAGATACAATTACTGGCTTACTTTCACTAGTTTCTATCTAGTATATAATTGTCTGAAGAGTGTTTTTTCATTACTTTCAAAAGAGAAAAAAATGCTTCTCAGAGTAAGTTTCTATGTTTTTGATGAATAACTTTATCACACTCGAGATGGAAATATTATCTCACTCTTCACAGCTTGTCTAATGGGCTGTAAAAATGCTAAACTAATAACTTATTTGGAGCACAGTATATAGGATTAATTTTTTTCTCTCCAAAACAAAGTGTATTGTCAAGGCATAATTTTTTTCACAAACTAATCAATTTTTGACCTTAAAAATGTCTACATTTAAAGTCCCAAAGCACCAATACTGCCAAGATTGTAGACCAACAAATGACAGTTTCCATATATTTTTAGTTTTTTTAATTATACTTTAAGTTCTGGGATACATGTGCACAACAGGCAAGTTTGTTACATAGGTATACACGTGCTGTGGTGGTTTGCTGCACCCTTCAACCAGTCATGTACGTTAGGCATTTCTCCTAATGCTATTCCTCCCCTTGTCCCCCACTACCCGACAGGCCCCCGTGTATGATGTTCCCCCCATGCCCATATGTTATCGTTGTTCAATGTTTACTGACGAGTGAGAACATGCAGTGTTTGGTTTTCTGTTCCCGTGTTAGTTTGCTGAGAATGATGGTTTCCAACTTCATCCATGTCCCTGCAAAGGACATGAACTCATTCTTTTTTGTTTTTGTTTTTGTGTTTTTGAGATGGTGCCTCGCTCTGTCACCAGGCTGGTATGCATTGTCACAGTCTCGGCTCACTGCAACCTCCACCTCCCGGATCCAAGCGATTCCGTTCCCTCAGCCTCCAGAGTAGCTAGGACTACAGGAATGCGCCACAACACCCAGCTAAGTTTTGAATTTTTTAGTAGAGATGGGGTTTTACCAGGCTGGCCAGATTGGTGTCAATCTCTTGACCTCATGACCTGCCCACCTTGGCATCCCATAGTGCTGGGATTATAGGAGTGAGCCACAGCATCTGGCCGAACTCATTCTTTTTTATGGCTGCATAGTATTCCATGGTGTATATGTGCCACATTTTCTTTATCCAGCCTAGCACTGATGGGCATGTGGGTTGGTTCCAAGTCTTTGCTATTGTAAATAGTGCTACAATAAACATATGTGTGAATGTGTTTTTATAGTAGAATGATTTATGATCTTTTGGGTATACGCTCAGTAATGGGATTGCTGGGTTAAATGGTATTCCTAGTTCTCTATCTTTGAGGAATCGCCACACTGTCTTCCGCAGTGGTTGAACTAATTTACACTGCCACCAACAGTGTAAAAGCGTTCCTATTTCTCCACATCCTCTCCAGCATCTGTTGTTTCCTGACTTTTTAATGATCGCCATTCTAACTGGCATGAGATGTGGTTTTGATTTGCATTTCTCTAACGACCAGTGATGATGAGCTTTTTTTTCATATGTTTTGGCCGCATAAATGTCTTCTTTTGAGAAGTGTCTGTTCATACCCTTTGCCCACTTTTTGATGTTTTTTTTAATTCCTGTACATTTGTTTAAGTTCCTTGTAGATTCTTGATATTAGCCCTTTGTCAGATGGATAGATTGCAAAAATTTTCTCCCATTCTGTAGGTTGCCTATTCACTCTGATGATAGTTTCTTGGCTGTGCAGAAGCTTTTTAGTTTAATTAGATCCCATTTGTCAATTTTGGCTTTTGTTGCCATTGCTTTTGGAGTTCTAGTCATGAAGTCTTTGCCCATGCCTATGTCCTGAATGGTATTGCCTAGGTTTTCTTCTAGGGATTTTATGGTTTGAGGTCCTAAGTTTAAATCTTTAATCCATCTTGAGTTAATTTTCGTATAAGGTGTAAGAAAGGGGTCCAGTTTTGGTTTTCTGCATATGGCCAGCCAGTTTTCCCTACACCATTTGTTAAATAGGGAATCCTTTCCCCATTGCTTGTTTTTCTCAGGTTTGTCAAAGATCAGATGGTTGTAGATTTGTGGTGTTGTTTCTGAGGCCTCTGTTCTGTTCCGTAGGTCTATATATCTGTTTCGGTACCAGTACCATGCTGTTTTGGTTACTGTAGCCTTGTAGTACAGTTTGAAGTCAGGTGGCGTGACGCCTCCAGCTTTGTTATTTTTGCTTAGGATTGTCTTGGCTATACAGGCTCTTTTTTGGTTCCATATGAAATTTAAAGTAGTTTTTTCTAATTCTGTGAAGAAAATCCATGGTAGCTTGATGGGAATAGCATTGAGTCTATAAATTACTTTGGGCAGTATGGACACTTTCATGATATTGATTCTTCCTATCCACGAGCATGGAATGTTTTCCCATTTGTTTGTGTCCTCTCTTATTTCCTTGAGCAGTGGTGTGTAGTTCTCCTTGAAGAGGTCCTTCATATCCCTTGTAAGTTGTATTCCTAGGTATTTTATTCTCTTTGTAGCAATTGTGAATGGGAATTTGCTCATGATTCGGATCTCTGTTTGACTATCATTAGTGTATAGGAATGCTTGTGATTTTTGAACATTGATTTTGTATCCTGAGACTTTGCTGAAGTGGTTTATCAGCTTAAGGAGTTTTTGGGCTGAGATGATGGGGTTTTCTAAATATACAATCATGTCATCTGCAAACAGACATAATTTGACTTCCTCACTTCCTATTCGAATACCCTTTATTTCTTTCTCTTGCCTGACTGCCCTGGCCAGAACTTCCAATACTGTGTTGAATAGGAGTGGTGACAAGGCACATCCTTGTCTTGTGCCGGTTTTCAAAGGGAATGCTTCCAGCTTTTGCCCATTCAGTATGATATTGGCTGTGGGTTTGTCATAAATAGCTCTTATTATTTTGAGATACGTTCCATCAATACCTAGTTTATTGAGTGTTTTTAGCATGAAGGGGTGTTAAATGTTATCAAAGGCCTTTTCTGCCTCTATTGAGATAATCATGTGGTTTTTGTCATTGCTTCTGTTTATGTGATGGATTACGTTTATTGATTTGCGTATCTTTAACCAGCCTTGCATCCCGGGAATGAAGCCAGTTTGATTGTGGTGCATAAGCTTTTTGATGTGCTGCTGGATTCGGTTTGCCAGTATCTTATTGAGTATTTTTGCATTGATGTTTATCGGGGATATAGGCCTGAAATTTTCTTTTTTTGTTGTGTCTCTGCCAGGTTTTGGTATCAGGATGATGCTGGCCTCATAAAATGAGTTAGGGAGGAGTCTTTCTTTTTCTATTGTTTGGAATAGTTTCAGAAGGAATGGTACCAGCTCCTTTTTGTACCTCTGGTAAAATTCGGCTGTGAATCCATCTGGTCCAGGGCTTTTTTGGGGTGGTAGACTATTAATTACTGCCTCAATTTCAAAACTTGTTATTGGTCTATTCAGGGATTCGACTTCTTCCTGATTTAGTCTTGGGAGGGTGTATGTGTCCAGGAATTTATCCATTTCTTCTAGGTTTTCTAGTTTATTTGCATAGAGGTGTTTATAGTATTCTCTGATGGTAGTTTGTATTTCTGTGGGATCGGTGGTGATATTCCCTTTATCATTTTTTATTGTGTCTTTTTGATTCTTTTCTCTTTTCTTCTTTATTAGTCTGGCTAGCCATCTATCTATTTTGTTAATCTTTTCAAACAACCAGCTGCTGGTTTCATTGATTTTTTTGAAGGGTTTTTTGTTTATCTCATTCAGCTCTTCTCTGATCTTAGTTAATTCCTTGTCTTCTGCTAGCTTTTTAATTTAAAAGAACTTTTCTAGTTCTTTTGTGATGTTAGGGTGTCGATTTTAGATCTTTCCTGCTTTCTCCTGTGGGCATTTAGTGCTATAAATTTCCCACTAAACACTGCTTTAGCTGTGTCCCAGAGATTCTGGTATGTTTTGTCTTTGTTTTCATTGGTTTCAAATAACTTATTTGTTCCTGCCTTAATTTTGTTATCTACCCAGTAGTCATTCAGGAGCAGGTTGTTCACTTTCCATTTAGTTGTGCAGTTTTGAGTGAGTATCTTAATCCTGAGTTCTAATTTGATTGCACTGTGGTCTGAGAGACTGTTTGTTATGATTTCTGTTCTTTTGAATTTGCTGAGGAGTGTTTTACTTCCAATTATGTGGTCAATTTTAGAATAAGTACTATGTGATGCTGAGAAGAATATATATTCTTTTGATTTGGGGTGGAGAGTTCTGTACCTGTCTATTAGGTTCACTTGGTCCAGAGCTGAGTTCAAGTCCTGAATATCCTTGTTAATTTTCTGTCTCATTGATCTGTCTAATATTGACAGTGGAGTGTTAAAGTCTCCCACTGTTATCGTGTGAGACTCAAAGTCTCTTCGTAGGTCTCTAAGAATTTGCTTTCTGAATCTGGGTGCTCCTGTATTGGGTGCATATAAATTTAGGATAGTTAGCTCCTCTTGTTGCATTGATCCCTTTACCATTATATAATGTCCTTCTTTGTCGTTTTTGATCTTTGTTGGTTTAAATTCTGTTTTATCAGAAACTAGGATTGCAACCTCTGCTTTTTTTTTTTTTTTTTTTTTTTTGCTTTCCATTTAGTTGGTAAACATTCCTTCATCTTTTTATTTTGAGCCTATGTGTGTCTTTGCATGTGAGATGGGTCTTCTGAATACAGCACACCGACGGCTCTTGACTCTTTATGCAAGTGGCCATTCTGTGCCTTTTAATTGGGGCATTTAGCCCGTTTACATTTAAGTTTAATATTGTTATGTGTGAATTTGATCCTTTCATTATGATGCTAGCTGGTTATTTTCCCCATTAGTTGATGCAGTTTCTTCATAGTGTTGATGGTCTTTACATTTTGGTTTGTTTTTGCAGTGGCTGGTACTGGTTTTTCCTTTCCATATTTAGTGCTTCCTTGAGGAGCTCTTGTAAGACAGGCCTGCTGGTGACAAAACCCCTCAGCATTTTCTGGTCTGTAAGAGATTTTATTTCTCCTTCACTTATGAAGTTTAGTTTGGCTGGATATGAAATTCTGGGTTAAAAATTCTTTTATTTAATAATGTTGAATCTTGGCCCCCCCTCTCTTCTGGCTTGTAGGGTTTCTGCAGAGAGATCCACTGTTAATCTGATGGGCTTCCTTTTGTGGGTAACCCAACCTCTGTTTCTGGCTGCCCTTAACATTTTTTCCTTCATTTCAAACTTGGTGAATCTGATGATTATGTGTCTTGGGGTTGTTCTTCTCCAGGAGTATCTTTGTGGTGTTCTCTGTATTTCCTGAATTTGAATGTTGGCCTGTCTTGCTAGACTGGGGAGGTTCTCCTGGATAATATCCTGAAGTGTGTTTTCCAACTTGGCTCCATTCTCCCCGTCACTTTCAGGTACACCAATCAAACGTAGGTTTGGTCTTTTCACATAGTCCCATAGTTCTTGGAGGCTTTGTTCATTCCTTTTCATTCTTTTTTCTCTAATCTTGTCTTCATGCTTTATTTCATTAAGTTGATCTTCAATCTCTGATATGATTTCTCCCACTTGATCAATTCTAGTATTGATACTTGTATATGCTTCACGAAGTTTTTGTGCTGTGTTTTCAGCTCCATCAGTTCATTTATGTTCTTCTCTAAACTGGATATTCTAGTTAGCAATTCTTCTAACCTTTTATTAAGGTTCTTAGCTTCCTTGCATTGGGTTAGAACATGCTCCTTTAGCTCAGAGGAGTTTATTACCCACCTTCGGAAGCCTACTTCCATCAATTTGTCAAACTCATTCTCTGTCTAGTTTTGTTTCTTTGCTGGTGAGGAGTTGTGATCCTTTGGAAGAGAAGCAGCATTCTAGTTTTTGGAATTTTCAGCCATTCTGTGCTGGGTTTTCCTCATCTTTGTGGATTTATCTACCTTTGGTCTTTGCTGTTGGTGACCTTCGAATCCTTTTTGTTGATGTTATTGCTTTCTGTTTGTTAGTTTTCCTTCTAACAGTCAGGACTCTCTTCTGCAGGTCTGCTGGAGTTTGCTGGGGGTCCACTCCACACCCTGTTTGCCTGGGTATCACAAGGGGAGGCTGCAGAACAGCAAAAATTGCTGCCTGCTCCTTCCTCTGGAAGCTTCATCCCAGAGGGGAACCTGCCAGATGGCAGTTGGAGCTCTCCTGTATGAGGTGTCTGTCAACCCCTGCTGGGAGGTGTATCCCAGTCAGGAGGCATGGGGGTCAGGGACCCACTTGAGGAGGCAGTCTGACCCTTAGCAGAGTTTGAATGCTGTGCTGGGAGAGCCGCTGCTCTCTTCAGAGCCGGGACGCAGGAACGCTTAAGTCTGCTGAAGCTGCACCCACAACTGCCTCTTCCCCCAGGTGCTCTGTCCCAGGGAGGTGGGAGTTTTATCTATAAGTCCCTGACTGGGGCTGCTGCCTTTCTTTCAGAAATGCCCTGCCCAGAGAGGAGGAATCTAGAGAGGCAGTCTGGCTACAGCGACTTTGCAGCTTGGCAGTGTTCTCTGCCCAGTCTGAACTTCTGGTGTCTTTGTTTACACTGCGAGTAGAAAACCGCCTACTCAAGCCTCAGTAATGGCAGACACCCCTCCCCCAACCAAGCTCAAGCATCCCAGGTTGACCAGACTGCTGTGCTGGCAGCTAGAATTTCCAGCCAGTGGATCTTAGCTTGCTGGGTTCTGTTGGGGTGGGATCCACTGGAGCAAGACCACTTGGCTGCCTGGCTTCAGCCCCCTTTCCAGGGGAGTGAATGGTTCTGTCTCGCTGATGTTCCAGGCGCCACTGGGGTACAAAAAAAGACTCCTGCAGCTAGCTCGGCATCTGCCCAAATGGCGGCCCAGTTTTGTGCTTGAAACTCAGGTCCATTGTGGTGTAGGTACCCGAGGGAATCTCCTGGTGTGTGGGTTGTGAAGACTGTGGGAAAAGCATCGTATCTCGGCCTGACAGCACCATCTCTCACAGCACAGTCCCTCACGGCTTCCCTTGGCTAGGGGAGGTAGTTACCCAGCCCCTTTTGCTTCCTGGGTGAGGCAATGCCCCACCCTGCTTCTGCTCACCCTCCATGGGCTGCACCCACTGTCTAACCAGCCCCAATGAGACGAACCAAGTACCTCAGTTGGAAATGCAGAAATCACCCACCTTCTGCGTTGGTCTTGCTGGGAGCTGCAGACTGGAGCTGTCCTATCTGGCCATCTTGCCTGGGAATCCCCAGTTTCCATATCTTTTAATCTAGGCAACATTTTGCTTCACTAGACATGGAAAATACATCTGTGGTATATTAAAGTGATGAATGCACATTGGTGTAGTAATCTCAGCAGGCTTCAGTCATTTTTTTGTTAGATATTAATTTCTTGAAGGAAAAGAAAATAGATTATTTTGGATATATGATCTGTCTTCTAGGAGAAGTACTAATTAATCCCGAAAAACAGATGTACTGTAAAGAAAATCAATAAAAGCTCTCTAAAAACTCACAGACTCAGGGATTAGATTTGTCCAATATTTCTTTGTTACATTGAATAAACTCTCCACTTCATGATTCAAAATCAATAATAAACTGTATTACTTATGTATAAACAAACTCACTGTGAGGGATTTCACTCTTCATATATGTTTTATAGATGAATTTTAGAAGCAGCCTACTTGTTTGTAGATTATGAAAATATTACTTTAACATACAAATAGGAATACAGAATATTTGAATAACAACAATATTAGAATATAGCTAAATGTGCTACGAAAATACTACTGTTCACTCATTCAGCAAATAGTTATTGAATACTGTCCTGAGCTTTTCCTGCTGCTATAACAAAATTTCTTAGACTGAATAATTTATAAAGTCCTGAAATTGATTTTTCATAGTTCCGGAGGCTGGGAAGCTCAACGTCAAGGTGCTGGCAGATTTAGTGTCTGACGAGGGCTGTCTTCATTCCAGCCAATCAGAAGAGGAAAAGAGCACAGATGCTCAAACATGCAATTTTTCATGAGCCAAGTTTGAAAGAGGTATAAATCTTCTATACTCACATCCCATTGGTCAATTCCATCTTAACGTATCACCCACTTAAAAGGGGATGAGAAATGTGGCTTCTGGCTGAGTGTTCATTTTCCAGCATTGTCTTACATTACGAAAGTGGAAAAAGGGAATTTTGTGAACAGCAAAACGTGGCTCCTCCAACTTCAACCTTCTTGAGTTTTGTAAGGTTGGTGGACTGGACAGGAATTTTTTTTTAATATTTTTATTCCTTCGTAATATTTATTGCCTCGTAATATTTATTCCCTTTTCTGTCTTGTATGGTTTTGGCATCTGAATTTTCCTAGTGTTACAGAATAAAATTGAGAGTTTGCCCTCTCTTTCTGTACCTTAGAATTATTCATAGAAAGTATATTGCTCTGTTCTGTGACAACTTGGAAGAACAACTCTGTAAAACAATTTCAGCCAATTGTTTACTTAATAAAGAATTTTTAAACTGATTCCAGTGATATTTTGGTTTTCTATTCCTTTTTTATTCAATTTTGGTAAAATATTCTTAGCTATTTGGACATTTTATCTCAATTTTCTAATTTTATGGCAAAATAGCCTTTTATTACCCTGTCAATCTCTGTTGAATAGATGGTATGTCACTTTTTCATTTTTACAATTATTTATTCTGGAATTTCTCTTCCTTTTTTCTCCTAGATCTAGCTCAAGATAGGCCTATCACGATTTTGTTTGTTTGTTTTGTTTCTTTGTTTCAGCTTTTCAGAGGACAAAATTTTCACATTAATATTTTTATTTTTCATATACCTATTTTATTATCTTTATGATCTCCTTTATTAATTTGGATAATTGCGTTTTACTTTTTCTAAATTACTCTGTTGAACATTTTAAAATATAGTACCCATGGTATCATTTAGTTTAAAATACCCGATGAATCTATAACGTTAGTTATTCTTAAACCATAAATTGTTTAGTGTACATGTAGCTTTAATTTCTAACGTGTTGTTGGTATTTTCCTCTTTGTTGCTAAATATTAATTATTTATTTTATGGTTTGACAACATAGCTAGGATTTTGCTGATTCTATGTATTGTGTAGCAACTAGTCTTATGAACTAATACAACATAGATTTTTATAATAGTTCATATAACTCTAAAATATGTATATTTCCTAAATTAAGACTACAATTATTAAAAAACAAAAAATTACAATTATATTTATATGAAATAAGTTTGTTAATCATGTTTAAATTTCTATTTTACCATTTTTATGTTCTTGCCTCCCTAATCAATAATGGGGACAGGGAATTCTTCTGCTGTCAGAATATACAAACGCACGCGCACGCACAGACACACACACACACACACACAATTTTATTTTGGTCAGGAACCATGAATCACACCTATAATCCCAGCACTGTAGAAGGCCAAAGTAGGAGGACTATTTGATCCTAGGAATTTGAGACCAGCCTAGCCAACATAGCAAGATCCCATCTCTACAAAAAATTAAAATTAAATATTAGCCAGCTGTGCTGGCACCTGTAGACCCAGGTAGCCGGGAGGCTGAAGTGGAAAAATTGCTTCGGCCAGGGGAGTCTCTGTTGCAGTGAGCCCTGATCACACCACCGCACTCAGCCTGGGTAACAAAGCAAGACCCTATTCCCCCCCAAAAATTTTTAAATTTCTAGGTTTTCAATAACCTCACATTATTTTACATGTGGCTACAAATTTAGATTAGTATATCCTTCAAGAAAAATGATTACTATACCATTTTGTAATACCTCTTTTTTTTTTTTTTTTTTTTGAAATAGAGTCTCGCTCTGTCGCCCAGGCTGGAGTGCGGTGGTGCAATCTCGGCTCACTGCAAGCTCCGCCTCCCGGGTTCATGCCATTCTCCTGCCTCAGCCTCCCGAGTAGCTGGGACCACAGTCGCCCGCCACCATGCCTGGCTAATTTTGTTTTTTTTTGTATTTTTAGTAGAGATGGGGTTTCACTGTGTTAGCCAGGATGGTCTCGATCTCCTGACCTCGTGATCCACCTGCCTCGGCCTCCCAAAGTGCTGGGATTACAGGTGTGAGCCACCACGCCCAGCCTCTTAATAGCTTTTTATCCCTCTTAATGATTTTCTCCTAAAGTCAATTTTTCTAATATTACCAAGTTATCCAGTTTATGTTGTTATCATTTGTGTTACATATTTTTAAACCACTTTTCTCTGTTGTTTTGACGTGTGTTTTTGTAAACGGCACATACTAGAACTTAGTTCTCAAGTATAATCTGATAATCCTGCCTTTTAACTAATAAATTTTTTCATTTTCATTTATTATAATCAGTAATAACTGATAGAGTGAGACTTGTTTTTACTATAATTTTAAAATGTAGGTTTTGGGCCAGGTGCAGTGGCTCACGCCTGTAATCCCAGTACTTTGGGAGGCCGAGGGACGCAGATCATGAGGTCAGAAGATCGAGACCATCCTGGCTAACATGGCGAAACCCGTCTCTACTAAAAATACAAAACATTAGCCAGGCATGGTGGTGGGTGCCTGTAAGTCCCAGCTACTCAGGAGGCTGAGGCAGGAGAATGGCGTGAACCCAGGAGGCGGAGCTTGCAGTGAGCTGAAATCACGCCACTGCACTCCAGCCTGGGCCACCAAAGGAGACTCTCTCTCAAAAAATTAAAAAAAAAAAATAAAGGTAGGTTTCTTTCTATTTTCTGTCTTTCCTTTTCTCTTTCTAGTATAATTAGGGGTTTTTGTTTGTTGTTACTTTGTTACTTTTTGTTGTTGAAATTCAATAACTTAGATGTTACTATTCTTATTTTGGTTACACTTGATATTTTATATTGCACACTTAAGTTAACCAAGTATAAAATAAAATTATACTCGCTTTCACAAAATATAAAATCTTAGGTATTTTAATTCTTATTTCTTTCTCTTGAGTTACGACTTGTTGGGTTTTTTCTGTCCAATATTTTAATTTCGTCTTTCCAAGAACATAGAATTTTAGACATCATTGCTTTTCTTCTCTTCAACGATATTTGTTTTTATTTACAAGCAAGTTTATAAGTTTGTTTGCTTGCCATTTCCTCCTTTATCTCAGATATTCCTCCTGGGATCATTTTCCTTCTTCTTGAAGTGTGTTCCTTATAACTTTTCACATTAAAATCTGTTGTGGCTATATTACAATACCTTATTCATCATAATTGCTGAAAAAGTAACTACTTAGAGCTGTTTATCTCCACACTATTCCATTGCCTCTGCCACTTATTGTTCCTCTTGAGAGTCCTCTGTCTGTTAATTTTCAGGCTTTTCTGAGTAACACATAGTTTGTTTTCATTCTCTGCTTGCTTTTAAGAATTTCTGCTTTGATGTCCTGCAGTTAAGGACTACTTCCTCCCCTCCCAGGTTTCAGTGGAAACCATTTGAAGGACAGGACTTGACAACAGTCCTGGAGTAACAGGTTTTCCACCCCACCCCACTGAGACAGAATCAAACAAGAGTGGGGGCTTCACCCTGCCCAGCAATGAAATGGTCAAGGCTCACAAACACACAGGAAGCCAGTGAAGGCCATGTGCGTAACAACTAGTGAGACACTTTCACCTTTCCCAGCAAGAAAGGTAGCAATGGCAACTAGTGAGGAGCCAGAAATCCTACCCTGGCCAGAAGTTACAAGCAGTAACCCTCACTGGGTGTCAACAGAGGAACCTGGATTTCTACCCTCACCTGATGGTAGTGAGTAGCACCTGTCCTTCACATATTAAACAGTGTCAAGAGAAATAGCTAAAATAAGGAAATGAGTAAGACTACGCTATATAACATAACTTCCAAAGCGTACAAATTTCAATGAAAAAACTCATTCATCATACCAAGAACCAGGGAGTTCTCAATAGAATGTTTAAAAATGAATAGATACCAACACTGAGATGACAGATAATTGGAATTACATTATAAAGATTTTAAATAGCCATTCTAAAAAATGAAAAATTGTGAACACAATTGAAACAAAATAAAGAAGCCTCATCAAATAGAAAGTCTGAGCAAAAAAATTAGAAGATATAAAAAGGAACCAAATGGAAATTTTAGAACTGAAAAGTATAACCACAATAAAACACACACATGAACATACACACAATAGATGAGCTTAACAGCAAAACGGAGGAGACAGGAAAAAAAGTGGAAAAAATATAGAACAATAGAAATAATATTGTTCTAAATAGAGAACAATAGAAATTGCCCATTGTGTAATATTGAGTGTCAACCTGATTGGATTGAAGGATGCAAAGTACTGTTCCTGGGTGTGTCTGTGGGGATGTGTTCAAAGGAGATTAACATTTGAGTCAGTGGAGTGGAAGAGGCAGACCCACCCTCTATCTGGGTGGGCACCATCTAGTCAGCTGGCAGCACAGCTAGAATAAAGCAGACAGAAGTTGGAAGAGCAGACTTGCTGAGTCTTCTGGTCATCATCTTGCTCCTTTGCTGGATGCTTCCTGCCCTTGAACATCAGACTCCAAGTTCTTCAGCTTTTGGTCTTTGGGACCCACACCAGTGATTTGCCAGGGGCTCTTGGGCCTTCGGCCACAGACTGAAGGCTGCACTGTCAGTTCCTCATTTTTGAGGTTTGGGACTCGGACTGGCTTCCAGGCTCCTCAGCTTGCAGACAGCCTATTGTGGGACTTCATCTTGTGATCGTGTCAGTCAATTCTCCTTAATAAAGTCCCTTTCATATAGACGTCTATCCTATTAGTCCTGTCCCTCTAGAGAACCCTGACTAATACGCCCATTCTATAACACAGAGGGAAAAAGCATACTGAATATAACCTTAGGAACTAGTAAAAATATAAGAAAAAAATAACATTTACATTATTAGAGGTCCAGAATGAAAAGAAAAAAAGTTGGTCTAAAAAAGCACTCAAATAATGATTAAAATTTTTCCCAAATGGCAAGAGACACAAAACCCACAGATTCAAAAAACTGAATGAACCCCAAAGAAATTCACTCATTATAGTCATAGAGTGAAAAATATAAAGATAGAAAAATACCTGAAAGTGGTGACAGAGTAGTAACACCTTACCTATAGATAAAAAGTGATTCTAATTACAGTGGATTTGTTCCTGGAAATTGTAAAGACCAGAAGGAAGTATTACATTTCTCAAGTGCTAAAAAATGTCAAACCAGAATTCTGTGTCCTGTAATAATATCATTCTGAATTAAAGAAAAAAATCAAAATATTATGAGACAAAAGTATATCAAGAGAATATGTCTCTAGAAGGCCTATTTTAAAGAATAGCTAAAGGAAATCATCTGAAAAGAAACAAAATGACTAAAAAAGGAAACTTAAATCACAGGGAAATAAGAAAAAAGATGGTAATAAAAAATATAGGTAAATATAATACTTTTTTTCTTCTCTTTATAGTTGAAGCAAAAATTATGGCATAGTTTGATGTCATTCCAACCATATATATATGTATATAGTATAGACAAAATACTTAAGAGAATTATATAATAAATGGAGAAAGGTAAAGAAATTTAAATGAGGGTAAGGTTCCTATAAATCAGTCAAACTGGTAATATAACAGCAGTACATAATGTTAAGTTGTGTCTGTATAAAGACCTAGAGAAACCACTAAAAACACTATACAAAGAGATACATTCGAAAACGCTAGCAATATATCACAATAGAATTTGGGACCAAAATTTAACTCAAAAGAAGACAAGAAAAAACACAGAGAAACAGGAAATATAGAGACCAAATAGAAAACAAAAATAAAATGGCAAAATTAAGTCCTAGTATAGCAATAATTACACTTAACACAAATGGTCCAAATACACGGATTAAAAGACAGTGTTATAACACATGACCAAACTGTACGCTTCCTACAAGAAACACACTTCAAATATAATAGTTTATGAAGGTTCAAAGTAAAAGAATAGAAAAATGATGTATCATGCACGCATTAATCAAAGGAAAACAGGAGTGGCTACATTAATCAGACAGGGATACTGAAGACTGACAAAAGGGTCAATCCACCAAGAGGACATAGCAATCTTAAATGTGTATGCCCCAAACAACAAAGCTGAAAAATATATTAAGCCAATCCTAATCTAACTGAAAGAAGAAATAGACAAATCCAAATTAAAGTGAGAGTTCAACATCCTTCACTCAATTAACAGACCAACTTAAAAATAGCAATGATATAGGAGAAATCAACAACATCATCAACCAACAGGATTTAACCAATATTTGTAGAACACTCCACCCAAAAACAAAAGAATACACATTCTTTTAATGTGTCGAATGGAGTATTCACCAAGATAGACCACGTATGAAACAAATTTTAAAAATAGAAATTATACAGAGTGTGTTCTCTACCCAAAAGGAAATCAAACGAGAAATTATAACAGAAAGATTACAGAGAAGTCTCCACACATTTGAGAACTAAATATGATACATCTAAAACATTCAGAATAAAAATGGAAGCCTCAAATACATTTTTAAAAGACAGAATGAAAATTAAAAAGAAATGTATCAAAACGTGTAGGGTAGAGCTAAAGCAGAGCTGACAGGGACATTTAAAGCATGAAATGAATACATTCAAACACAGAAAAAGCCTCAAATCAATAATATCAGCTTCTACCTCAAGAACTTAGGGAAGAAATGAGCAAATAAAGCCAAAACAATTAAAAGGAAGTAAATAACAAAGATAATAACACCCCCATGCCTCAGCCGAAGCTCGACCGGTGCAACTTCATCTAATTCACCTGTATCTTGCCCATCCCAGCTCCACTGAACCCAAATATGTCATGCTTTCATACACCAGTGAGCCCATGAGTGTGCCACTTCCTCAGCTTAGAATGCACACCCACCATTGTCTACTTGGTTAATTATTCATCAACCTGCAAGATTTCAAAGCCCTCAGAAGGGTTCTTTATCACAGGCTACAGCACACTGCAGAGTAACTGATTTCTTACCTTTTTCTTCCTCTTTGACTCAAAGCCATCTGAGAACAGATATTGCCGTCAAATTTATTAAACAAAAGATAAATATCAAAGCATATAAACACATTAGGGTGTGATAAGTGCTTCTGAGCAAAAGCTTCCAGATGCATTAGATACACTTAATAAATTATGATTGAAATAATTGCATTAAAGATACACTTTGCAGTCATGCAAATTGATACAACGATAATAAGGAGGAGCATCTATAAACACAAAATTATAGTTTCGCCAAAGTTTCTTCATAATCATCAGTGGATTTTTTCATACACAATTACCTTCAACCTTCATTTTCTTGTCAAATTAATGTTTAAATATTTAAATTTAAATTTGAATTTTAAATGGAAATATAAGCACATTGAATCCTATTAATAATATAATTCCCACAATGAAAATATCACATATCTCCTACATACACACACAGAGCCATAAAACATTTCTAAGGAATGTATGTAAATATCGATGCTATCACTGTGTATATGACCATATGTGCATATTACAGGCTTACATAGGAAGGCAGAGACCACAGAATATAATGGTGCACAAACTAGTTTTGAGGGCATGAGATCTGGAGTTGAACCCCATTTCTATTACTTACTATTGATAGAACCTTCCTGAGCATGATTTGCCACCTTAAAAACGTGGGCACAGTACTCAATGCCTATCTTATAATATTATGAAAACATTTTAAAGATGACACCCGTGAGTTTTTTTACCAATTATTATATTGATGTCACGTGATACTACTGGAACTATATTCATTGGTAAATGAAGCTCCTTTTCAAACTTTATCCAATTTCTCTCTCACTCACACTTATTTCCAACTTGTCTTGTCATATTATGCTGTAAATTAGGTGATTAAATCTTTTTTCACTTTGAAAAATATGGTGAGTCATTTATAGAAACATTTGTAAGACTGATCACTGGGGTAGCTCATAAATGATTTCCAGCTTATACTCCTTTTGTCTGCCCATCATTCATAGACAATTTAAAATATTACTGGCCAATTTAACATTTATTAAATAACCCAATGCCTCATCATTTACCTTGAATGAGAGTGGGGCAACCTTTTTTAATAGGAATGTTAGAAATTCCTGGACCCATGGTTCCTATTTGGCTAGCTCCTGTAAAAAGCCTGGAGAAATAGTTGCTTTAAAGCATTATATTATTGCACTGTATTTTGAAAGAGCATTAAGAGGGCACTGCAGATATATCTAAGAAATGACAAATACAATGGAAAGAATATTTTTGAGAATTTTTAACACCTTAAAATCTTAGAGAAAGTAGCTAGGAAAATCATCTCTTAAGCTTTTGTCATTAATAAAAAGTATTCTTACTCATTTGACCTTAGAACTGCATATTTCAACCAAATGACCGTGTTGCTTAAGGCTGCAGAGCTAAGATGCTCGGAATGTCCCTTATCAATCATCCTCAGAACTGTCAAATAAATTTATACTGTAGAATCACTATCATCAGCTTTGAAATCTGAGAGAAGAACACAGCTTGAGTTTTCAGATTGCAGGTTAAAACTCTGGGAAAAGTCTTTTCATTTATAAGCTAATCTTTGAAATTCAATTCAAGTTAAATTCATATTTGCCGTTGCACATGAGTATATTGAATGTTTTAGTTACCTTTCCTGGTCTGCCACCAGCAAGCTAGAGAAGACCTCTGTTTTGCGGGTTGGGATCTGAAAAAAAAAAAATATATATATATATATATAAAATATAAAAATGTATATATATAAATTTTTATTATATAATATGTAATATGTATAAATAATACATATATATATTTCCTATTTTGTGGACCCTGCAAATGTCTGAACCCTCTAAGCTCTGAACGATTACTGCTATAAATACTCTTCAGTGAGAAAATATACCTTTTATATAAAATGATACTTTTCTTTATTACACAAAACTTACTCGTCTTTGCAAAACTGTAATCTAAAATAAGCACCAAAAATGGAAAGAAAGCATTCCTCCTGTTTCTGCAGAGTATCAGTGCCTTAGTATACCCTTTATCGTTTCTCTAGAGGAAGACACACAGTGTTGCATTCATCTGCTCTATTTAATTAATATATTGTGAACCAGCTAATACGTTCTTAGTGATGATTTGGGGGAAGTTCTGGGATAGAGAGCTTTTTGAGTAAGTTCACATGGAGCTAATGGGTCCTCATTCATGTCGTTATTCTGATTCTATTTATGCTGTCCTTGAATACTATACTAGGATCCTTGGCCTGTGTTTTCCTCCAGAAGAAAGTCAAGGCAGAACAGCCTGTCTTCTGACACCGAATAAATTCTCTGAAGCTTCTGCCTTTCTGACACCAAGGTCCTTATGCCGTAGATGCCCCTGGACTCCCTGTATTCCCATCATTCTGCATTATCTTGAGGTCTTGCTTCATTTCTCTTGTAAGTTTTGCTTCTAACTTTGCAACGTGCATCTTACACTACCCCTGTCCGCAAACTTCCCAGCCCTCCTTTCCTCATTGCAGCTGATGATGGGACACGGCTGTTCCCACAGAAATGCTCCATCTTCCCATCGCTGACAGACAAGCACAGCGTCTTTCTATTCTGCAGTAGGATGAAGCTCCCTTCCTGTCACTAACCATAAATACCCGACCCCACCTCCTCTCCCTGCCCAGTGACTTCTCTTCCTGTTTTCCCTCTCTCCTTCCCTGATCTCTCATCCATTAAACTGTCCCAACCTAGCCCACAAACAGCTCACTCTTCCCCAGCTTCAAATAACAGCCCTCACTGATCCCCAAGTGTGTTCAGAGATATTCATCCGATCCTCCTGCTACAAGCTCCATGACTCAGCCTCCCCACACTGTGCCCAGCACAGAGAGCCCAGGCATGGACAGATCCCAGGACGGACAGCCCCCAGCATGGACAGCCGCCAGCATAAACAAACCCCACCATGGACAGACAGCGGCATAGGCAGCCCCCAGCATGGACAGACCCTGGACATGGACAGCCCCCACCACGGACAGACTCCATCGTGGACAGCCCCCAGCATAAACAGACCCTATCATGGACAGCCCCCAGCATGGACAAACCCTGGACATGGACAGCCCCCACCACGGACAGACTCCATCGTGGACTTCTCCCAGCATAAACAGACCCTATCATGCACAGCCCCCAGCATGGACAGGCCCTGGACATGGACAGCCCCCAGCACGGAGAGCAAGTCTGAAATCTCCAGGGCAGATTGACAGGCTAGAAATATAGGCAAAAACTTGATCATGCAATCTTTTAGGCAGATTGTGTTCTTTGGGTAACCCCAGTCTTTGGTTTTCAATTATTTGGAGGAAACCTACCCATGTTACGGGGGACAATCTGCTTTACCCAAATTCTCCTGACTCGAAACCAAGTCCCTTTCACATGGTAACTTCACAGCACATCCAGACGACTGTGTGACGGAACCACAGGCGCCACCGCCTCGCCAGGCTGATGTAGAGTCAGCCATTCCGCTTCTCAAAGGAGCCGAGTCTGCTCCCACAGGAGGTGATTCTTCCTGAGCTCCCCCCTTAGAAGGTGCAGGATTGTATTTGTCACGCCATATGGTCCCTAAGCCAATGAGGTCTCCCGTGTCTTCAAAGTTGGCACTTGTTAAATGAAACATGCTCCAACTCATTTTGAAGCAAGGTAGGGTCCTTATTTAAATTTGATTCATGTGTCTACATTAGACAGATTTTCAGGGGGACACCACACCGGGAGCATGACTCTGTTTCTGTGTATCTACTAGATGTGTGTCTGCTAGAATAATCATTACAGTATCGTTCTTCCAGGAGATATAAGGGAAGGAAAATAAAAGGATAAATCACATGCTTAGATAAAAGAATGGGAGGTGACTTGGTTTTAGGGGAGCATTTTGGACTTTAAATCTCTGCAGACAAGCCAGATTCCAGCAGAGGTTCTGAAACTCACTTTCTGCATGGTGAAATCACATAATTTACTCATATCTCAGAATCCCCGAGCATAGAAAATAGCTTGCTTTCTTTTCTTGCCAAACTCCCAAGAATACACAGAAAAATCCTCTAACAACTTCAAATCTTCTTGAACAAGATGGAAAGGGATAAACAATGAAACTTTAAGCCCTTTTGGAAATTCAAATCCAAATTGTTGATTGACGTCAAACTCAGAGAGAAACAAATTAGGTTCTGACTGTGAGGCGGCTTATTTTATACATTCTCGTCTGGCATAAAGAAATTATACTCTGACCTGGCTTCATATTGCCTATCAGTAAAATACATAAAACAACCTCCACTTAATCATGTTTAGGAAGGAATAGGATTTAGTTCCTTTGAAATTATATATTTGATTTTAAAAAATTTATGTACCTTCATTTGCACATTTGAATAGATTGCTTTCACAGTTATATTTTTATAGGTTTGTTATTTTGTGGTAAGGAGGGGATTATAGCTGTCTTCCCTAAAAAAAGTATCCATTTTACACTATATGTGAAGGGAATGGGATGGAGTTGATATTTCTAGTTTATATTATTAAAATAAATCATTGCTTACCATCTGAGATTTCAAATTCACACTTTCAGTTCATATTATTTATAATTTAGGAAATCTGTTTGCAGTACAATTCACTGCCCTACAAAGGCATGCCTCTTGCTAATGAACTGGTAACTCCGTCTTCCTCAAAAACATATGTTTAAAAATTAATGTTTAATTTTCAATTTAGAAAATGTGTAAAGACAAAAAGGAAATTTAAAAAACAGCACGAGAGATTTAATAGTAAACATTTTTGCCTAAAATTTCTCACCAATGGTCTCCTCTGAAAAGATTAATGCCATCTTATTAAAGACATTGAAAATGCCTCAAAGATAGTATTACAGTTTTTTAATGGCTGTTTAATATTCATCTAATCTCATCGTAAAATTTGGGGGAAGTTCTGGGATAGAGAGTTTTTTGAGTAAGTTCACATGGAGCTAATGGGTCCTCAATCATGTCATTATTCTGATTCTATTTATGCTGTCCTTGAATACTATACTAGGATACTTGGCCAGTTTAAACTTCATGAACATTTAACATCATTGAACATTTACATATGAAAACCGTGCAGCCACTGCACTTCAGCCTGGGCGACAGAAGGAGACTCCATCTCCAAAAAAAATAAATAGGAGGGAGGAGCCAAGATGGCCGAATAGGAACAGCTCCAGTCTACAGCTCCCAGCCTGAGCGACGCAGAAGACAGGTGATTTCTGCATTTCCATCTGAGGTACCGGGTTCATCTCACTAGGGAGCGCCAGACAGTGGGCGCAGGTCAATGGGTGCGCGCACCGTGCGCGAGCCAAAGCAGGGCGAGGCATTGCCTCACTCAGGAAGTGCAAGGGGTCAGGGAGTTCCCTTTCCTAATCAAAGAAAGGGGTGACGGACGGCACCTGGAAAATCGGGTCACTCCCACCCGAATACTGCGCTTTTCTGACGGGCTTGAAAAAAGGCGCACCACAAGATTATATCCCGCACCTGGCTCAGAGGGTCCTACCCCACGGAGTCTCGCTGATTGCTAGCACAGCAGTCTGAGATCAAACTGCAAGGTGGCAGCCAGGCTGGGGGAGGGGCGCCCGCCATTGCCCAGGCTTGCTTAGGTAAACAAAGCAGCCTGGAAGCTCGAACTGGGTGGAGCCCACCACAGCTCAAGGAGGCCTGCCTGCCTCTGTAGGCTCCACCTTGGGGGCCGGGCACAGACAAACAAAAAGACAGCAGTAACCTCTGCAGACTTAAATGTCCCTGTCTGACAGCTTTGAAGAGAGCAGGGGTTCTCCCAGTACGCAGCTGGAGATCTGAGAAGGGGCAGACTGCCTCCTCAAGTGGGTCCCTGACCCCTGACCCCCGAGCTGCCTAACCGGGAGGCACCCTCCAGCAGGGGCACACTGACATCTCACACTGCAGGGTACTCCAACAGACCTGCAGCTGAGGGTCCTGTCTGTTAGAAGGAAAACTAACAAACAGAAAGGACATCCACACCAAAAACCCATCTGTACATCACCATCATCAAAGACCAAAAGTAGATAAAACCACAAAGATGGGGAAAAAACAGAACAGAAAAATTGGAAACTCTAAAAAGCAGAGTGCCTCTCCTCCTCCAAAGGAACGCAGCTCCTCACCAGCAACGGAAGAAAGCTGGACGGAGAATGACTTTGACGAGCTGAGAGAAGAAGGCCTCAGATGATCAAATTACTCTGAGCCATGGGAGGACATTCAAACCAAAGGTAAAAAGTTGAAAACTTTGAAAAAAATTTAGAAGAATGTATAACTAGAATAACCAATACAGAGAAGTGCTTAAAGGAGCTGATGGAGCTGAAAACCAAGGCTCGAGAACTACGTGAAGAATGCAGAAGCCTCAGGAGCCGATGCGATCAACTGGAAGAAAGGGTATCAGCAATGGAAGATGAAATGAATGAAATGAAGCAAGAAGGGAAGTTTAGAGAAAAAAGAATAAAAAGAAATGAGCAAAGCCTCCAAGAAATATGGGACTATGTGAAAAGACCAAATCTACGTCTGATTGGTGTACCTGAAAGTGATGGGGAGAATAGAACCAAGTTGGAAAACACTCTGCAGGATATTATCCAGGAGAATTTCCCCAATCTAGAAAGGCAGGCCAACGTTCAGATTCAGGAAATACAGAGAACGCCACAAAGATACTCCTCGAGAAGAGCAACTCCAACACAGGTAATTGTCAGATTCACCAAAGTTGAAATGAAGGAAAAAATGTTAAGGGCAGCCAGAGAGAAAGGTCGGGTTACACTAAAAGGGAAGCCCATCAGACTAACAGTGGATCTCTCGGCAGAAACTCTACAAGCCAGAAGAGAGTGGGGACCAATATTCAACATTCTTAAAGAAAAGAATTTTCAACCCAGAATTTCATATCCAGCCAAACTAAGCTTCGTAAGTGAAGGAGAAATAAAATACTTTACGGACAAGCAAATGCTGAGAGATTTTGTCACCACCAGGCCTGCCCTAAAAGAGCTCCTGAAGGAAGCGCTGAACATGGAAAGGAACCACCGGTACCGGCTGCTGCAAAATCATGCCAAAATGTAAAGACTATCGAGATTAGGAAGAAACTGCATCAACTAACGAGCAAAATAACCAGCTAACATCATAATGACAGGATCAAATTCACACATAACAATATTAACTTTAAATGTAAATGGACTAAATGCTCCAATTAAAAGACACGGACTGGCAAATTGGATAAAGAGTCAAGACCCATCAGTGTGCTGTATTCAGGAAACCCATCTCACGTGCAGAGACACACATAGGCTCAAAGTAAAAGGATGGAGGAAGATCTACCAAGCAAATGGAAAACAAAAAAAGGCAAGGGTTGCAATCCTAGTCTCTGATAAAACAGACTTTAAGCCAACAAAGATCAAAAGAGACAAAGAAGGCCATTACATGATGGTAAAGGGATCAATTCAACAAGAAGAGCTAACTATCCTAAATATATATGCACCCAATACAGGAGCACCCAGATTCATAAAGCAAGTCCTGAGTGACCTACAAAGAGACTTAGACTCCCACACATTAATAATGGGAGACTTTAACACCCCACTGTCAACATTAGACAGATCAACGAGAGAGAAAGTCAACAAGGATACCCAGGAATTGAACTCAGCTCTGCACCAAGCAGACCTAATAGACATCTACAGAACTCTCCACCCCAAATCAACAGAATACACATGTTTTTCAGCACCACACCACACCTATTCCGAAGTTGACCACATACTTGGAAGTAAAGCTCTCCTCAGCAAATGTAGAAGAACAGACATTATAACAAACTATCTCTCAGACCACAGTGCAATCAAACTAGAACTCAGGATTAAGAATCTCACTCAAAACCGCTCAGCTACGTGGAAACTGAACAACCTGCTCCTGAATGACTAGTGGGTACATAACGAAATGAAGGCAGAAATAAAGATGTTCTTTGAAACCAACGAGAACAAAGACACAACATACCAGAATCTCGGGGACGCATTCAAAGCAGTGTGTAGAGGGAAATTTATAGCACTAAATGCCCACAAGAGAAAGCAGGAAAGATCCAAAATTGACACCCTAACATCACAATTAAAAGAACTAGAAAAGCAAGAGCAAACACATTCAAAAGCTAGCAGAAGTCAAGAAATAACTAAAATCAGAGCAGAACTGAAGGAAACAGAGACACAGAAAACCCTTCAAAAAATTAATGAATCCAGGAGCTGGTTTTTTGAAAGGATCAACAAAATTCATAGACTGCTAGCAAGACTAATAAAGAAAAAAAGAGAGAAGAATCAAATAGATGCAATGATAAATGGGATATCACCCATTTATAAAATGGTAAAGGGGATATCACCACCGATCCCACAGAAATACAAACCACCATCAGAGAATACTACAAACATCTCTATGCAAATAAACTAGAAAATCTAGAAGAAATGGATAAATTCCTTGACACATACACTCTCCCAAGACTAAACCAGGAAGAAGTTGAATCTCTGAATAGACCAATAACAGGATCTGAAATTGTGGCAATAATCACTACCTTACCAACCAAAAAGAGTCCAGTACCAGATGGATTCACAGCCGAATTCTACCAGAGGTACAAGGAGGAACTGGTACCATTCCTTCTGAAACTATTCCAATCAATAGAAAAAGAGGGAATCCTCCCTAACTCATTTCATGAGGCCAGCATCATTCTGATACGAAAGCCGGGCAGAGACACAACCAAAAAAGAGAATTTTAGACCAATATCCTTGATGAATATTGATGCAAAAATCCTCAATAAAATACTGGCAAACCGAATCCAGCAGCACATCAAAAAGCTTATCCACCATGATCAAGTGGGCTTCATCCCTGGGATGCAAGGCTGGTTCAATATACACAAATCAATAAATGTAATCCAGCATATAAACAGAGCCAAAGACAAAAACCACATGATTACCTCAACAGATGCAGAAAAGGCCTTTGACAAAATTCAACAACGCTTCATGCTAAAAACTCTCAATAAATTAGGTATTGATGGGACATATTTCAAAATAATAAGAGCTATCTATGACAAACCCACAGCCAATATCATACTGAATGGGCAAAAACTGGAAGCATTCCCTTTGAAAACTGACACAAGACAGGGATGCCCTCTCTCACCACTCCTATTCAACATAGTGTTGGAAGTTCTGGCCAGGGCAATTAGGCAGGAGAAGGAAATAAAGGGCATTCAGTTAGGAAAAGAGGAAGTCAAATTGTCCCTGTTTGCAGATGACATGACTGTATATCTCGAAAACCCCATTGTCTCAGCCCAAAATCTCCTTAAGCTGATAAGCAACTTCAGCAAAGTCTCAGGATACAAAATCAATGTGCAAAAATCACAAGCATTCCTATACACCAACAACTGACAAACACAGAGCCAAATCATGAGTGAACTCCCATTCACAATTGCTTCAAAGAGAAGAAAATACCTAGGAATCCAACTTACAAGGGAGATGAAGGACCTCTTCAAGGAGAACTACAAACCACTGCTCAAGGAAATAAAAGAGGATACAAACAAATGGAAGAACATTCCATGCTCATGGGTAGGAAGAATCAATATCGTGAAAATGGCCATACTGCCCAAGGTAATTTACAGATTCAATGTCATCCCCATCAAGCTACCAATGCCTTTCTTCACAGAATTGGAAAAAACTACTTTAAAGTTCATATGGAACCAAAAAAGAGCCCACATCACCAAGTCAATCCTAAGCCAAAAGAACAAAGCTGGAGGCATCACACTATCTGACTTCAGACTATACTACAAAACTACAGTAACCAAAACAGCATGGTACTCGTACCAAAACAGAGATATAGATCAATGGAACAGAACAGAGCCCTCAGAAATAACACCACATATCTACAACGATCTGATCTTTGACAAACCTGAGAAAAACAAGCAATGGGGAAAGGATTCCCTATTTAATAAATGGTGCTGGGAAAACTGGCTAGCCATATGTAGAAAGCTGAAACTGGATCCCTTCCTTACACCTTATACAAAAGTCAATTCAAGATGGATTAAAGACTTAAACGTTAGACCTAAAACCATAAAAACCCTAGAAGAAAACCTAGGCATTACCATTCAGGACATAGGCATGGGCAAGGACTTCATGTCTAAAACACCAAAAGCAATGGCAACAAAAGACAAAATTGACAAATGGGATCTAATTAAACTAAAGAGCTTCTGCACAGCAAAAGAAACTACCATCAGAGTGAACAGGCAACCTACAAAATGGGAGAAAATTTTCGCAACCTACTCATCTGACAAAGGGCTAATATCCAGAATCTACAATGAACTCAAACAAATTTACAAGAAAAAAACAAACAACCCCATCAAAAAGAGGGCGAAGGACATGAGCAGACACTTCTCAAAAGAAGACATTTATGCAGCCAAAAACCACATGAAAAAATGCTCACCATCACTGGCCATCAGAGAAATGCAAATCAAAACCACCATGAGATACCATCTCACACCAGTTAGAATGGCCATCATTCCAAAGTCAGGAAAAAACATGTGCTGGAGAGGATGTGGAGAAATAGGAACACTTTTACACTCTTGGTGGGACTGTAAACTAGTTCGACCATTGTGGAAGTCAGTGTGGCGATTCCTCAAGGATCTAGAACTAGAAATACCATTTGACCCAGCCACCCCATTACTGGGTATATACCCAAAGGACTATAAATCATGGTGCTATAAAGACACGTGCACACGTATGTTTATTGCGGCATTATTCACAATAGCAAAGACTTGGAACCAACCCAAATGTCCAACAATGATAGACTGCATTAAGAAAATGTGGCACATATACACCATGGAATACTATGCAGCCATAAAAAATGATGAGTTCATGTCCTTTGTAGGGACATGGATGAAATTGGAAATCATCATTCTCAGTAAACTATTGCAAGAACAAAAAACCAAACACCGCATATTCTCACTCATAGGTGGGAATTGAACAATGAGATCACATGGACACAGGAAGGGGAACATCACACTCTGGGGACTGTTGTGGGGTGGGGGAGGGGGGAGGGATAGCATTGGGAGATATACCTAATGCCAGATGACGAGTTACTGGGTGCAGCACACCAGCATGGCACATGTATACATATGTAACTAACTTGCACAATGTGCACATGTACCCTAAAACTTAAAGTATAATTTAAAAAAATAAATTAAAAAATAAATTAATAAAAATAAAATAAAAAGAAAAACGTGAGTCATTTTGAACATGTGATTTTTTAATACCAAGCATCTTCATGTTTTTCTCGCATGTGAGAGAAGAAAGAATGTTTATTACTATGTGATAGGATCTATTATTATTTAAAATCAAAGTTCCTTAAGGTTGTAGTGTTAAATATTGCAACAGGAACTGCTTAAAGTCATTTTGTTAAAATCAGCTGAGAATCCTCCACCACACCAGCGTCAGAGGCTCACAGAGGCTCCGCCCCCTCATGACGGCAGCCTCACGCCCTGTTCCTCCGGGTTCCAGGGCAAGCGTAGGACCAGGAGAGCCAATCAGATACCTCAGCCCCATCACGCTCTCCATGGTTTCCACTCACAGTTCGCCGGTTATAACGAGTCACAAGGCCACACCTAAAGTCAAGGAAGTAGGAATGATGATGGTCTATGGAGACAGAGGACAACTGGGTGTGGTGAATCTCAGTCTCGCCGACCCCAGCCCAACCTCGTAGCAGGGCAGAGCACAGCAGCGCAGCGCAGGGGTGAACAGCACGCACCCTGCAGGCAGATGGTGAGGGTTGCAAGGTGGATGCCTGCAGTTACTTCCCTATAATACCGGGGCAAGTTGTTGAAGCGCTCCAGACCTCACGGTCCTTGCCTGTAAAGCTACGTATAGAACAATATCTGTCTCTGGGATTCTGCTAAGAGCTGAGTTAACAGATGTTAAGCACGGAAACAGTGCGTGGGACCCATGAACACTCAGTAATCACTCCCAGTACTGTGATGTGAGTCCAGCAAAGACCCAGCTGTGCCCTACCAAGACCATATTTACTTCAAGCACAATAAATAGAAAAGCCCACACCTCGTTTAGAGCTTACTCCATCACTTTATGGTAAAGAGCTCACTCTAAGTTTCATTCTGGGTTCAGCATCAAATATAAGATGTTAAAAGGCAACAGGCACAGTCGTCTTGGGTTCCTCTCCTAAGGAAGAGTTATCCCCTAAGGAAAGGTATCCCCCAGGTTCCCGGGTGTCTGCAAGAGCTTGGGACACAGAAGAAGCAGTTTTGCAGAACCAAGTGTATTCTTAGAAGAGAGAAGATTTTGCCCCAAATATTCCAAATTTTTGCATTGAAATTACGAAAAAAATTAGAAGATTATGCTACCAAGCAAAAGAGCTCTTTTCTTTTTCTTGCGATTTTATCCATGTTTTAATAAATAAAGGACAAGCATTTTGCTACCACTCCAAGCAAACACCAAGAAAGTGAAGGCCTTCCACACCTCCCCAGTCCCCCACACCTCCCCAGTCCCCCACACTCCAACCTCATTCTCTAGGAGCCACCCGAAGAAGATTAGCATCAGCACACGGCACGGTTAGTAAATGTGTGTGCTGTTCAATTGTCCACATTTATGGATCAATGCATTCAAATATGACATTTACTTTAATGCACCTCGTTTTTTAAAAACGGTATTGCTATTCTTCCATACTACATATGGCAATTTTTGTCTTTCAAAACTTCTATACTTTGGTGTAGCAGAATACATCTAGATTTTGTCTTTCAAAGCTTCTATACTTTGGTGTAGCAGAATACATCTAGAAAAACATAGTAGAAGATTATTTGGATGTAAAAGGACATAAGTATAACAATTTTATTACTTTTCTAAAAAAAAGGACTGGATGTTTTTGTGTAAGTATTATATCATTATTATTTAAGTAATATTATCAAATAAAATATTGCAACAGGAACTGCTTAAAGTCATTTTGTTCAAATCACTTGAGATCCCTCCGCCAAGTAACTTTTATGATCTGCCTTAAGTCATTTTAATATTTCAAAAATACCTTAAGAAATATATAAACATAAACAAAATATTATTTAAAATAATCATTGTTTCATAACTGAGCAGTATCACTTTAATATAAAGTGATTTTAATAGAAAGCCTGCCAAAATAGCTTATTAATATCTATATTTTTCTGAACTAAAGTCTAAATATAATTTTAATAATTTTTATGTCTTCTTTAATAAATAGTGATGTCTTCTTTTCTCTGTAGGTGGTCTTCCCATTGCAACTTGCATTTATTTGTTTATTTATTTTGAGACGGAGTCTCACTCTGTAGCCCAGGCTGGAGTGCAGTGGTGCTACCTCGGCTCACTGCAACCTCCACCTCCCAGGTTCAAGCAATTCTCCCGCCTCAGCCTCCCAAGTAGCTGGGATTACAGACACCTACCACCATGTCCAGCTAATTTTTGTATTTTTAGTAGAGACGGGGTATTACCATGTTGGCCAGGCTTGTCTCAAGCCCCTGACCTCAGGTGATCCATCCGCCTCAGCCTCCCAAAGTCCTGGGATTACAGGCATGAGCCACCACGCCCAGCCACATAGATGCCTTTTTAAGGCTGAATCCTGTTCTGTTGCACATAGATGCCACAGTATGTGGATCTATTCATCCATTGATGGACACCTGGGTTGCTTCCACCCTCTGGCTGTTACGAATGGTGTTGCTATGAACGTGGATATAAAATATCTCTTTAAGACACTGATTGAATTCTTTTAGGTACATACTCAGAAGTGAGACTGGCAGGTTATATGGTAGTTCTATCTTCAGTTTTTTTGAGGAACCACCAGACTGTTTTCTGCAACCGCTGCCCCATTAACTTGTTTGTGGTAATCACTATACAATCTATATACATATAAAATAATAACATTGTACACCACGGCTCTCTGGTGGTCACTCACACAGGTGCACAGGGCAGAAAGCCTCAAGCCGCCCAGCTGAGGTTGAACAAGGCTCCACACGGTGAGACGCGTGTCCTTTTCACAGTGGATGTAGTGCCCTGCTTTTGCATGTGTGAGTGTGTATGTTGGTGATTTCACTGTTTAAATGGCCCCCAATCAATACTGAAGTGCTGACGGCTGCTTCTAAGTACATGAAGGCTGTTACGTGCTTTATGGAAAAGACTTTTGCTCGAGCAGGCAGGAGTTATAGTGATGGTGGCCATGAGTTCAAAGAGAAGGAGTCAACAATAGATATTAAATCAGTTGTCTTTAAACAGAAATACACATTCAACAGCAACTTCCATTTCCTCCTCCAGCCTTTGGAAGCCACCATTCTATTCTCTGCATCCACAAATCTGAGTAGTTCAGATATCTCAATTAGGAAAACTCACACAGTATTTTTCTTCTATGACTGGCCGTTTCACTTACCATCATGTCCTCCAGGTTCTCTTCAAAGTCTCACTTACGCAAGATGAAAAAGTTCTAGACATCTTCTGCACAATATTTGGCTTTCACTTAATGATACCGTACTGCACACTTAAAAATTTGTTAAAAAGATACATCTTCTGTTATCTGCTCTGACTACAGTAAAAATAATAAAATAATAATTATAATAAATAGAGTGCTGGTTGCCAATAAACAGGAAGTAAAACAGAAACACATTAAACAAGCTTGTGTATTGATCAGTAGAAGAATACGTTGAGATAAAAGCTCAGAGGAATCTAACCTAGTATTTCCCTCAGGAGCAATGGTTTGGTGTTTGCTAATCCAGGGTTTGTAGTGAGTCTGTAGAATATATTTCCCACAAATCATGAGAATACACATAAAATTAACATATAAAAGTCAAAAGCCTTTGTATACCAAACTATAATGAGCCAGAGAACACAAAGGTAGAAAAAAATAGCACAAAGATCAAATACAAAGAAGTAAACTTCACAAAAAACACGTAAACCGATAGCAGAAAAACTTACAACAATCCCAAAAAGCACAAGAGTCTTTAAGCCCTGAGCCTGAACCAACCCAAAGCCAACCATGCTGGCACCCTGAGCTCCAACCTCAACCTCCACAAAATAAATGTCTGCTGTCGACAAGTCACCCCGTGTGTAATACTTTGTCAGAGCCGCCTGAACAGACTAAGAAGAGGCTGATGAAGAGAGGACTCTGCACAAAGGCTGAGCTCTGCTCAGTAGATTTGCTTCTCCGAGAAGGATACATCAGCAATTCTGAACCCGCTTTGTGTCTATGCCAGGAATAGAACAAATAAGTAAATATATTGTGGATAATGAGAGTCCAGTTCTCACTGTCAGAAAAGGAAGTTACAAATAAGGAAGGGGGCTTGCTGGAATGATTCCTCTAGTGTCGGATTAAAATTGGAAGTGTCGGTATTGACTCACTCTCTGATACATGGATATAGATACAGACATAGATACACATAGAAATAAATACGGAAGTGTGTGTATGTGTACAGGTTAATAATATACATGCCTTTATTTCCACAACTGTCCACTGAGCAGCCTAGAAATGATGATACCTCAGTAGCAACGAGCACACCTATGTAAAATTCATGATTTATAAAAGCCATTCTCTTATAAAAGGGATCAGGTCTGCTTGGAGAAGTGGCTGACTCCACGACCTGAGTCTGGAAATAACGTGTGGTGCTGCAAAGTAAGGCTATACCCACACCCCTGAAAAAGGGGGAAAAAAAGAAGGCTGGGAGAATGTTTGGAGGAACACTGGAGTCACTCCAAAGCCAGAGGGGCCCCCGGTCACCAAAGCTGGATCAATTGGAAATCAATAATGATAGTATTGCATCATAACCCGCAGAATAAGATAAATACCCACAAGTCCATACCTAAAATAGTTAATGGAATAAATGTACATAAGTGAGTAGAAGGGGTAGCACTTCCTTGTAAAACAATGCCAAGTAGCAGGTGTAGAGGAAGGAAGAAAGAATGAACTGACCACAACCAATCATCACATCAACACAGCAACCAGGGCAAGACCCGCCATGGGCGCCACTCCCTGCAGGGAAGCTGCCTTTATCTCCAGCTGCCTCAATAGAGACAACAGAGGAAGTAAGAGAAAGGTGATATTCAAATTTCCTCTTTCTAAGAGCTCAGGATGTCCAAGAGGTGATGAAAGACACTGATGTTTGCATGCTTGTTGACTGGCATTTCCATGCCCCCTGTCTCTCTCTTTCCACTGCCCTTCTCCTATCTCATCCCAAATGAGAGGACCTGTGCAAACCTGAAGTCTTGGACTAAGGCACAGTTGTCCGTTAAGTGTTGCTCTAAATTATTTTTAACCCCACAAGGTTGGCACTAATATTTCTATGCAGTGTTTACTATACGGATGTGTGTGTACACATAATAAACATTATTCAGATGTGTATGTCTATACACATACACACATCCATATAATAAATGGAATTATTAGTTTTAACCCCACAAGGTTGGCAGTAATATCTCTATGCAGTGTTTAGTATACCCAAAATCCTCTATTTTTGTTGCCTTTAAAACTTCTTTTGTAGATCACTTTTTCCACGTAAGTACATCATTTAGAAGATTATGTCTTCAAGTGAGCATTTGTGGTCATTCTATTCATCTAAAACGTCTTTATTCTTGAGATGTAGAATTCCTTTTTTTTTTCATTGCTTGATTGACACTTACATTTCCTCAGCCTTTATTGTTGTGAGGAACTGGGCTGCAGAGCAGGAGGTGAGTGGGGGCATCCTCTGTATTTACAGCCCCTCCCCATGGCTCACATGACCTCCTGAGCTCCTCCTCCTGTCCGATCAGCGGCAGCCTTAGATTCTCATGGGAGTGCGAACCCTATGGTAAACGGCACATGTGAGGGATCTAGGTTATGTGCTCCTTACAAGGATCTAATGCCTGATGATCTGTCGCTGTCTCCCATCACCCCCAGATGAGACCATCTAGTTGCAGGAAAACAAACTCAGGGCTCCCACTGATTCTATGCAAAATGGTGAGTTGTGTAATTATTTTGTTATATATTGCAAAGTAATAAGAATAGAAATAATGTGCACAATAAATGTAATGTGCTTGAATCACCCCTAAACCATTCCCCTGCACACCGGGTTCGTGGAAAATTGTCTCCCACTAAACCGGTCCCTAATGCCAAAAAGGTTGGGGACTTCTGGGCTAAAGAAATAAAAAAGAAATCCAGGACTTGGGAGGATTTCAGGGAAAGACTTGAATGCCTGGGAGAGCCCGGTTCCTGTTAAAGCAAGTACGTTAAAGTGTTCTGCTGTGCAGGAGCTTTTTAGTTTGATGTAGTTCCACTTGTTTGTTTTCATTTTTATTACCTGTGCTTTTGGCGTCTTCTCTAAAAAACCATTGCCAAGACTAATGCCAAGAAGCTTTCCCTTAAGTTTTCTTCAAGAAGGTTTGTGGTCTCAGATCTCATACTTAAGCCTTTATCCATTTCCAGTGGATTTTTGTGTATGATGCAAGATAAGAGTCCAGTTTTTTTCTTCTGCATGTGGACATCCAGTTCCTGTCACACTGTTTGTTGAAGAGACTTTCTTTTCTACACTGTGTGTTCTTGGTGCCCTTGTCAAAGATTAATGGACAGCATACACCTGAGTTTGTTTCTAGACTCTATTCTATTCCGTTGGTCTGTGCATCTGTTTTTATGCCAGTGCCACACTGTTTTGAATACTGTAGCTTCATGATATGCTTTGAAATCAGGAAATGTGATGGCTCCAGCTTTATTCTTCTTTCTCAAAATTGCTTTGGCTATATAGGGTCTTCTGTGGTTCCATGCAAATTTTAGAATATGTTTTCTATTTTTGTAAAGAATGGCATTGGAATTTGTGATGGGTGTTTTAATTAACTTGTTTGTGGTAATCACTACACAATGTATATGCATATCAAATCATCACACTGTACACCTTAAAAATATTCAATGTTAATTTGACAATTCAATATTTTAAAATAAAAAAAAATTTAACAGGAAGTAGCTTAAAGGGAATTCCAGAGATGCACATGAGGATACTTTGAGAGTCAGGATGATGGCCCACATGGTGGAATGGCAGGACCTAAGCAGATGAGTCAGCGAGTGAGATGGAAGCAAAAGAGGTTGATGGGAGAGCTTATAAAGCTTGCAGGATATAGGAGCAACACACACAAAAGTTACTAGCATTTGTAAATACCCAAGCCTTGTATATTTCTTACCTCAGGCCAGGTGCTGTTCTAAGTGTTTTCATACATTTTCCCATTTAATCCTACAAATGACCCCTTGAGCAAAAGCCAGCCAGCGACACCTGCATCTCAGGCAGCAGGGCTCCAGAGTCCACAATCTTGAGCTCTGTGGGGTTCTCAGTCCTGTGCCAGGAAAGACTCTAGTGTGGAGGACAGCATTGATTTTAAAAATCTAAAACGTCGGCCCTGAAAGAGTTTACAGTTTATTAATGGATGCACAGTGGATGATTTCAAACACTGAGAAGACACCAATCGACAGCCCTGGATGTGGAATGGGAGTGCTCTTTTATCCTGGCCTGCAACTGGGGCGGGCTTTCAGTCCAGTGCTAAGAAAACATGTGCGTAGAGTAATTTTGGACAATTACCCTGCTTGGATATTTGATTTCTCTTGGCTATCAGAAATAATAACAATGATAATTTTGCTTAAGGATGTTTCTCATTCGATCTACAGATACAAGCACAAATTTCTAATAAACCTCTCTTACAGAAGACAACTACACGTTACACAAAAATTTGTTCCAGAAAAAGCCAAAACTTTCTTTTTAATAGCACTACAACCACCTTGTTGCTGTATTTCTACATTGTGAGAGAAGGAGAAGATGGGGTTTTGTGTACAGAAATTTGTTCTCCAAACATTCATGTTTAAAATTTGATCCGTATCACTTGTTGGCATATCAAGCATGCTTATTTCTAAATTGCCATAATATATCCAATTAGGTAGAATATTTCTGGAAAGCACAATTATCATACACATATTACTACAAAATGTGATATCATATTATGTTCTCTTATCATTACAGTGAGATATGGCACTATGAGGAGATTTTATCAGTGCAAAATTGCATTATGTTCAAATTTATCCATGTGTTAATTTACATTAAACCCATTCTACTTCTTCAGATGAATGCAAATTCTAGGATTTGCTGGCCTGTATTTTACCCGGAAATTGGTGCAGATAAGAGGCAAAGGAGTAAGAAGGATTGCTGTCTAGGAGCTCTGAAACAAGCCAAAATTAACTTTCCTTGCAGCTGCTATTCTGTTAAAAAGCCAAGATTTAAGGAGAATAATATAGCAATGTAATTTATTCTAACTAGAAATGAGGAAAACCGTAACGAACAAAACCCTTGAAAGTTGGACTATTCTTACAAATTATACTAACAATGGGAATCAACAATCCCATCAGAGTTTGTAGATTTCAGATAATCCCATCAGGCTTGTTTCTTAATTATCAAGGTGCTTTGAAGAAATTTCCTATTTGAATCCCTCAAAATAATGACTTTGGGGTTTGTTTTCACATCAGCTATGGGTGCTGTTTTGACAAAGCCTTAGCTGAAAACTTGAGGCCATCAGCATCCCTTTCTCCCCTGCAACAATACAGTTCACACAGGCACTCTTCCTTCCCCACCCATCTTGTGCATAAGGCCTTGATTTTACTTAGATTTCCCCTCATGAGCTCCTTGTTTATTGGTTGGTTGGTTCATTGGTTTTGTTGAGTTGGTTTGTTTTGTTCTGTTTTCACAGTCTTATTAAGAAGGAAATTTACATTCCGTAGAATTCACCCATGTAAGGTGTACAATTGAATGGTTTCTAGTATATTCACAGAATTATGCATCCATCACCACTACCAGTTATAAAACATTTTCACTACCTGGAAAAGAAACATGGTACTCAGCCATGGCCGCTCAATCTCTGGATCCCCCACTCTAGTCCTAGGAAACCACTAATCTACTTTCTGTCCCTATAGATTTGCTGATACTGGACATTTCATATAAATGGAATCACACAATACAAGGCCTTTTGTCACTGGCTTTTTCACTAACATGATCTTTTCAGGGTTATCCAACATAGCACAGATCAGTATTTTATTTTCATTGCCAAATCATCTTCCATCCTAAGGTTATACCACATTTCCTTTATCTATCCATTCATTATCTGCTGAGAATTTGGGTTATTTCCACTATTTGGCTATTATAAATATTGCTGCTTATGAACATGTTTGTACAAGTTTTTGTATGAACCTGTGTTTCCTGTCTCTGGACTACACACCTAGGAGTAAGTCATTTATTTAACCACATGGGGGCTGCAAACACCTGCATACATGGCGGGGCTCTCTGTCCCCGGCATCAGTCCTCACTGACTTGACTATTTTAACTTCATGACGGGTGTTGCGACTCTCTCTGCTTTATTCTCCTTATCAATATTATCTTGATTATTTTTAACCTTTTACTCCTTGTAAATACTAAAATCTGTGCAACATCTATATGAAAAACACTGCTTGGATTTTGGAATTAAAATTAATCTATAGATTATTGGGGGTACACTTGAAAGCACTTTAATATTGAGTACTACCCGTGGATGTGGAATATCTTAAGATAATCGTTAATGCTTTTTAATAAATGTTTGGCACATTTGTGTACAGTTTTGCACATATATCATTAGTTTTATGCCAAGATACTTGATAACATTGTTGCTCATATGATTTTTAAATTATATCTTATGATTGCTGTTTGTTTGCAGAAACACTTGCTAGGCCCTCCAATAAAATGTTACAGGGGTACCATGAAAGGAGACATTCTTGTTTGTCTTCCTTACTTAAATAAATGCATCTATATTTTCTATTGAGACTCTTTTTGTTGTGGGACTTCTGTAGTTATCTCTTATGAGGTTAAGAAAGTCTTCTTGTGGGGAGGAGCCAAGATGGCGGAATAGGAACAGCTCCGGTCTACACCTCCCAGTGTGAGCGACGCAGAAGACGGGTGATTTCTGCATTTCCATCTGAGGTACCGGGATCATCTCACTAGGGAGTGTCAGAGAGTGGGCGCAAGTCAGTGAGTGCATGCACCGTGCGCGAGCCGAAGCAGGGCGAGTCATTGCCTTACTCGGGAAGTGCAAGGGGTCAGGGAGTTCCCTTTCCTAGTCAAAGAAAGGGGTGACAGACAGCCCCTGGAAAATCAGGTCACTCCCACCCGAATACTGCGCTTTTCCGATGGGCTTAAAAAACAGCGCACCAGGAGATTATATCTCACACATGGCTGGGAGGGTCCTAGACCCATGGAGTGTCGCTGATTGCTAGCACAGCAGTCTGAGATCAAACTGCAAGGAGGCAGCGAGGCTGGGGGTGGGGGGGGCGTGCCATTGCCCAGGCTTGCTTAGGTAAACAAAGCAACCGGGAAGCTCGTACTGGGTGGAGCCCACCACAGCTCAAGGAGGCCTGCCTGCCTCTGTAGGCTCCACCTCTGGGGGCAGGGCACAGACAAACAAAAAGACAGCAGTAACCTCTGCAGACTTAAATGTCCCTGTCTGACAGCTTTGAAGAGAGCAGTGGTTCTCCCAGCACGCAGCTGGAGATATGGGAACCGGCAGACTGCCTCCTCAAGTGGGTCTCTGACCCCTGACCCCCAAGCAGCCTAACTGGGAGTCACCCCCCAGCAGGGGCACACTGACACCTCACACGGCAGGGTACTCCAACAGACCTGCAGCTGAGGGTCCTGTCTGTTAGAAGGAAAACTAACAAACAGAAAGGACATCCACACCAAAACCCATCTGTACATCACCATCATCAAAGACCAAAAGTAGATAAAACCACAAAGATGGGGAAAAAACAGAGCAGAAAAACTGGAAACTCTAAAAAGCAGAGCGCCTCTCCTCCTCCAAAGAAACGCAGTTCCTCACCAGCAACGGAACAAAGCTGGACGGAGAATGACTTTGATGAGCTGAGAGAAGAAGGCTTCAGACGATCAAATTACTCCGAGCTACGGGAGGAAATTCAAACCAAAGGCAAAGAAGTGGAAAACTATGAAAAAAGTTTAGAAGAATGTATAACTAGAATAACCAATACAGAGAACTGCTTAAAGGAGCTGATGGAGCCGAAAACAAAGGCTCGAGAACTACGTAAAGAATGCAGAAGCCTCAGGAGCCGATGCTATCAACTGGTAGAAAGGGTATCAGCGATGGAAGATGAAGTGAATGAAATGAAGTGAGAAGGGAAGTTTAGAGAAAAAAGAATAAAAAGAAATGAGCAAAGCCTCCAAGAAATATGGGACTACGTGAAAAGACCAAATCTACGTCTGATTGGTGTACCTGAAAGTGATGGGGAGAATAGAACCAAGTTGGAAAACATTCTGCAGGATATTATCCAGCAGAACTTCCCCAATCTAGCAAGGCAGGCCAACATTCAGATTCAGGAAATACAGAGAACGCCACAAACATACTCCTCGAGAAGAGCAACTCCAAGACACATAATTGTCAGATTCACCAAAGTTGAAAGGAAGGAAAAAATGTTAAGGGCAGCCAGAGAGAAAGGTCGGGTTACCCACAAAGGGAAGCCCATCAGACTAACAGTGGATCTCTCGGCAGAAACCCTACAAGCCAGAAGAGAGTGGGGGCCAATATTCAACATTCTTAAAGAAAAAAGTTTTCAACCCAGAATTACATATCCAGCCAAACTAAGCTTCATAAGTGAAGGAGAAATAACATACTTTACAGACAGGCATATGCTGAGAGATTTTGTCACCACCAGGCCTGCCCTAAAAGAGCTCCTCAAGGAAGCGCTAAACATGGAAAGGAACAACCGGTACCAGCCGCTGCAAAATCATGCCAAAATGTAAAGACCATCGAGACTAGGAAGAAACTGCATCAACTAATGAGCAAAATAACCAGCTAACATCATAATGACAGGATCAAATTCACACATAACAATATTAACTTTAAATGTAAATGGACTAAATGCTCCAATTAAAAGACACGGACTGGCATATTGGATAAAGAGTCAAGACCCATCAGTGTGCTGTATTCATGAAACCCATCTCACGTGCAGAGACACACATAGGCTCAAAGTAAAAGGATGGAGGAAGATCTACCAAGGAAATGGAAAACAAAAAAAGGCAGGGGTTGCAATCCTAGTCTCTGATAAAACAGACTTTAAGCCAACAAAGATCAAAAGAGACAAAGAAGGCCATTACATGATGGTAAAGGGATCAATTCAACAAGAAGAGCTAACTATCCTAAATATATATGCACCCAATACAGGAGCACCCAGATTCATAAAGCAAGTCCTGAGTGACCTACAAAGAGACTTAGACTCCCACACATTAATAATGGGAGACTTTAACACCCCACTGTCAACATTAGACAGATCGACGAGACAGAAAGTCAACAACAATACCCAGGAATTGAACTCAGCTCTGCACCAAGCAGACCTAATAGACATCTACAGAACTCTCTACCCCAAATCAACAGAATATACATTTTTTTCAGCACCACACCACACCTATTCCAAAATTGACCACATACTTGGAAGTAAAGCTCTCCTCAGCAAATGTAAAAGAACAGAAATTATAACAAACTATCTCTCAGACCACAGTGCAATGAAACTAGAACTCAGGATTAAGAATCTCACTCAAAACTGCTCAACTACATGGAAACTAAACAACCTGCTCCTGAATGACTACGGGGTACAAAACAAAATGAAGGCAGAAATAAAGATGTTCTTTGAAACCAACGAGAACAAAGACACAACATACCAGAATCTCTGGGACGCATTCAAAGCAGTGTGTAGAGGGAAATTTATAGCACTAAATGCCCACAAGAGAAAGCAGGAAAGATCCAAAATTGACACCCTAACATCACAATTAAAAGAACTAGAAAAGCAAGAGCAAACACATTCAAAAGCTAGCAGAAGTCAAGAAATAACTAAAATCAGAGCAGAACTGAAGGAAATACAGACACAAAAAACCTTTCAAAAAATTAATGAATCCAGGAGCTGGTTTTTTGAAAGGATCAACAAAATTGATAGACCACTAGCTAGACTAATAAAGAAAAAAAGAGAGAAGAATCAAATAGACGCAATAAAAAATGATAAAGGGGATATCACCACCGATCCCACAGAAATACAAACTACCATCAGAGAATACTACAAACACCTCTACGCAAATAAACTAGAAAATCTAGAAGAAATGGATACATTCCTCGACACATGCACTCTCCCAAGACTAAACCAGGAAGAAGTTGAATCTCCGAATAGACCAATAACAGGATCTGAAATTGTGGCAATAATCAATAGCTTACCAACCAAAAAGAGTCCAGGACCAAATGGATTCACAGCCGAATTCTACCAGAGGTACAAGGAGGAACTGGTACCATTCCTTCTGAAACTATTCCAATCAATAGAAAAAGAGGGAATCCTCCCTAACTCATTTTATGAGGCCAGCATCACCCTGATACCAAAGGCGGGCAGAGACACAACCAAAAAAGAGAATTTTAGACCAATATCCTTGATGAACATTGATGCAAAAATCCTCAATAAAATACTGGCACACCGAGTCCAGCAGCACATCAAAAAGCTTATCCACCATGATCAAGTGGGCTTCATCCCTGGGATGCAATGCTGGTTCAATATATGCAAATCAATAAATGTAATCCAGCATATAAACAGAACCAAAGACAAAAACCACATGATTATCTCAATAGATGCAGAAAAGGCCTTTGACAAAATTCAACAACCCTTCATTCTAAAAACTCTCAATAAATTAGGTATTCATGGGACATATCTCAAAATAATAAGAGCTACCTATGACAAACCCACAGACAATATCAAACTGAATGGGCAAAAACTGGAAGCATTCCCTTTGAAAACTGACACAAGACAGGGATGCCCTCTCTCACCACTCCTATTCAACATAGTGTTGGAAGTTCTGGCCAGGGCAATTAGGCAGGAGAAGGAAATAAAGGGTATTCAATTAGGAAAAGAGGAAGTCAAATTGTCCCTGTTTGCAGATGACATGATTGTATATCTAGAAAACCCCATTGTCTCAGCCCAAAATCTCCTAAAGCTGATAAGCAACTTCAGCAAAGTCTCAGGATACAAAATCAATGTACAAAAATCACAAGCATTCTTATACACCAACAAAAGACAAACACAGAGCCAAATCATGAGTGAACTCCCATTCACAATTGCTTCAAAGAGAAGAAAATACCTAGGAATCCAACTTACAAGGGATGTGAAGGACCTCTTCAAGGAGAACTACAAACCACTGCTCAAGGAAATAAAAGAGGATACAAACAAATGGAAGAACATTCCATGCTCATCGGTAGGAAGAATCAGTTTTGTGAAAATGGCCATACTGCCCAAGGTAATTTACAGATTCAATGCCATCCCCATCAAGCTACCAATGCCTTTCTTCCCAGAATTGGAAAAAACTACTTTAAAGTTCATATGGAACCAAAAAAGAGCCCGCATAGCCAAGTCAATCCTAAGCCAAAAGAACAAAGCTGGAGGCATCACACTACCTGACTTCAAACTATACTACAAGGCTACAGTAACCAAAACAGCATGGTACTGGTACCAAAACAGAGATATAGATCAATGGAACAGAACAGAGCCTTCAGAAATAACGCCGCATATCTACAACTATCTGATCTTTGACAAACCTGAGAAAAACAAGCAATGGGGAAAGGATTCCCTATTTAATAAATGGTGCTGGGAAAACTGGCTAGCCATATGTAGAAAGCTGAAACTGGATCCCTTCCTTACACCTTATACAAAAATCAATTCAAGATGGATTAAAGACTTAAACGTTAGACCTAAAACCATAAAAACCCTAGAAGAAAACCTAGGCATTACCATTCAGGACATAGGCATGGGCAAGGACTTCATGTCTAAAACACAAAAAGCAATGGCAACAAAAGCCACAATTGACAAATGGGATCTAATTAAACTAAGGAGCTTCTGCACAGCAAAAGAAACTACCATCAGAGTGAACAGGCAACCTACAAAATGGGAGAAAATTTTTGTAATCTACTCATCTGACAAAGGACTAATATTCAGAATCTACAATGAACTCAAACAAATTTACAAGAAAAAAACAAACAACTCCATCAAAAAGAGGGCGAAGGACATGAACAGACACTTCTCAAAAGAAGACATTTATGCAGCCAAAAATCACATGAAGAAATGCTCACCATCACTGGCCATCAGAGAAATGCAAATCAAAACCACAATGAGATACCATCTCACACCAGTTAGAATGGCCATCATTAAAAAGTCAGGAAACAACAGGTGCTGGAGAGGATGTGGAGAAAGAGGAACACTTTTACACTGTTGGTGGGACTGTAAACTAGTTCAACCATTGTGGAAGTCAGTGTGGCGATTCCTCAGGGATCTAGAACTAGAAATACCATTTGACCCAGCCACCCCATTACTGGGTATATACCCAAAGGACTATAAATCATGCTGCTATAAAGACACATGCACATGTATGTTTATTGCGGCATTATTCACAATAGCCAAGACTTGGAACCAATCCAAATGTCCAACAATGATAGACTGGATTAAGAAAATGTGGCACATATACACTATGGAATACTATGCAGCCATAAAAAATGATGAGTTCATGTGCTTTGTAGGGACATGGATGAAATTGGAAATCATCATTCTCAGTAAACTATCGCAAGAACAAAAAACCAAACACCGCATATTCTCACTCATAGGTGGGAATTGAACAATGAGAACACATGGACACAGGAAGGGGAACATCACACTCTGGGGACTGTTGTGGGGTCGGGGGAGAGAGGAGAGATAGCATTGGGAGATATACCTAATGCTAGATGACGAGTTAGTTGGTGCAGCGCACCGGCATGGCACACGTATACATATGTAACTAACCTGCACAATGTGCACATGTACCCTAAAACTTAAAGTATAATAATAATAAATTTAAAAAAAAGAAAGTCTTCTTGTACTAAGAGCTCTCTTTTATTAATTATATTAATAATTAATAAGTGAAATTATAGAATTATATATAATAAGTGAAAGCTGCTGAATCAATTGAGATAATCACATTTTCTCTTTAATCTGTTATTGAGCTGAATAACATTTAAATGTTTTCTACTACTCCTCCATCTTTGCAGTAGAGAACCAAACTGACTTGGAAATGTGCATATCTGTAAAATGATGTTGACTTCCCTTTGCTAACACTATGCTTTTGGTTTTGGAATTGCACATATCATTGAGATTGTCCTGCCATTTTCTTTTCTACTACTGTCCTGTGACTTTGGCATCGAGATTGCACTGCTCATTAAATTAGGTGAATAAAATGCCCCCTCCTTCTATTCTGTTTTGTTTTTCCACTTGTGTAAAATTGGAACTGTGATATCCTTTGGCTGTGTCCCCACCCAAATCTCATCTTGAATTGTATTCCCCATAAACCCCACATGTCATAGGAGGACGTGGTGGGAGGTAATTGAATCCTGGGGGCCGTTTCCCCCATGCTGTTCTCGTGATAGTGAGTGAGTTCTCAAGAGATCTGATGGTTTTATAAGCATCTGGCATTTCCCCTGCTGGCACTCCTTCTCTCTCCTGCCACCCTGTGAAGATGTGCCTTTCACCATGATTGTAAGTTTCCTGAGGCTTCCTCAGGCAGGTGGAACTGTGAGTCAGTTAAACCTCCTTTCTTTGTGAATTACCCAGTTTCGGGTATTTCTTTATAGCAATGTGAGAACAGACTCACACAAACTGTCTTTAGAATCTTGGCAGAAGTCATCCATGTAATTATCTGAGTGCTAGCACTCACCTGTAAACTTATCTGGGGCTGGAAAATCCCTGTGGCAATCTTTTAAACTACTAACTCAATTTCCTTGAGAAAATTATTCAGACCTCTACATTCTTAATTCACTTTTGGCAAAATATACTATTTAATAATTTTTCTACTTTTATAAGATTTGCATTTTATCTGAGATTTATAGAGTATTCCATTTTATCTTGGATTACTAAAAACTAACAAAATTTTTCATATTTTCTAATTTTGATATCTCATACAATTGCGATTATGCCAACATGTTATTCTCTAATATCACCAATTTTCCTTTCCCTTTCTCATCTCGATCAAAGTTGCCAAAATCATGCTCCTTTCGTCGGTCGTTTTAAAAACTTCTGGCTCTGTTAAGGCTTTGCTTTATCTCTGCTATTGATGAAGCTTTAAGGCCTTTGTCATTACTGTTGCCTTCTTCCAACTTTTATGAGGTTGGGTCTTGCTCTTTTTCTTACATCTGAAGGTGTGCACTTCACTCATTAACTTTCAACTTTTTTCTGTTCTCATATTTGTTTCTAATGCGTAAAATTCTCATATAAGCCCTGCTCTATTGGGCCTCTGAGTTTTGATGTGTTATTTACTTCTGTTGCCTTCTGGTGGCATCAGAGGGCACAGTGAACACGACCCACCCTCTTGACGTGAACATGTGATGTCCTACTGATCACACCCCAGAGTCCCCACTGCGCTTTTTACTTAACTTTTGTGTGGATCGCATAGGTTGTATTATGACCATTGGTCTATGCGTCTCAAAACTAGCGCGTGAATTTCTTGAAAACAGAATTGTGTTTCTCCTATATTTGTGTTCAGAGGTCCTAGGCCAGCATTGTGCTGGCTCAAAATAGGCACTTAGGAAATGTTCCTGGAATATACATTTGCAACGTAAAATGGGTAAGACAAAGTGTGCATTGATGCAGGAGAAATAAGACCTGTTTGGTTACGAAGGCACAGAAATGTATATAAACCACTTCAAAATGTGTATTTATTAACTATATTTAACTTGAAAAGATGCACTCACTGAAGCATCCACTAGGATGAATGGAAATTATACCAGCCTTTAAATTCAGCCGTCAACCTGGTCCTTCTCACAGCAAAGTCAAAGGTCAGCACATAATGGTTGTGCATTATAATATTCTCAAGAGCAGTCCTCTCACAGGGATGCTGTTTGAATTAGCTAATTGATGATTGCCAAGGGCTTTGGCGAGGCAAGGCTCTGCATAACTGATAATTACTATTATTATCACAGGGACTAAGATGTTCTGCATTGCTCTGTGAACAAAGGGCCAAGAAATGAATTTGCTATAAGATATAATGTAGCTAACAAAAAAGAAGTGTGAAAAGATAGAACATACGACGTCTCAAGTAGCTGAGATTTGTTTAGGAAGTTGTTTCTGCTTTGTGTTCCTGATAAGGACATCAAAACAGGCAAAATAATGGACTTTTTAGATACCCATAAAAGCATCCCAAAAGATTGCTCATTTCCTTTGTGTTAAAAATATGCGACTTTGCACGCAGAGAAGAGTTCTCAAGATTGCCAGACACTGAGCACAAGTCGTCAGAAGTTTAGACAATAAAGGGACATCTGAAAGACACCTGAGACAAGACAGAGAAAAATATCCAGCTTTAAAGGTGTCATACCCAACGTGTGTATTTTCCTGCACCAATTTTTTAAAAAAATGCCAAACTGATTATTTCCTTAAATAAATTTGGGACATTCTGACCAGGCACGGTGGCTCATACCTGTAATCTCAGCACTCTGGCAGTCTGAGGCAGGCAGATCGAAGCCAGGAGATCAAGACCAGCTTAGGTAACAAGACAAAATCCCATCTGTACAAAAAATACAAAAAATTAGCCGCGTGTGGTGGCACACACCTGTAGTCCCAGCTACTCAGGGGACTGAGGCAAAGGGTCACTTGAGCCCAGGAGGTTGAGGCTGCAGTGAGCCATGACGGTGCCACTGCCCTCCAGCCTGGGTGACAGAGCGAGACCATGTCTCAAAAAATAAAAGTAAAATAGTAAATTTGGGGCATTCTTTCTGTCCTCCTGGCAGACAGGGTTGGTTGGTTTGATTTGGTTTTATTTTTTCCCTGGGTCATCGGATCATGAGAACACACACGAGTCTTCAGCCTCAATGGGTGGCTCCATCCTGCCCACTGGAGAGGTCAGTTTCTCAGCGCAGCTCATTCCAGCTCACAGGCCTCACCGTCAGGCCTGCCAGGATCGCAGCAACCTGCCTGGAAGACGAGCTGATGAGCTACTGGCCGGGTTTCCAGTGATACCAAGTTGAGCCCTTTTGTCTGACACCTCTGTCTGAAGCAGGGAGAGAGTAGGAGGACGGAGACCAAAATGGGGAATCCAAGGATGGCACAATTTAAAACAAACACTGTGAGGCTACCACGCCCCGCCGTGCTGGGTTATGGATCAGAGGGTCTGAGAACTGCAGCTGGCATGGTGAGATTATTTTCCACGTGAGCTCCCGTGGAAGGAACTGAGCACTGTTCCTGGGGTTCCAGTGCCCTGTGCTGTGATGAGTCAGGGGAGCTCTCCCTCCTGCTCCAAGCTCCTGAGCTGCCCTCACTGAGGACCACTTTACCAGTGTTCTCCTGCAGTGTTTTCCTGGATCCTTTCGGCTTTTCCGGGCACTGACAGGGATAGGAATGGGAGAGAGAAGAGAGAAGAAACAAAATCCACAACAGAGCCTTCGTCAAATTCCATAATTACAGAGGCTTTGGGGATTTCCAAAAGATTATTGTTGGGGGAGTAACGGCTGATTCCGAGAGCCCAAGCCGAAGCTAATTCTACAGAGGTGTTCACAGCAATGTCGTTGGTCTGGTTGGTTCGAGAAAAGGCAAATAAAAAAGGCAACAGTTAATGATCTCGGCTACTAACAACATGGTAGCGTCGCTTTCCCACACCCTGAAGCTGAGGGACATTTTCTTCTTGGGGTAGCCAATTAGTAGCATTAATGGGACAGGAATCAGATTAATCATGGCACGAGCCACCCGCTAATGCATTCCACCCATTATTCTCAGCATTCACTCATCAAGCAGTCTCCAAGAGCCTCCAAGGAAATAATAAAACGGGTCGATCTGAATGCCTCTCATCTCCCTTCTTCATCTCATCTACCTCTGACCTGGTAGTTAAGGAGCCACAAAATGGACAGGCCAGGGGCTATAGAGGAATCTGAGGAGAAGGATCAGGATAATGGGCAAACTGGAGATGTGATTAATTACAGAATGCACTTTTACTTTCCCCGGGTGAATTAGCTATAAACCATAAGCCTTCTCCCTGCTGCCATGGCCTTCACCTATTTTATCCTCAAAAAGAGATAAGCAGAGAAAATTGCAGCTTTGCAAGTGACATTTGCCCCTTCCTTGGCACTAAGGATTGGCAGGTTGCAATAACACACTCCAGACAGGGCTCCTCAGGCTGTACCGTGCATGTGAGCGGCCAGGAGAACCGACAGAAATGCAGGTTCCGAGGCAGTGAGTTGGGGACGGGGCCAGTTGCCACATGTCTGTGGTCTTTTAGCTGCAGGACAAACCAGACTGAAAGTCCTGCAGCTTCCAGCCCATCCGTGCACACACCATGTCTGGAAAATATGTATGGAACGGAGAAATGGGCAGTCACTGGAAAGAGAGCCACTGGCGACTTGACTTCTCTGTGAGGAATCCTGTAGCCCAGCCCAAGACAATGAAGAGGTTCCTGATGAGAACGTGTGGCTCTATCTGCCTGGTCACTGCCGAGCTGACAATGAGGATGCCCATCCAGCACCCAGGGTGTGACGACACCACACTCGCGAAACACCCCAGAACTCCTTCTACATCCCTGGCAAAGGGCAGGGCTCACGTTCCAAAATGACTCTGGATCCAAGGGGGCTTCTGGTTCACCCCGATGCTGACTTGTTCCCTGGGTTCTCACAGCCTGAGTTACCTTCCGGAAGAGCTGGGTGCCCTAACTCACGCACATGGGGGCTGCCGGGGGCCTTCCCAGCCCTTTCATTCTTGTGGTTTCATGACCCAGAGACATCGGGGGTTCCCCATGCTCACTCACATGAAATAGCTACCATTCTGGGGTTTTGATTTTTTGGGGGTTTTTTTGTTTGTTTTTTGTTTTTTGTTTTGAGACGGAGTCTCGCACTGTCGCCCGGGCTGGAGTGTAAGGGCGCGATCTCGGCTCACTGCAACCTCCGCCTCCTGGCTTCAAGCGATTCTCCTGCCCCAGCCTCCCAAGTAGCTGGTACTACAGATGCCCACCACCACGCCCAGCTAATTTTTGTAATTTTAGTAGAGACGGGGTTTCACCATATTGCTCAAGCTGGTCTCGAACTCCTGACCTCAGGTGATCCGCCCACCTCGGCCTCCCAAAGTGCTGGGATTACAGGCATGAGCCACTGAGCCCGGCCTATACTTGGGTTTTAGATGGATTATTTTGTAGGAGAAAGGTGAAATTATTCTTAGTATTTTATCTACTATAGACAAACTATTATTTTTATGTCTTTTGCAGACCTAATGACTATAGTAAACTCTTTTAATAAGCTTCCTATTATGGAACATATATTTAACGAACAAATAGATTATTTAAATAAGTGCCAAATAGATATCTAAGCAAGATCATTCCATATGCAATAAATAAATACATAAATGAGACCCAGTATTAAAAATACGTTTAGCCATTTAAAGCTTTTAACTAGTATTTAAAATGACCCAGAATTCAAGTCCCTGTCTCTGATTTGGCTATTTTTATATATTTACATCTTTAGGCAAAATAACATTTTCTCCTGCATCGAAAATCACATGCAATGGACGATATTAATCAGGTTAATCCCACAGCACCGCAGGCCGAAGCGGAAACTCTATCACGCCTTTGAGACAGGCGCTCAACGCAGTGGATTACCATGTGTGTTTGTACGGTGCGTCCCCAGTGACAGCACCATCTCTTCGGCCTGAGGCTCTGTGACTCTCGGCCACACTTGTCACCTTTGAGGGAAGTGGGCTTCAGCCCTGACGGGTGGTGTTCGAGACCCCACGCTCCAGGGGCCCCATCCAGGCTGGCTGTGGCTGTGGGCGCCTTTCCTGGGGCGCCACGGTCCGTGTTGCCCTGAGCCGTCCGGGGTGACCGGCGACAGCCACTGCTCGGGAGTCCTGCCGTGGACTCGCTGCCCGTGGTCCCAACCAGCAGACCAGGGTGGAATGAGAGGACGGCGATCTCAGCCAGGGGCTGTGTTAGAGACCACAGAACCCTTCATTCTCCCTCAGGACCTTCCTGAAGCCCTGCTGCCTCTGTGACAAGACAGCCAATCGTCCTTCTTGGCTCACTCCCTCGGGGAATTCCTCTTTCAAGCCGAACCTGACTGTCTCCACCTGTGGAGGGGACACGGCCCGCACCCCCTGTCTCAGGTGTCCGGGGCTGCTGATTCCGGATCCTAAGACTAACGGCGAAAACAGCATCTGCTTCTCTGGCACCCCGAGCCATAAAACCACCCAAATATCTTAAGTAACAGCATTTTAGAAACTAATGAAATAAAGTGAGACTTGAGAAAAAAAAAAAAAAAGCTTATATGAGCTCTGAGAGAACTTGCTCTATCACTATTAGCACAGTGCCACCTAATGGAAACGTGACATAAATGTACAGCCTTGAAAATTTAGAAGATTACAAAACACCCTATCAAGTTATACAGAAGGCACTTTTCCTCCACGTGTGTACCCTTTTTCAAGAAAATAATGATCTGTATGTTTTAAATGATTATAATTTTAGTTGGACAAAAATATGCACAGGCCAGACATTCACAGAATTCTTCTAAGTCACCATGAAAAGACACTCAGAATTTTTATTTTTGTTTTGCTCTTTTGTAAAACACATAAAGATAGAACTTGACATTTTTCTTCATATTTTAAAAATACTGGGCTGGAAGCGGTGGCTCACACCTATAATCCCAGCACTTTCAGAGGCCAGGGTGGGTAGATCACCTGAGGTCAGGAGTTCGAGACCAGCCTGGCCAACATGGTGAAACCCTGTCTCTACTAAAAATACAAAAATTAGCCCGGCATGGTGGTGGGTACCTGCAATCCCAACTACTCAGGAGGCTGATGCCAGAGAATCGCTTGAACCCAGGAGGCAGGGGTCGCAGTGAACCGAGATCATGTCACTGCACTCCAGCCTGGGCGACAGACCAAAACTGTTTCTCAAAAAAAATAAAAAATAAAAATAAATACTATCAATGGGGCACTCTAGTATCTTAAAAACTTTGTTTTAAGAAATATCAAAATTAGGCTGGGCACGGTGGCTCAGGCCTGTAATCCCAGCACTTTGGGAGGCCAAGGAGGGTGGATCACAAGGTCAGGAGACTGAGACCATCCTGGCTAACACAGTGACACCCCATCTCTACCAAAAATACAAAAAATTCGCCAGGTGTGGTGGCAGGCACCTGTAGTCCCAGCTACTCGGGAAGCTGAGGCAGGAGAATGGCGTGAACCCGGGGAGCACAGCTTGCAGTGAACCGAGATCGCGCCACTGCACTCCAGCCTGGGCGACAAAGCAAGACACTGTCTCAAAAAAAAAAAAAAAAAAAAAAAAAAAATCTCAATTAATTTAGCATAAAATGGCATAGTTTTAAACTGAGTTTTTATTAGAAGTAGATTTTCAAAGATGTTGCAAAAGATTTAGAATGAATTTAAGGAGATCTGTCTTTGCCCACGTTATATAAATGACGATTCTAGGTGAATGTTGTAAAGCTCAAGGTCATCTGTCACGAAATCTTTACCAGGTTTGACACAATGTCTGTCTTTAATCCATTTTAAATCTTCGCATGGTCTAGGTGACTCAGAATAAAATATACAACATTTTATTGCATATGGTGTTATTTGCAACTTTATGTCATTTCCTTTGCATTTCAGCAGAGATTTCCTGATTGCTTTTGATGTTTAAGTACCTGTGTGAACATAATTATGTGTTAAAATATCTCTGTACGATATGATCACTCTTTAAGAACAAGAACTCCTTTAATACACCTCAGGTTTTCCCAGGTATGAAAGATTCTATTAATCACTGGAAGAAGAGTCTCTGGCCAAGTGCACAGCCCCTCTCAGCTCAGCTTCATAAACAAGGCACATTCATGACAAACGTTCTACCTAAAGTGTCTCTATTTAGCCTTTCATGACAAATGTTCCATTCAAAGAATATTTTTCTACTTAAATATTAAATATGTAAATTAGAATATTAAATATTCTATTTAAAGAAATGTTCTATTTAAATGCTCTATTTAAATAGCACGTTCATGGCACATGTTCTGTTTAAAGTGTCTTTCTATTTAGCCTTTCTATTACTATAGTTAAAGAAAAAATATAAAAACATGAAATTCTACTTTGGTATCTAAACCTCTTAATCAACTTACTCAACGCACATCCACATAGCATCACCATGGGCCACCCTGTGCAGATGGGACGAACCCCAAAACATTGAACAATAGAAACACTGAAATTGCAACAGAAAAAAGGAATGATTACTTCAATTGTATCGTTGTGAAAAAAACTTCTGTAACAGCAAACGTAAAAGTTTCCTAGGCCAAGATAATCTGCCGGAAACTAAGCAGATGGTACCGAGCTGAATTACCTTGTAGTTACTTCTTCTGAGGCAGGTTGGAGCTCATCACAGTTAACTGAAAGCTCCCCACATAAAGTCAAAACATAAAAATGAGATGCACATTGTCGGTCAGTTGTAGCGGCCTTGCAGCCTCTGCCAACCTTTCATTAAGATGCTTTGAGGTTAAGAACTTCCTATTTCATGAACAATGGCATCCCGTGGCTGTTACATGACGCAGATAAAATGTGCAGAAAGATCATGAGGACAATATACACCATTAATTTGTGTGATGAGAACAGGAATAAGAAGTTCCTATAATACTAGAATGTTTCTGTAAAACACACGGTTTATGTTCTGAAAATTCTGCCTTTAATCTCAGTTTAGTATGGTCTTCTAGGAAATAGGGATCCTCATAAGAATTTTGCAGAATCCCATGAAGTTGAAAAATTAAATAAAAAATACACATTAATCATAGGAAAAGTTTCACATCTAGGAAAAATGTAAAAGGTAGTCCCAAGATGTTTTTTATTAATATAGCAAAAATTTAAAATATGCTGTAAGCTCAAGATCTAAATGCAGGAGGAGCACTATATTGAATAAACTGATAAGAAAGAGATTCTAATGTTCATTCCATTTGTTTATGTATTTATTTGTTTGTTTATTTTTGAGATGGAGTCTCCCTCTGTCACCCAGGCTGGAGTGCAGTGGTGCAATCTTGGCTCACTGCAACCTTTGCATCCTAGGCTCAAGCAATTCTCCTGCCTCAGCCTCCCAAGTAGCTGGGATTATAGGCACGTGCCACCACACCCAGCTAATTTTTGTATTTTTTGTAGGGACAGGGTTTTGCCACGTTGGCCAGTCTGGTCTCAAACTCCTGGCCTCAAGCCATCTGTCCACCTTGGCCTCTGAAAGTGCTGGGATTACAGGTGTGAGCCACCGTGCCTAGCCTCTAATGTTCATTTTAGAGAAATAAAATGTAACACCACAAAATTCAAAATCAAGTCTTAAGAGAGATGTTAAACTTTGGGGGATGGCAAGAGAAGGACATTTCCCGTTGACTCCTTTAGACCCTGGGCTGCAGACCTTGCCAAGAACAATCGGTCAGTTTCAACCTTGCTAGGCTGGTGCAGTTGTTTTTAAAGAGTCACAGAGGCCGTATCTCAACTCACGTTCAGCTGAAACATCTACCGTAGACAAAGCTGTTCAAAGGAGCCACTTGACCTTTTTCACAAAACAGGTCTGATTTTCCAAGTGAGACCTCGGAGGAGAAGGTGGTAACTGGCAGCCATGCGGTCCCACAGAAAGTACCTATAGAAGGGAGGCTGTCAACCATGAAGACTGGCCATCCATCGAGGGGCCCGGTGTCACTAAATATTACGGTAACACAGATAACAGGCTTGTGGAAAATCTCCAGAAACAAATGTTTTGGTTTCTCAGAAATAGTTTTAATAAAAATGCCCCAATTCTATAATTTAGCATGTCATTCATTGCTTTAAACAACAGACAGTTCAATTCTGTGTTTCCTCTAAAATAAAACACATGGAAACACATGGGGTGAAATTTGTGCTGTACTTGCGGGCACAGCAGGCCGACTTCTCCATGTGTTCAACACCACAGGGAATGTCTTCCTTTCCACTTTTATCTTTCTTGTCAGCACTAATTTATCTCTGCTGCCAGATTTCTCCCAAAATATGACTCGATTCCACTTCTAATCTCCCAAACCCCAACATTTAATCCCATTACTCTTTGAGTAAAATGTATTCTTTTCAACTGAATACTCAGTTACATTTTCATGAGATATTTTCTTGTGTTTTTAACAAGTGTTGCTAACAATTGTGTTGAAAAAAAAATCAGTGCCATATATACTTCAAAGTGAATTCTAATGGTTGCTTAGTTTTATGTGTTCAAATTTTTTAGATTCCCCAGAATTAGTGTTTGGTTTTAAAACAGAGTCCAGTGATAGGTCAGAAAAGAGAGACTTTCATGCAAAAATACAACAGACGTAGGAAATCTAACAATATATCTAAATTCTGACTCAATTCAGGCAATGCAGTTACATCAAGTGGTGACATAATCAGAGCTAGAGACGCAATGAGGAGTTCAGAGAAATGCCGAGCTCTCCAATCTGCTATCACGAGTAATCACTGAGAAAACAGAATGCTAGATTGAAAGATGCTGCAGCTCTGTGACCCTTTCAAAATTATCCAAAGACAGTAAATTAAAGAAGAAATTGCCTCCAGAATGATGGTAGCTCTCAAACAAAGAGTCAGGTGTGTTGGCAAAAGCCTGTGGAAACCAGGGATTCCACACTTTTCTCAGCAAACTCATGGTTGTCACCACCTCCTTGGCATCAGCCTCAGGACTTGGCTACAAAGAATGTCCAGGCAGACCTGGGAGAGTCCAAACCAGGGTTTATTTGTTTATTGTGACAAAATACACGAACACAGAATATACCGTTTTAATCACTGTAAGTGCACAATTCAGTGGCACTAAAGACATTGCTGTGCAACCATCACCAACATCCATCTACAGAACCTTTTCATTTTGCAAAACCAAACTCTTACCATTAAACAGTAACTCCCCGTTCTCCCCACCTCCTGCCACACGTCACTCCCATTCTGCTTCCTGTCTCTATAAATCTGATGACTTTAGGGACCTAATATAAGTGGGATCATACAGTAGTTGTCCATTTGTGACTGGCTTATTTGACTTAACACAATGTCTTCAAGGTTCTGCCATGTTGTAACATGGGTCAGAATTTCCTTTTTTTTTTTTATGAAGCTGAATAACATTCCCTTATGCTAGGGGTGGTGACTCATGCCTGTAATTTCAGTACTTTGGGAAGCTGAAGTGAGAGAGTCCCTTGAACTCAGGAGTTTAAGACCATCCTGGGCAACATAGTAAGATGCCAACTCTACAAAAAGCAAAAAAATTAGCTGGGCATGGTGGTACACACCTCATGTCCCAGATATTCAGGTTGAGCTGGGAGGGTTGGTTGAGCCCAGGAAGTCAAGGCTTCAGTGAGCCATGATGACACCCTTCACTCCAGCAACTGGGCAACAGGGTGAGACCCTGTGTTTAAAAAAAATTCATTGTATGCGTAGACTGTATTTCACTCATGCATTTACCCAACAGTGGACACTGGATTGCTTCCATGTTTTAGTTATTGTGAATAATGCTACTATGAACAAGCCTAAGTTTTTAAGATATTTGATACTTGGTCTGCATCTGTATACCACGTGATTATTGTAAGAATCTGGAAGCATGAAATCACATACACACACATTTATCCCAGAAATGCTTCCAATCAAACCCTTGAATCCTTGGGATTCTGAGAGGGAACAGGTAAAAGAAGAAAATATCTAATGTACATTGAAAGCTGGGTGTGATTGTCCGACAGGTTCTTCCTGCCCACCACACAGACAAATTCACTGAGACCCTGGTATTACAGTCAAGAAAGAGTAATTAATGCTAGGCAAGCCACTCAAGAGACGGGATTTATTACTGACATCAGCCTCCTTGAGGGCTCAGAGGCTAGGGTGTTTATGGATAATTTGGTGGCAAGGGGCTAGGAACTGGGTGCTGCTGACTGTTTAGGGATGCAGTCGTGAGGGGGTGGAGAGAGGGTCTCGTGGGCTGAGTCGGCCTCTGGGTGGGGGCCACAGGACTGGTTGAGTCGTGAGTCATGGATGTGGATGGGGTCCATTGGTTGCCAGAATGAAAAAGTCTGAAAAACATCTCCAAAGACAAATCTTAGGTCCTGCAACAGTGATGTTATCTATAGGAGCAACCGGAGAAGTCACAAATCTTGTGAGCTCTGGCCACATGACTCCTGAGCAGTAAGGGATTCTAGAAACTATGCCCACGTTTAGCAGAGCCCAGGCCCCTCCCATAATCCTGATCTTGTGGCCTTCCATTAGTTTCCGTCCCTGACCAAGGAGGGATCTGTTTTAGGGAGGGACTATGGCCATCCTTGTTTGCAAGTGAAATGGTAAACTACATTCCTCCCATAATTAGCTTGGCCTATGTCCGCAAATGAGCAAGGCCAGCCAGCCTGTGAGGCGGAAGCCAGGTGGAGTGGGACACACTAGGCTTCTCTTCACTGCCATCATCTTTGCAAAGGTGGTTTCATGAGTCGCAGTGAACACACTAAAAGCTATGGGGAGAATTAACTGCTTATGGTACACCTTCTCCACAATCTCACTGCAGTAGCACCAAGCTTTGTGTACCAAGACAGGAGGGTGGGTTTTTCACAGGCTGATCGGATGAATCCTGCGGCAGCGAGGGTCCAAAAAGGACATGCATCTCTCGTCTCAAGAAGTTTGCAATCTGGATGAGACAGGAGTGGTGCAAATATTTCTGGATGAGGTGTAAATCGTGCCAGATATGATGGTGGGATGTGCAGTCTTGGGAGGACATCTGACTCAGAGAAGAAGGACTTCCTGGAGGAGGTGATGTTTTTGAGCTGGGTTCCGAAGGATGAGAAAGAGATACCCAGAGAAAGAGTAAAGCAAATATTTCACATGGAAATGGAAAGTCCAGAGCTCTAACCATAAAACAGAGTGAAGTAGATTAGAGAACCTGCAAGTTAAATATGGCTAAGGAGAGAGAGCAAGGTGCGGACGGTGATGATGTTGAAGGAGACAGCAGGAAAACACAGGAGGTCCGCAGGGGTAGGGAGCCATATAGAGGAGATGGGCCTCCACGCTGGTGGCAGTGGGACCACTGGCAAGGACTGAATGAGATTTAAATTTAAAAATGTCCTTCTGTCTGCACTGTAGAGAATCCCAAAAGCTTGCAGGCCGGTAAGGAGGGCAGAGCTTAGGAGACCAGGGATGGAATCAAGGTCAGGGATAATGGAGGCCAGGCTGGCTGTACAGAGAAAAATGCACATTTGGAGCATTCTTGAGAATCCAAGTCCTCGCTGATGAGTTCATGTGGGAAAATGAAGGGGAGGGGGGCTTCAGGGGTCCTTTGGCTTGTGAATAGAGAAACTAGGCCCTTGGTGATGTCGTCTCTTAGACAGAGAGTACCAGGCAGAGACGAACACAAGATCAGAAAGGTGATAAAGTCTGCAGCTATCAGCCTTTCCATGGTGTACCCTGAAAGGACAGGAATATCCGCTTTGGGGATCGTAGGCAAAAATAGAACTGGGAGAGGGATTATTGGGATTAAATGTCCTCAGATTTATGGGACACGGATTAGTTGTCCACCAATAAAACAGGGGCCAGCGTTTAAGAGTAATGGTTCAGGTCTGGACCCCAGATTCTCCCCTTCCTGACCCACGTGGCTTGGTCCTTAGCGCTTCGCTCCTGGGCAGAGCTTATTTCCACGATCGGGGCTAAGCTAAAGACATTGTTCTCATCAGATTTAACTCCTGTAGGAGTTCTCACAGTCTCCCACATCAAGAAAAATAATGTGCGTCTATGGTGTCTCCCGACATGAGGTGATTTCTCATTTCAATTTTTAAAGTCATTCTTTCTGAAATGTTCTCATCAAATAGCTGTAGTTAAATATTAGACATTTTCTACTTTATTAAGTTATTTATTGTTCAATGCCATTTTCAATTATTCCAAGTTTTGTTTTTTAAGGGCTTCTCATTAAATTGAGGGACAGCTCCTGTAATTTGTCTATCTCCAGTTTAATAATCAAACCGAAAAGGTACAGGACTTTTTTTTTTTTTCCAGAGAGGTTTGAGGTTTGAGGATACTCATCATGAAATATGCATCATAGAAGAGCTTTCAAAGCAGTGGCCAATCTGTATGCAAAATCCCATGCTAAAACCCGTAACTGTCTAAGTCAGATACAAAGTAATTCAGGAAAAAAAAATAGGACGTTGCAAACCACAAAGATCTCAGGTGGCCTTATGGGGCTAATAAATCAGTTCTAAAAACGCACTCTGGCTGGACTCCTGCTTGGAGCTCTGGGTTGAAGACTCCAAGCATTCATTTTACCAACTATGAAAAAATTCAGTCCAGTTTTAAGTTAGAGAAGAGAAGAAAAAGAACGCATTGCTTTCAGATGCTTTTGGCTCAGCTATAATTCAAAACCAGCCTCGATACTGACACTTACCCTTCTGCTAGTAGAGCTGAGAGCTCAGTCTTCAAATCATCATTTTTTTGATACAAAAACCATAAAAATGGTCATTACTTATTGCAAATACCTACACCAATTCATGTTCCTATGGATGATTTTTGCCCGGTTTTAAAACCAAACTATACAACAAATTGTGTGTTATTAAGGTGAGCGCTTACTAACTCTCTTAGCTTGAAAATGGAAATGTCTCCTTGATCCAATTAAAGCTTCCACTAAATTTTGGAAACGCCAATCATAAGATTTGGGTCACCTCTGTAGCAGACACCCTCAAACTCGAGAAGATTTTAGGAACTACCTGTGTCTGGCTGGGCACAGTGGCTCATGCCTGTAATCCCAGCACTGTGGGAGGCCGAGGTGGGAGGATTGCTTGAGCCCAGGAGTTCAAGACCAGCCTGGGCAACATGGAGAACCCTCATCTCTATAAAATGAAAATAAAAATAAAAAGAACTACCTATGCAGAGGCTGCCCATCAAACCAATTGCACTGAGATTTCTCTGTGAGGGTCTCAGCATCTGTCCACATGTTTCTGAACCTCCTAGGGGTTCTTATTGTATTGAGAGTTGAGGATCACTGCTCTAGCAAGTGATATTTCTTTTCGTTAAAATTGAATACAGAGCCAATAATTTACTGAGAAATTGAAAACCAATGAATAAATAATTAAAATGACAATGATATAGGAAAGCTTTATGCTTTTTCACTTATCTAAATTCATGAAACTGTTTGGACATTGTATCTTTTGTTTTTTTTCTTTTTTGATTTTTGAGATGGACTTGTGCTCTTGTTGCTCAGGCTGGAGTGCAATGGTGAAATTTTGGCTCACTGCAACCTCCACCTTCTGGATTCAAGCAATTCTCCTGCCTCAGCCTCCCTAGTAGCTGGGATTACAGGCACCCACCAACACGCCCGAATAATTTTTGTATTTTTACTAGAGACAGGGTTTCACTATGTTGGCCAGGCTGGTCTCAAACTCCTGACCTCAGGTGATCCACCCACCTCGGCCTCCCAAAGTGGCCACCATGCCCGGCCTTTTTTTCTTTTTTTAATTAAGCCTGATCAGAAACTTTGACACCCCCCTCTTGGCTTCTACGCCAGTGACTGCAGTCTGTGGCCACAAGGAGATGAACTGTCACTTCCCCTCCTCCCCAACCGCCTCCTCAAGTGCACTCAAGCAGAGCTACTCCCGTTTGCCCAAATAATTTTTGATTCCCTCTACCTCATTAATACAATGTTCCTGATTCTCTGAATTGCAGATGGGCAGACAAAATGTACCCAGGAAAAGTGACACCCTCCTATAAGAAAACATGTGGTGGGTTATCTCTGAGCCCCTGCTGTTAACGTTCTACACCAAATGCCCTTTCTAATGCTGGGAGTGTCCCTCAGGGCGGCCGCACCCCTCACCTCACTTCTGAGGCAGGGTTCTGAACACCTGCTGTTAACTTTCTACACCAAATGCCCTTTCTGACCTCAGGGTAGCCGCACCCCTCACCTCACTTCTGAGGCAGTGTCAGCACTCAACACCTTCTGCTGATTGTGTCATTTTGAATAAGAAGAGAAACAAAAACAACAAACGTGTTTCTTCTTTGTGAACCCCGAAAAGAGCATGCAGGCTCTGAGGTGGGTCATTGATAAGACAGCAGGTCATACCTGAAATCAAACAACCCTTTAAAGACACAAAGAACTCCAGAAACTGCACTTCCAATCTTGATTAAAAAAAAGCCAAATTCTGTAAAATATTTGAAGAAGTTTATTCTGAGCCTAATCTAAGTGACCACAGCCTGTGACACAGCCTCAGGAGGTCCTGAGAACTGCTGTCCAAGGTGGCTGAGTTACCACTTGATTTTATACATTTGAGGGAGACAGAAGTTACAGACAAACGAATAAATCAATAAATGGAAGGTATACATTGGTTTGGTCCAGAAAGGAAAAATGTCTTGAAGCTGACAGGGGTGGGAGGGGTTGGTTACAGGTCACATGTGGATTCAAAGACTGAAAGAGTTAAGCTTTGCCTAAAAAGTTGCAATGGGTAGAATGAAATGCTTTAAGATTAAGGGTGTTGTGGAAGCCAAGGTTCTTGGTGTGTAGATGAAGCCTCCAGGTAGCAGCTTCAGAGAGAATAAATGGTAAATGTCTCTTATAGGACCCTAAAGGGTGTCAGACTCAGTCAAGTCTCTCCTGGATCAGAAAATGACCTAGAAAGGGATGGAGATTCTCTATAGAAGCCAAGTTTCCTCCACAAGAAATAGCTTTGTGGGGCTGTTTCAAAATATGCCAAATAAATATATTTTGGGGATAAAATACTCCGATTTCTTCAGGGCTTGCTATCTATTATGTGATGCTATACCAGAGTCAGGCTGGAACTGAGTATCTTATTGCTACCAAGAATCTGTTTTGTCAGTCTTGGGTTCTCTGTTGTTTCATGTAAATGCTGGTCATTTGCACCTGAATTGCAATGGGAGAGGGTATAAGGAGGTGTGTCTGACCCCACTTTCCCGGCACGGCCTGAAATCATTTTTCAGGTTTCTTTCAGATCCCCTTGGCCAAGAGCAGGGCTCCATTCAGCCAACTGGGGCTTTAGAATTTTATTTCTGGCTTACACCAAATACCCAAACTTTGCATGAAACTTTTGAAAAGATCCCAAGTCTTTGCATTAAAATTCTAAAAAATGGTATCAAAGAAGAATGGCGATGCTCCCAACACCTGCATAAAGCAAGCGGAGAAATCTGACACATAGATCAAGCATTTGATAAAAGGCCAAGATTTTTAATACATCATTACATATAAGGCAGTGTGAGAAGCGGGCAGAAGCTCGCTCGTCACCAGGCCTGGAAGAGTGTCATGGCGGACAAGGCTGGGGCAGTCACGGGGGAAAACAGTCCACAAGGAGGCGCCACAGGAGCAGCCGCTGAACCAGCAAAGCAAATCCCGTTGGGATCTACTCAGTTGTGATGTAAGTGCAGTTACAGGAGCGCTCATTAGCATAATACTGAGCAATAGAGCGGTGGACATGAGAAGTGAGACCCCAACCACAGGGAGAAATCAAAACCACTTCTGCCTCCACTGTGGGTGCTGCTGAAAACACGGAGGTTACAACACGCTGATCCTCTTGATTGCCGAACTGGATAAGATGTTTTTCGTTTTCCCTAAGGGATTTTTGCAGCTACTTGAAGACAACAGAAGCCTGTTGCTGTTGTTTTCTTTTAAATTGGGCATAGCTATTTGACACAGAGGACGCCATCACTGACAGTGGCTGGACGGGGCCCATGCACTGACGAAGGCGAGACCGCCTTTTTCCCCTGTGCAGACTTCTGCTGATGACTCCCAGAGACAGATGCTTGGTTAAGAGGCAAACTGCCTTTCAGATTTTAATGTTCAGGAAGGAGAGATAAACCCGTTGGAGTTTATAAATAAAGACCAGAATGGCTTTCTCATTTGCTGTGATAAACTTTTGAGATTTCTGCAACAGATGAAATCATGAGGTATTTGTCTTCACACGCAATGTTGTAGCAAATAACACTTTTTTTCTCCGTAGTGGTCTGGCTGATACTTTTCAATCTTAGAATTATGTCAGGAAGAAAGTTACAAGTAGGTGCTAATGATCTTCAACACCCCCTCCCTTTAATTCTTGCTAATTCCGTCATAACAAAGAAAATAAGTTCAGCAGGAGAAGACCAACATCAGAGCTGCCCACAGGAGAGACACCAGATGAACGTGAAATGCAGCCCTGCACCCATTCACCTGGAGACGTCCAGGTTGGGCACGCAATGCGTGTGAGCCCAAGGGCTTCAAAAATCAATTAACCATGTGGTTTTCTTGTGCTAGGAGGCCACTCCACCTCCTCCACATTCTGGGCTTTACCTCCAACTTAAATCCACACTGCATAGAGTCTTCCTAGTTGTACAAAATAACTATTGCTTGCACAAGGCTGTGCAAAGTTCTCAATGCTTTGTTCTATTTCCATAAATTACAATTAACATTTTATCTGTTTAGTAGTTTTATTTTTCTTCCCCCACCCCCTGCTCCCACTGTTTGGGGAAACTTTAGGAGAAAAAGAATGCAAAATGAACAATTACAAAAGACAGCTAACTCATATCAAGGAGAATGACTGTCTTTGTGGAAATTAAGTGCCTGTTTCTAAGTACCATGCATATTCATAGTGCTTATTTATGTCCTGATAATGGAAGTGTCATCTGCTGTGAATGCCCAAATTCATCCTCGTTTTCCAAACGAGTCCACGGTTGATGACTAAGGAACCCTGTGGTACATTCATCGTTGCTGCAGTGACACTTAACACCCCGGCCCTTTAGAGCTTTTGAACCACTTTCATTGAAATTGCAAACAAACTCAATTATCTTGTGATTTTAATTAGTACAAAAATAACCTATTTTGTTAACAAGAAAGAAACTGATTTTACAACAAAATTGGTCAGGTATATTTGAAAAACTAGCACAATGAGGTAACTGCAGAGAGAAATACTACCCTGCATGGCACCAGGCCCAAGAGGAGGCTTAATAAATAATATTTCATGCTGATGCTGATAAGGGTAACACTTCATAAGGCAAAGGAAACAATCTTGGGCCACTGCTATCATTAGATTTTCTGATGGATGCCTACTCTCTTCCTGTTTTTCAAGAAACTTAGAATTGAGCTGAGGCATTTTGGATACAAATGACAATAACACAGCTCAAAGGCTGTGCCTGTTGTGTTGCATTCATTTTTGCAGAACATGGTGAAAAGGAGATCGTAAATCTGGATTTCATCACTGAACTCATGTTTAGAATCCCATGCAACTCCTGAGAATTCTGCTACAAAACACTTCTGCCAGAGATATTTGCTGAGGAGAGAATCATGCCCACATGGAATTCCTTGCAACTGGCCTCATGAGACAGTTCTTGTCCATATTGAAAATGAAGTGGCCAGCACAAGGCACAGCCTCTTACTTGGAATATGTTCTATGCAACAAATTCGTCTTTAGAGTGGATATTAATATTGCATTAAACACTATTACAGCCATTGTAATTTTTGTAGCAATAGAGTGAATATAAAATGACAGTTACTCCATTAACTACGAAGTGCTTTTTTATGAAGGTCGGCTGGTGAGTGTGTGTGACTGTGTGTGCATGTGTAGGTGCATGTACATGTGTGCATGTTTACTCATTTAAATCCTCCCCCCGTTGTGTTAGAGGTCATTGATTACCATGCACTTCCCCCCCTCCCCCCACCACTCTGTCCATCTGAAAACACCAGCAGTCACAAGAGGGCTTTCATACAAAGAGAGTTGGGGAGGTGGACATTTGCCAACAGAGGTCTTCTACATCTAGGAGAGTGCTGGAGGTCCATTTGCACAACCAACTGATATGCTGGGTGGTGTCGTAAAAAAGAGAATGACCGGAACTTCAAATGAATGCGAACCTTCGATCGTGATAAATACCATATACAATGATGCTTGCTTGGAATGTGTCACAGAAATGATGAAGCAAAATACCACTCACCTAGCGATTTTAGAAATGCTAATTGATGTCATAATCTTTGGCTTTGAACAGTTGTTTATAAACTGAATTTCTGGCTTTTCTAAATACCTAGAATTCTACACACACACCCCACCTTTGAGGTTTGTTTAAATACAGATGGCTGCTGTAGACAGAGAAACCAGCTCAGAAGAGTGTGGTTGTGCTATGATCTCTGAAAATTACTGCACTGTCTGTTAACAGTGCATAATCAGGTTCACCATTATAAAAAGGGGACTTAGTTCAGTCTTACTTTATGCAGGGAATTATACTGGGGCTTTAAATTATTAATATATTAAGGTATATACAAAGATAATATATACAAGAGATGTTGAATTACCAACCGAAGACCACATTGGGGCAAGGTACAATGGGTATAAATCAGAAAAGAGCAGGGACTGTACCTCTTTCTTCCACATTCCTCCTACGTCTGTTTTATGTCCTATTATACAGCTGGAAAAAGCTGATGAATTAAACTGGACTTGCAGCCCCAGAGCGTGACGTCACATCCAGGAGGCCATCAGTAGCAGGCCTTTGTTGAGCTGCTGAAAAGGAATTCTCCTGTAACTGGAAGCAAGTAGGAGAAATTTCCCGTTCCTTCCCACGCTACAGCATCACATATGGGAAAAGCTAACATCAAGAATGGCCTGGGATGTGCAGAATCTTCCAGTTCTTCATCCTCAGTGCCTGACTGTCGACAGTCCCACAGATTCACAGCCATGGGTGCAGGGGAAGCTTACTCTTTTTTGAACATAGGTTAGAAAAGCAGGAGCACATTTCTAAACAACTGGCTCCTTTCCAAAATGCATTAAGGCCAGAAGAATGCAAAGTATGAAGTCAAGAAAAACTCTAGCCCAACTGAGATCATCTGTGACATTCTTTAGAAGAGTTAGAGGGACATCCATGTTAAATGGAACAAAAACATTAAGTAAGAGATCCATCAACCCCACTTCTGGGTGTTAAAGATTTGAAATCAATGGGTCCAAGAGATATCTGCACTCCTAAGTTCATTGCAGCATGATTCACAATAGCCAAGTTATGAAATCAGTCTAAGTGTCCATTAAGGGACAAATGGATAAGGAAACTGTAGTTTATACACACAATGGAGTATTATCCAGCCCCTAAAAAGAAAAGAAATTCTGTTATTTGTGACAACATGGATGGAATTGTAGAACATTATGCTGAGTGAAATAAGCCAAACGCAGAAAGACAAGCACAGCATATCCTCACTTACTTGTGGAATTAAAACAATTGAACTCGGAGCAGCAGAGAGGGGAATGGTGGCTGCAGAGGCTGACGCCTGGGAAAACACAGACATGACAGTCAAAGACACAAAGCTTCAGTGAGATCAGAGGAAAAGTCTGATATTTTTTAGATCCATAGCACAGCATGCTGAATACATTCTAAATTGTCTATAAAGCGCATAACACCACTTTTTACCCATAAGTACATACAACTATAATTCGTCAATATACAACACATATTTGTTTTTAAATATTAAACACTAAGAGCTCTTTCCAACCTTTTCCTTGTAATCACCAAAAGTCAGGCTGAATTGCTTCATGGTTGTAAGGCACTCTCACATTTACTATTGCATTGGGAAATTAAAGAGCACAGAAGGGGCTCCTTCATTTAATTTCTCAACAGATTTGTCGTAGTAGGGAGCAACGTCTATAAAGATGGTACACTATCAGAAATGTCTTCAGAACGTCCTGAACAAACGTGACCTTCAGAAGTCATTGATGAAAGTATGCTGCCCTAAATCCTTAATCCAGAAGCTGGGTGGGAGTGGAGCATCTCCTTGGGATCAGGGGTGTCCGGGTGGGAGAAGAGCACCTCCTTGGGATTTTCTCTGCCTCATTTCTCAAGGGGGCACAAATGGAAGTTTCACAATTGGAGCCACTGTTAAATAAAGAAATGGAGGAGAAGGAAGTGGAGGAGGAGAGGGAAATGGGGAAGAAGAATTGACTGAAGACAGAATAGTTGGAATACCCTTGAGAAAGCAATATTTATTTCCACAGGAGTTATTTTAGTCAAAACTATGTTTGAACCAATTGCTCATTGAGTAGGTATCAGACGTTGTGTCAAACACTTTCCTGGGCCAGGCGCAGTGACTCACACCTGTAATCTCAGCACTTTGGGAGGCCCAGGCGGGTGGATCACTTAAGGCCAGGAGTTGAGGATCCACTTAGGCAACATAGTAAGACCCCATCTCTACAAAACATATGAAAATTAGCAGGACTTGGAGGTGTGCACCTGTGGTCCCTGTTTGTTGGGAGGCTGAGGTGAGAGGATTCCTTGAGCCTAGGAGTTCGAGGCTGCAGTGAGCAATGATTGTGCCACTACATTCCAGCCTGAGTGACAGAATGAGACCCTGTCTCCAAAAAATAAAAAACACTTTCCTATATCTTGTCTCACTAAATCCAACATACCAAACAATTCTCCAGAGGACACCAGCTGGGTGTCCTGTAATTCAACTTCACTCTGACCCTGTCTACCTAGAGAGAGGATCAGATCCCACGGGTTAAAGGACCCTGTCCCATAAGACGGTCCCCACGTCAGATACCAGCCACCACGCTTCTGACTGAATGGCCGCAAATCGGGCTCCCAGCACCCCCTTCTTGAGGTCAATTCATTTGCTAGAGCAGCTCACAGAACTCAGCAAAACACTATACTTACATTTGATGGTTTGTTAATAAGGTTATAATAAAGGACACAGAAGAACAGGCAGATGAAGCGATGGAGAGAGCGGGGTCTTGAAGGTCCCAAGCACAGGAGCATCTGGCCCCATGGAGTTGGGGTGCTCCACCCTCCTGCCATGCAGCTGTGCTCAGCAGCTTCTTAAGTGTTTTTATTTGGTTTTCTCTGTTTCTTTATTTTTTGAGACAGGGACTTTCTGTGTCACCCAGGATGTAGTGTAGTGACACGATCATAACTCACTGCAGTGCCAACCTCTTGGGCTCGAGTGACCCTCCCACTTTAGCTTCTGGAACTATAGGTGTGCAATAGGTGGCTTTTTTTTTTTAAAGTTTTTGTAGAACTGGGGTCTCACTATGTTGCCCCGGCTGGTCTTGAACTCCTAGACTCAAGCGATCCTCTTGCCTCAACCTCCCAAAGTGCTGGTATTAAAGGCATGAGCCACCACATCCAGCTAATTTTTGTTTGTTTGTTTGTTTGTAGAGATGGGGTCTCTCCATATTGCCCAGGCTTGAAAACTCCAAACTTCTAATCACGGCTTGGTCTTTCTGGTGACCAGGCCCATCTAGGAGCCACCAAGAGTTGCTTCATGAGAACAAAAGACGTTCCTCTCACTCAGAAAATTCCGAGGGTTGTAGAGCTCTGTGCCAGGAACTGGGGGGCAGAGATCAAGTATAGATTTCTTATTGTATCACAGCAGCCCTCTGGGGTCCCTTCTATAAGGGCACTAATCCCACGACCTAATCACCCCCAAGTCCCTCTCCTAGTACCATCACTTTGGTGATTAAGATTCAACATGGAATCTGGGGGTGACACAAACCCTCAGACCATAGCAAGTTGTCGCCATCTTATTAATGTATTTTAAATGTTAACATTTTGTCACGCTCCAAACATTTTGCTCTGTTGGCTCCCTGATGGGAAAGCCCATGCTTGGGGACCCTCCCCCAGCTCTTCCTGTGCCCATGTCCCGCTGGGGACCCTGTCACATCCACACTGCCAAGACTCTGGGGGGCCGAGTCTTCCAAGAGCTGGGCAGAACAAAAGCACATTGGACTCAAGAATGGGGAGTCAGTCCCTGGGCCCGGCACTCACAGCGCCCTCTGTCCTCGTCTCCTTTACTGCTCAGGTCATCCAGCTGTCCCCAGAGCGCATGCCCTCTTCGAGGACAAGACCCCCACTATAGACCCTAGGCCAAACTGAACAAGTGCTTTTCATATGGATACAGATTTATGTTACTTACTCTAAAATTGTTTAGAGCTCATGATTTGTTATAGTTTTTTTTTTTTTTTTGTCTTTTTTGAGGTGGAGTCTTGCTCTGTTGCCCAGGCTGGAGTGCAGATGCCTGATCTCGGCTCACTGCAACCTCCACCTCCTGGGTTCAAGCAATTCTCCTGCCTCAGTCTCCCAAGTAGCTGGGACTACAGGCACCGGCCACCATGACTGGTTAATTTTTGTATTTTTTTTTAGTAGAGACAGGGTCTTACTATGTTGCCCAGGTGGATCCTGAACTCCTGGCCTCAAGTAATCCACCTGCCTGGGCCTCCCAAAGTGCTGAGATTATAGGCGTGAGCCACCATGCCCGGCCTTAAGTATTTTTTACAAGTACAATGACAATAATGAAATTTTACCTGGGATTTCACCTGAGAATTCTCCAAAAGTTTACTGCCTCTTTTCCCTTATTTCTTAGAGTGGGGATGACACCCTCACGTTATGTTATACAGCGGTGAGTAAGATGTGCTTCATTGTTAGGATGGAGTGGTATTCAGTACATATCATTTATTTTCTTATTTTTGTTTTTTGAGACAGGGTCTCGCTCTGTTGCCCAGGCTGGAGTGTAGTGGCACCATCACACCTCACTGAAGCCTCAACCTCGTGGGCTCAAGCTATCCTTCCTCCTCAGCCTCCTGAGTAGCTGAGACTACGGGCGAGTGCCACCACGCCCAGCTAATTTTTGTATTTTTTGTAAAGGTGAAGTGTGTTTTTTTTTTTTTTTTTTTTGACAGAGTGTTGCTTGTCACCAAGGCTGGAGTGCAGGGGTGCAATCTTGGCTCACCACAACCTTCGCCTCCTGGGTTCAAACGATTATCATGCCTCAGCTTCCCGAGTAGCTGGGATTACAGGTGTGTGCCACCACACGCAGCTGGTTTTTGTACTTTTAGTAGAGATGGGGTTTAACCATGTTGGTCAGGCTGGTCAAAACTCCTGATCTCAGGTGATCCATCCGCCTCGGCCTCCCACAGTGCTGGGGTTACACCCATGAGCCAACACGCCCGGCCAGACAGGCCATTTCCATGATGCCCAGGCTGGCCTTGAACCCCTGGGTTCGAGCAAACTGCCAGCCTCAGTCTCCCAATGTCCTAGGATTACAGGCGTGAACCACTGCTCCCAGCCAGTATACGTAATTTAAATGTTTTACAATTAATTATTTAAATTAAATGATTTAAACAAAATTATTCGAATGATGTAAACACCCTAGAAATAAATCCGGGTATTAAGAAGGAAGAATCACGTTCCAAGGGAAAAGGAGCTAATATTAATCCAAAACATTTGGTGCACTATACATAGTTATTTAGTATATTTACTAGATGTAGTGTGTATAAATAGTCACCAGATAGGTAGGTAAAGACAGAAAGGGAGATTGAATTAACATTACTTTTAGAAGTCAACCGGAGCTACTCAGGAAAGGCCCAGCACTAACATAAAGGGATGAATCGGCCAGGCTGGCCAGTAGGGGATAGCGAAGACTGTGGCAAAACCAAGTGTATGCCTAGCCAACATCATGTTCAGGTTACTTCTCAAACCAGCCAGCACCTAAACCACACGCCTCTGTGGGCTGACAATACATATTTGGGCCAGATGAGGCCTGCAGACGGTCAGCCCCTAAAGAGATGTCTGGTGAGGAAGCTATTTTGAGCTGAGACTGGACAGCTGAGAAGTGTTAGGGACTCATTAACACTTCCCAACCTAAACAACAGTTTAATTCAAGCTGGACAGAGCTGAGACATGGGCAGGCCTGAAGCAGAGTGAATGAGAGATGGAGAAAAGGCTGTTTATAACAATTAAGGTAGAACCCACAGAAGCATTTATAAGCTTTGGAAATAAGGGTTTTAAAACTATTGCCCTGGTAGGTACTTTTTACATCATGTAAGTAAACCCTAAAATGGCCAACATATCTAGGTTTAAAGAGCAATATTAAAAAAGCTTATTTTCTCCATTTTCCCTGCAAGAGATAATCCTAAACATCCATTGTATCAAGCTAGTCAGTCTCTACCTTGAACGTGGTTGCAACTGTAGGTGGCACAGATAACGACGTTTGGAAGAATTAAGTGATTTTGTATTAAAAAGCCCTTATTTCTGAATATATATGGGATATTTTGGAAAGAGGTATACACATGGATTTCTTTTTAATTGGAGATTAGATGTTTAATCATACTCTCAAAATGATCCATGTAGACCAAAATGTGAAGTTGTGCTGGTCTATAGCGGTGTTTTCCAGCTCTGGATCTCCCTGCAACAGCAGCCTCATGACCCGCGAGTTAATCAGAAACAGAACGAGCGGATCCACCCGCCCAGCGAATCAGCCTCTGTGGGGCGAGGCCGGGGGCTGAGGACAGGCTCTCCAGGTGAGTGACCCAACGCGGCTAAAATATATGACCTGCGGTCCTGGCTGCACATCCTCAGAGACTTCTCAGTGAAGTAATTTGGTACAGATTTTAGGAAAAGATATTTATGTTGTCTTTACTAACCAGAACCAGTTTAAATACAGTCTTTTAGAAGGAGAGGAAACAGAATCCATCCTATTTTTCCAGAGGTAACTTTTGTGTGTGTGTGACTCACATCTGTTTTCTGTTTCCCATTCGGAAAGTGTCTCCAGGGTAGTGGCCTGCACCCTATGAGCATGTCCACTAACCAAATGAACGAGAGGTATTCAATCACTTAGGTTAGTTAAAGTCTGTGTGATTCCCCAAGGTTTAGCTCACGGGTGAAAGGGCACATGCTTTCAATGAGATCTAAAGTTTTTGGCAAGTTGATCGTAAGCCCGAGAGACCCCATGGTTCAAACGCAAGCACATGTGTAGGGCACACACATACACATAGCTGTGGAAGCTTCGTGGATGCACTTTCTCCATCTGCATTTTCCGGAATTTCCCTGCATCACATAGTGAAGGGGAAACCAGATGTGCAGAAAAGGTTCTCCTCGGGAGGCGAAGGCAAACAGAGCTGTCCTGTTTGCTCCCCACTGAAGCCACTTACACATAACTCTGTAGTCCATAGTCAACAAGATGACTCCAAGGGGAAGGAGGGAGGAGGAAAGGAAAAAGTCAAGGCAGAGGAGATTAGCTTGGCAACACACAGCCGAGCATCCATCCATATTCTGTATCATATTATCCCGCCTGCTACACAAGTACCTCACAGCAGATAGCACTGACTGCCTGACTACACACGCCAGGGGCATGTTGCTGGATAGCTGTGCTTTTTCTCCATGTCTGCTTACATTTAATCTTCAAATCACTTATACACAGATTTATATACACAAATGCACATATACACATATACATAAACACACCTGTGCAGGTATACACACAAGGACGTATACATGATAAAGTCTAGTTGAACTACATTAATCATGGGTACATGCATGTACATACATGCACACATAAGTACATGCTAGAATCCACTTATGCTGATTACATTAATCATGGGTGTATTAGTCCGTTTCCACACTGCTATAAAAAATGCCCGAGACTCGGTAATTTATAAAGGAAGATGGTTTATTTGACTCATAGTTCCACATGGCTGGGGAGGCCTCAGGAAACTTACAATCATGGCAGAAGGTGAAAGGGAAGCAAGGCACCTTACTCACAGGGTGGCAGGAGAGAGAAATGCAAGCAGGGGAAATGCTAGACGCTCATGAAATCACCAGATCTCATGAGACTCACTCATCATCACAAGAACAGCATGGCGGAAACCACCTCCACGATCCAATCACCTCCCTCCCTCGGCATGTGGGGATTGCAATTCAAGATGAAATTTGAGTGGGCCACAGAGCTAAACCATATCAATGGGTATATGTGAGTACATAGACACACACACACACACACACACACACACACACACATGCACAGACATGCTAGAGTCCAGCTACACTGATTACATTAATACATTAATCACGGGTGTATGCGTGTGTGTGTATATATACATATATATATATATGTATATATACACACACTATGACATGCTAGAGTCCAGTTACACTGATTACATTGACCATGGGTGTACGCGTGTACATATATACATACACAAGGACATGCTAGAGTCTAATTACACTGATTATATTAACCATGGTGTATGCCTGTACATATATATACACACACAAGGACAAACTAGAATCTAGTTACACTGATTATATTAACCATGGTGTATTCCTGTACATAGATACAAACACAAGGACATGCTAGAATCTAGTTACACTGATTATATTAAGCATGGTGTATTCCTGTACATAGATACACACACAAGGACATGCTAGGGTCCAGTGACACTGATCACATTAATCAAGCTTCAACGCACCCTCTAAAGTCAGTATTACCCACACCAAATGTTAAATGTCATATTTCAACAATATAACAAAATTCTCAGACAAAATGTATCCAAACCTCAAAACCATGCTCTTTCCACCCAAAGTACTACCTCCTCTGTGGATACCCTTGATATACTTTATATTCTTTTTTTTTTTTTTCCATTTCAGGGTTAATTATACTTGTTAGGCACATTTTTACTTTTTGTTACACATAAAAATGTTTGTAAATAGATAAAAATTTAAATTTCAGAAAGCTACTCCTGCCTGGACGAGGCTATCTGAAGCACACATGGATCGTTGGCGGGTTCCAAAGGGCAGTATTTGGGGCAAATGGAATAAACTCTCTAAGCTAGTTCAGCCTGAGCTGGTGGTGTGGAGTAAGACTTTGGGAAATGTGAGGGACGTCCCCTCCAGGGAGCAGGATAGACAGATGTAGGGAGCAGAGGGAGGACATCACAGCAGATCCAGAGGCTGATGTTGTCTTGTAATGAAATAAAACTGGAGACGGACTAGGGGCTTCAAATCAACGAAGAGGAGCCTGAGATGAAGACTCATGGTATGAAATTTGGGAGAAAACAGCAAAAGGCCAGTTGAGGACGCATTCCACAACCACGTGCCCAGTGGCATGGAAGAGCAGATGTCTGAGGTCATGGCATTCTCCCTCTGCACCACCCCAAAGGCCTGCTGCCACAACTGATGCATTCTCTCTCCACCCCCGCAGACATCACCAGTACATTCCTGACAAAAAGCAATATATTTTTACTCTGCAGATGACAAATGTCTCCACTGCCATTTTCTCGCTGTTTTCACGCGTACAGAGACCCACAAGCCCGCCAAATGAGGACGGCTGGAAAGATTTTCCTCTGCAGATTAGAAATTAAGTCTTGGGTTTCTTTTGTAATAGGCAGGCACAGCCACATTACCATTGTATTTGGCTTTTGCGGGAGGTTAAAGTTATTGACAATGAACTGTTTAAACATGTGTGCAAGCTGCTTTATGGAGCGCCTTTAACGAGAAAGGATGGAGAGGGAGCCTGTGCGAAAGCCGCCCTTACAGATTAGGAGAATCAGAAAACCTACGTCACCCCGTGGCATTCACTGCAAGTGAGGCCCAGCGCGATGGTAGGGAGAGAGTTTTCCATTTTAAAGTTAGTTAAGGAAGAAGAATCATGACTTTTTCGGCAAATCTGAATTTTTAGAGAGGTAAGCCTCCTCACTGGAAGGACCCAGGATGGATGATGTTTCTAAGAAGGGTTTCCCTGGGGCCTTCTCACTTCACGCCAGCCTCCCCATTCAAGCCAGGGCCTGCCTGAGCAATGCAGGACCTCAGAAGCAGAGAAGCCCCTCCATGCCACAAACCCCATGCCCTCATTAGAGAAACGGACAAACCCCATGCCCTCGTTAGAGACATGGGCAGCATCCCTTGCGCACGCTAGTCAAAGCTCCAAAATACTTTAAACATGGGGACCAAGACCAACAGACAACAAGGAGATGCTATCACCCAATGGGCTCCTTAAAGGATCCTCCTCCACTTCCCATGGAAATACTAAGACACCTGTCCTCCCACTGTCATCCGTGAAGTGCCATGTTTGTTTTAGGGGTGAAGAAACTGAAGCCAGGAAAGGTCCTGCCACCTTACTGAGTGGTTGCTTACGGAGAGAATCTCAGATCTTCCGATGGGTCCAGGGGCTGCTGTGTCCTGAATGCTTCAGCCCTTGATACCTAGTGTACGGGAAAGGTCGGACCAAATAGAGAGCACCCTGCCCCGCCCATAACAGAATATATAAAACATCTCCAAGTTTAGGAAAGCTGCCTGGAAGACGAGCCTCACGCATCAAATGACAGCCGGCAGCTCTGTCACATCCCAGACCCAATACAATGCCCAGCTTGTGTCAGCAGCTTGCAGAAGTGTATGGATGGGACTCCAAATGGTTCGTACCAAGGAGAGAAAAGCATCTGAGGTTTCCAAAAAATATTTCCTTATCTTCAAATATGTTTGCTTTTGGTTTTTTTTGGGTTTTTTTTGTTTTTTTTTGAGACAGTGTCTCACTCTGTCGCCCAGGCTGGAGTGCAGTGATGCAATCTCAGCTCACTGCAAGCTCCACCTCCCAGGTTCACCCCATTCTCCTGCCTCAGCCTCCCAAGTAGCTGGGACTACGGGCGCCCGCCCCCACGCCCAGCTAATTTCTTGTATTTTTAGTAGAGACGGGGTTTCACAGTGTTAGCCAGGATGGTCTCGATCTCCTGACCTCGTGATCTGCCCACCTCGGCCTCCCAAAGTGCTGGGATTACAGGCGTGAGCCACAGTGCCCGGCCCAAACATGGTTTTTAAGAAAATTGGTTTAATGCAATTATCAGTGTGATGTCTGGGAATCTGAGATTGCCATGGACACACACAGACACATGCTCATATGCACACTCATACACACAGATATGTGAAAACACACGCCACATTCACACACACTCATGTACGTTGCTGGAATGGGCATCTGCTTTATTTGCATTGAGGAACTGTCTTACACTGAAAAAGGCTGAAGAAAAGAAATTACAACAAAACATATATATTCCTAGATTTTACTGTAGCTTTGTACATAGTAGAGTTGTTACCACTGGAAATGTCCCAGCTACATAGCATTTGCACTTTACATTGGACACACAGATCTTTCTCTGCAAAAGAATGATGACTTAATTAACAAGGGTGATAAATTTACCAAAGTTTGTATTTGTGTCACCTCAAAATCTAGGTCTTGATGGATCCCTTTGAAGTTGTCTGCTCAATTAATAAGCAAAACTAGGCACACAAGATTCAGAATGCCATTGTGAAGCCATGTGCCCTACAAAAGTTCAAGCTCATTTGCAGCTTAGAATAGAGAAAGAAAATTGAAGGCGTATCTCTGCAAATTGGCAACACCCCTTCTAGAATTTAGGATATGTCCTTTAATACGAAGAAACTGGCAGTTGCGACGCTCCCCATCAACATGAAATTCAGTGAAACACAGGCTGTCTCAGGGCAGCAAGGCGACACCACCGAGGCATCCCAACCCTGTTAACCATTTGTGGAAACTGCTAGGCTGTTACCATCCACATGGCGAAGCGACCCTGCCGAGAGCATCCCTGACTCAAAGGCTAGGGGAGGCCTGGCCCAGAACACCTGCTGCTGATGCTTTAACCCGTCTGGTTCGGTTGTGTTGTTCAGGGATGAAGACCCACAGGTTTTTTAATTATTGAATTCTGCATCTGACGGCGTTGATTCATAATGAAAAACAGCCAGCACGCCTTCAGTGCCTCCACCAAGCTCTCTGCTGCGTGCTGGAGGCGCTTTACCTGGTAAATCCTCAACATACCTCATGAGAGAGGTCACTTTACTCCCCCAGTCCTACAGCAAGCCCTCTGCTGCCTTCTGGAGGCGCTTTGCCTGATAAATTTTTGCAATAACTTATGAATGAGGTCACATTACTTTTCCACCCATAGAGGAAGCACTTAGCTGTATTCCGGAGATGCTGGTAAATCCTCCCAGTACCCCATGAGTTAGATCGCATTACTCCCCCAGACCTACAGCAAGCCCTCTGCTGCATTCTGGAGGCGCTTTGCCTGGTAGATCCTCCCAACACCCCACAAGGTCGCATTACTCCCCCAGACCTACAGCAAGCCCTCTGCTGCCTTCTGGAGGCGCTTTGCCTGGTAGATCCTCCCAACACCCCACGAGGTCACATTACTCCCCCAGACCTACAGAAAGCCCTCTGCTGCCTTCTGGAGGCGCTTTGCCTGGTAGATCCTCCCAACACCCCACGAGGTCACATTACTCCCCCAGACCTACAGAAAGCCCTCTGCTGCCTTCTGGAGGCGCTTTACCTGGTAGATCCTCCCAACACCCCACGAGGTCGCATTACTCCCCCAGACCTACAGCAAGCCCTCTGCTGCCTTCTGGAGGCGCTTTGCCTGGTAGATCCTCCCAACACCCCACGAGGTCACATTGCTCCCCCAGACCTAAAGCAAGCCCTCTGCTGCCTTCTGGAGGCGCTTTGCCTGGTAGATCCTCCCAACACCCCACGAGGTCACATTACTCCCCCAGACCTACAGAAAGCCCTCTGCTGCCTTCTGGAGGCGCTTTGCCTGGTAGATCCTCCCAACACCCCACGAGGTCACATTACTCCCCCAGACCTACAGCAAGCCCTCTGCTGCCTTCTGGAGGCGCTTTACCTGGTAGATCCTACCAACACCCCACGAGGTCACATTACTCCCCCAGACCTACAGCAAGCCCTCTGCTGCCTTCTGGAGGCGCTTTGCCTGGTAGATCCTCCCAACACCCCACGAGGTCACATTGCTCCCCCAGACCTACAGCAAGCCCTCGGCTGCCTTCTGGAGGCGCTTTACCTGGTAAATCCTCGTCACACCTTGTGAATGGGGTCACATTTCTCCCCCAGTCTTACAGCAAGTGCTCTGTCGCATTTTGGAGGCTCTTTGCCTGGTAAATCCTCTCGAGAGCTCGTGAGTGAGGTCACGTGACTCCCCTAGTCCTACAGCAGGCTAAATTGAGGCTTAAAGTCTCTTCCCCAAAGCAAAGAAATCAGGATTTAAATCAAAATTGAAGTTCCCAGAAGACATCTTCAAGAACCACGCAATCAGAGAAGGGTCCAAGAACCATGAAATAAACCCAGACACCTCTGAGATGATTGGTCGGGGATAGGTCACGGTCTCAAGGCATCAACTTTTGAAGAAGTTTTGCCAAGAGGAGAAAGGGGGGGAAATATCTCTTAAAAAAAAAGTCACTTAAAAAAATTTTTAAGACGAGGATACCTGAAAACAATAAGAGCAGAGGGAGCTATTCATGATGAGAACATCTGAGGCTAATTATTCACTCAGGTCTACACCTACAGGTGCCATCTAGTTTAATGCTATTTAAAGTGTCTCTTCTTTTAGTCAAGATATGATGCAACTCAATGGATGCAGAAGGTTGTACCAGGCAAGATCACTCTTCGTTTGAAGAAGTGGTGGCTGAGGTTGGAGTTCGTCTTTCCCCTGCAATTAGAATTCTTCAAACACGTTACATAAAAAAGCAAAATTTTTTTTTTTTTTTAAGGCAGAGTCTTGCTCTGTCACTCAGGCTGGAGTGCAGTGGTGCCAGCTCAGCTCACTGCAACCTCCGCCTCCCAGGTTCCAGCGATTTCCTGCCTCAGCCTCCCGAGTAGCTGGGATTACAGGCACCCACCACCACACCCTGCTAATTTTTTGTATGTTTAGTAGAGACGGGGTTTCACTGTCTTGGCCAGGCTGGTCTCAAACTCCTAACTTCAAGTGATCCACCAGTCTTGGCCTCCCAAAGTGCTGGGATTACAGGCGTGAGCCACCACGCCTGGCCCGCAAAATTCTTTCAAAAGTTGTTTTGGAACAAACGACCTCAAAATTGAAGCAGAAACACGTGTTGTTTTTCTTACTAACTTAGACAAGATAAAGGAGCAGTGGATGGAAGCAGGAGCTCTGAGGCTGAAGAATAAAGGACAAGGTGTGGTGTGAACTAACTTGGGGGAGTCCTGTATAGTTCTGGAGTTTATTGATGAATCCTCCTATCCCGATTAAGAAAATACAACCGATAGACACTCTGATCCTGATGGCTACCACCAACTGTGGTAAAGCTACATCTTCAGCATCGACTGCCATCAGAACAAAACCCTGACGTGGTCTCAATGCCGAAGGCTACACATGCATGCGAGCTCAGAGGCCACCACTCTACCTCAGAATCCACTGTGAGGCAAAACCAAAGGCGAGTTTCACTGGAATTTCTTCATTTGAGTTCATGTTTCAAGAAGTGGCCACCCCTCTATTTTCTGAAAAATGTGAGACACTTTTCTTTGTAAAATTGCATGTAAGTATGTTTCTGTGATGGCTATGATGACAATTTAAGGCAAGTAATGATATGCAAAATTAAGTGTATTTTATGTTTAAGAATATTGCATCTGATTCTTAAAGTGGCTAGCACTATGGAAATATTAAGAAGAGAGCTTGGCTGAGGGCTCAATATTAAATATCAGGGTTATCTGCAGGAGACAGGCAAAGGGAGAGAAGCTATTCCAAATGTCCTCTTACCCAGAAGACTTCAAATGTCCTCCTACACAAAAGACTCCAAATGGCCTCTTACCCAGAAGACTCCAAATGTCCTCCTACCCAGAAGACTCCAAATGTCCTCTTACCCAGAAGATTCCAAATGTCTTCCTACCTGGAAGACTCCAAGTATCCTCTTACTGAGACCGTTTTATTCTTTCTCAATTATCTCTGACCACTGCAAACTCTTCAAGGAGCTGATCAATACAAATGCCTTCAGAAGCTTCAGGGTGGAGTACACCACGACTTCACCACACATTTAAAAGGAAGCCATTGGGATAAGAATTCATCTACTTGAACTTTTTTATTCAGCCTAATTCTCAGAAATTTATATTCACCATGAGATTTGTAAAATACTTATAAGCAGCATGCAGAATGTGTACAATTACACCCTATGTGTGGCTCTGATCAAGGGCGAGCGTGCAGGAGAGTGGCCATAGCAAAGTCTTAGAAAATCACAATCTCCACGTTTGCTCCTTATCCCCACCCCTAGGTACACTTCTTCTTTGAATCCTCTTTTCCTAAGGAAAGATGTTAAATTCCACAATTAAGTCATTCCCATTAAGCTGTAGAATCATTAAGTAGAGTTCAAGTTAATCTTTTGTCTCTATGTTGAGGCATAGAACAGGGAACGTTTCATTCTTTGGGGACAATAATAATTATACGTTAAACATTTTTAAATAGGATATATTGTATTGACTCACAATGCATGATCAGATTTTTAAAAATTATTTCTCTCTGAGAGAAAAGAACTTTAAGCCTCCCAAGAGTTAATCAATTCATACACGTAAACTGCAGCGTGCTAATTCTCCATGGCGATCCCTCTGTCTTCCTGTGTCCCCCTCACTCTTTCTCACTCTGTCTCCCTCCCTCCACACCTCACCCCTAGACTCTTGCTACCCAAGGCAGAGCATGCAGCAGCAGCAGCAGCATCACCTAGGAGCAGGTGAGTTGGAAATACAGATTCTCAAGCCCCACCCAAACTTGCTGAATCCGAGCACGCATTTGGCAAGGCCCGCAGAGGATTTTCGTGGGCATTACTATTTAAGAAGCAGTGTTGTAGACTACATATTTTTCACCCTTTTGCTAGGTCCGGAGCTACCCACAATCTGCAAAATCAAAGGGGAGACGGCGGCGGACGTGCAGAGCCTCCGAGAGCCGGGTGAGGGCGCTGTCCCCGCGTCTGAGGCTTCCTGGAGCTGAAGCCAGTGGTTTCCACCCCCGAGGTGCGACCGTTTCCGGCCCAGGAACGCTGAGACCTTCGCACTCCCCTCGCGTCACAGCCAAGTGTAACTGTAAGAAGCAGTGAGTCCGGAAACGAACAGCCAGGCCTTGGAAGCCTCTCACATGTGTGGGAACGTCCGCCTTTGCTACAGGCGTGATTTTTCATATGACTCAGTACAAGGGAGGGGACACGCGACATCCCTTAATCCTTCACTAAACCCAAAGTTAGGGTTCTTGCCTGTAGATTTCCACAGAATATAGCACCAAGAACGTTCTCTATGTCTAGATGGAGGACAATGTCATCAGCGGGCCACTGGGACCACCTCAGCCCCAGGCAAGGCCCAAGCCTGCCTGCTCCAGCCGCCCGTGGTCCTCCGCAGCCAGGACCTGCTTTCTGGGCTGGCTTCACCCCCCACCACTTCCACAGCCCAGCGGTGCCCTCCAGGCTCCACCGTCACATCGCATGTGTGTTCCCTGCGCTGCTGAGGGACAGCTCACTGGGTCTTCCTGTTTCAAATTCTTGGGGACTCTGTACTTGAGGCTGGGGGTGCCAGCAGCTGAGGAGGGGAGGGCCTTCCGAAAGCCCGTCTGCCTGGAGGCTGTCTGCTTGTCACTTCTGTGTCCGTGTGCATCCTCACAAGGACATTCATTTTTAAGTTTTCATGTTAGCTTCGTGCTGCGAAACTTATTATTTTGAAGAGAAAATATCTTAGATCCCTTATGAACTTTCGAGAAAACAGTCCTTATTCATAAATTTGCAAAAGTGTTCTGTGTGGATCTTTATATCACCTATCTATCATCTATCAGTCATCTATCTCTGCCTATCATTCATTTATCATCAACCTATCATCTATCTTCTGTCTGTTATCTATCTATGGATCATATATATATATATTTTGAGTTGGAGTCTCACTCTGTTGCCCAGGCTGGAGAGCAATGGCGCGATCCCGGCTCACTGCAACCTCTACCTCCCGGGTTCAAGTGATTCTCCTGACTCAGCCTCCTGGGTAGCTGGGATTACAGGCATGGCATCATGCCCAGCTAATTTTTGTATTTTTAGTAGAGACGGGGTTTCACCATGTTGCTCAGGCTGGTCTCAAACTCCTGACCTTGTGATCCGCCTGCCTCGGCCTCCCAAAGTGTTAGGATTACAGGCATGAGCCACCATGCCCAGCCTATCATCTGTTCTTATCTATCCTCTATCCATCTATCTTCCTATCTAATCAATATAGCTATTATTTATTCATCTATCATCTATGTATGTTCACCTCTCTGTCTCTCAACCAATCTATTTCTACATCTAGATCTACACATAGAGAGAGGAATCAGAAAAGTGTAAGCTTTAGAAACAGTATCTCCCAGCTGGGCGCCATGGCTCACACCTGTAATCCTAGCACTTTGGGAAACTGAGGTGGGCAGATTACCCGAGGTCAGGAGTTCAAGACCAGCCTGGCCAACATGGTGAAACCCTGTCTCTACTAAAAATATAAAAGTCAGCAGGACATGGTGGAGTGTGCCTGTCATCCCAGCTACCCGTGAGGCTGAGGCAGGAAAATCACTGGAACCTGGGAGGCAGAGGCTGCAATGCAGTGAGCCGAGATCATGCCCCTGTTCTCCAGGCTGGGTGATAGAGCAAGACTCCGTCTCAAATAAATAAATAAATAAATAAAAATAAAGAAATAGTATCTCCCGTCTTTTGGTGTCTAAATGAAGGCTGCTTTTAGAAAGGGGTTGTAGTGTTTGTTCTGCTTGTTCCACTTAGGGTTTTTTAACCCTGCCTTCTGCATTTCCAGTGGGACAGGAATGTTATAATGGGCTTGGTCCGCTTAGGGTTTTTTAACCCGGTCTTCTGCATTTCCAGTGGGACAGGAATGTTATAATGCTGAAAACCACCGGAGTTCAGTTTGTTTTACAGAGGAAAATAGAATGGGGAGGTTTCCCCAAAGTGTCCTTCTTTTCAAGATGATTGCTTGCCTATCATTTTATTCATATAATCTAAAAAGTTTTTAATCATGCCATTTCTTTCAGTGGGAAAATTAAGTTCCATAGATGTTTCTAGGATGTGGGCATAGAGTGATCCGGATGAGGAACTTTGTAAAGTCTGCATTTAATCTTCTGGTTATTTAATGGGACAGAGCCCCTGGCCCATGTGAGAGGAAAACACAGAGGGGGCAGGTGCCACACGCTACGTCCCTGGTGTGGCACATGCGCCGTCCAAATGCCCCTGATAACAGGTGGGTCAGCCGTCAGCTAGCAGCCCCAGTGGAGCTTCTCGGACTTCCAGACATCGATGGGAACAACTCAGCCACTGCCTCCAATTCACATCTGTTTCTTTTGCTAAAATAAAAAATCCTGCTTTACTTGTGCTTTAATCCTCCCTCTGAAGTTCTGTGTCATCCATGAAGCCTTCTCTGTTACTCTGGTCAGAATTAATCGTGTCTCCTCTTCAAATCCCCCCAGTTTCTCATCCCTGTCAGGCACACAACTTTCTGTCTGGCACCATTGCTAGCTGTTTCTGTGCTCCTCTCCTCTTCAACATGGCAAGTGTCTCGAATGCCGTCTGTGTCTAATTTATCTTTGTCTTCACAAGAGGCACAGAAATGCTGCACATCCCAAGAAATGGTGCTGACTGGAGCCGAGTTGGGTTGTGCCTAATTGAATCCAATGGATATGCCGGGCAGAGGCTGCAGGGTCTATAGGGTCTCTGGGCGTTTCGAGGAGTCCTGTAGAAGAGCTTCTAGGACCAGAGAGAACCCCAGGGCTAACGCTCTCCCAGCTGAGTTTTCTGAGGACTGGAAAGGTTATGTGAGCACAGAAGGAAGCCCTGGTCCTCACCTTCATGGAAGACCTCCCAAGCCTGGGCAGAGCCTTGTGGGCACAGTCAGAGCAGCCCTGTGAACTACTCGTGCATCTTGCAAACGAGGCTCCCTGGGAGAGGAGCCCTGCGCTGCAGGTTGCTGCCTTTGGCACCGTCTTGCACTCCAGAGCCTGGGCTCCTCCCTGCAGCCGGGGACAGAGGCCATGTCCCCTGCAGGGTTCACTGCAGCCTCTGGGTGTCTACTCCTGTGGAGGTCTGCCTTCGCCCCATCTGGGCTGTCAGGATATGGAAGGCCACATGGAGGCCTCTCCATCACAGCACACCTGGACTTCCACGCAGGTTTGTCTCCCTGCTCTGGGCTCCTGGGTGCCGCCTTCCCGCAGAAGCCTGAACCTAACTGAAGGGCCATTGCAGTCATCCTCCTGCTCATTTCCAAGACATCGCAGGCCTCCACATTCCCTTTTGCCTCTTCTTTGTGCTCAGACATTTCCATAGAATAGCCATGTTGCCTGACTTCCATTTTCCAGGCAAGATATGCCCTATAATGCAGCAGCCAGTACAGAGTATGTTTTTTATTTTAAAGGAAATAATTCTTCTCAGGGGTAACTGCTCAACAAAGTAATGGAAGACAGATTTGTCATCTCACACAGCACAACATGCAGTGATACATGGCACAGGCCTAGCTCCCGGCCCTCACTAATCCCATGTTGGTGCTCTTTGAATTCCTTTGTGTTGTGCACTTGCCCTAAGGAGGTTTTTAAACAATTTCTTTCTGAAGGCCAGGTACGGTGGCTCTGGCCTGTAATTCCAGTACTTCGGGAGGCTGAGGAGGGAGGACTGCTTGAGCCCAGGAGTTTGAGATCAGCCTGGGCAACTAAGCAAGACCCTCTCCTTACAAAAAATTTATGGGCATGGTGGTGCACACCTGTAGTCTCAGTTACTCGGGAGGCTGAGGCGGGAGGATTGCTTGAGCCTGAGAGGTCAAGGTTGCAGTTAGCTATGATAGCACCGCTGCACTCCAGAGCAAGACCCTGTCTCAAGAAGAAAAAAGAATTCTCTCTGGCTGAAATTTTCTTTCTCTCTGTACACCCCTTTTTAGACAAAATGTTTTCAATTTAAATATGCAATCTTCCAACTAGCCCTTGAATAACACATTATTAATAGCAAAGACACAGAGTACCTCGCTGGGAAACATGAATCATAAGATCAAAGTCACCAAATTCAGTACAGAGACTTGCTGGTCAGCAGGACAGGCCCACCAAATGGCAAATGCAAACACAGGATGGGAGAGAAGGCACTGGCCCTGGCAACGCTGTGCGAGCAGAGTGTGGATGTGTCTCGTGGACATAAAGATACGTGTACAGGCAAGAGAAAACCTCATGGAAGAAATAGGTTCATCTTGAAGGTTAAAGCAGCTTCAGCTTCTCTCTCTCTCTGTCACTTCCTGGGCAGGAGGGCAGAGGATTTCTCCTAGGATAACAGTGGACTGTGGGTGGAGGCCTCTTTTCCCCTCCTGTGGGAGAGGAGTCAAGCCTCAGGTCAGCAGAAGGGAGATGTTTCTCCTGCGGGTTAGCTGCGCGCTCAAGCACCTAGTGTCCTGAGTTTCTTCAGGGGTTCCTGCTGCCAGCCTAACGTTCCTAAATAGAGCACTCTAGGTTTCTGGCATCAAGGCTATGTGATCAGGTGTGAGGCAGGTACAAGGTGCAGCTCATCAGTCTGGAACAGCTCCCCATTCTGGAACAGCTCCTCATCCTGGAATGGCTTCTCATTCTGAAACGATTCCCCATTCTGGAATGGCTTCCCACTCTGGAACAGCTCCCCATTCTGGAACAGCTTCCCACTCTGGAACAGCTCCTCATTCTGGAACAGCTTCTCATTCTGGAAAAGTTCCCCATGCTTGAACGGCTTCTCATTCTGGAACAGCTCCTCATTCTGTAACAGCTTCTCATTCTGGAATGGCTCCCCATTCTGGAAGGGCTCCCCATTCTGGAATAGCTCCCCGTTCTGGAATGGTTCCTCATTCTGAAACAGCTCCTCATCCTGGAACAGCTCTTCATTCTGAAATGGCTACACACTCTGGAACATCTCCTCATTCTGGAATGGCTCCCCGTTCTGGAACAGCTCATTCTGTCTGAAATGGCTCCTCATTTTGGAACAGCTCCTCATCTGGAACGTCCAGTTGCTTTGCATTTTCTTCTGACCTCCACTCCATACTCTCAGAGGCCATTGATCACAGTAAAAGCTGCACATCCTAGGTGGCTAAACCATGGAAAGATCACAAAGGTCTATTAGCGCCCTGTAGCAAAATGGGCCACACTTCTCTCTGCAGTCAGAGTAGAATTCTAAAACCCCACCAAATACTTCACCTTGAAAATGCATGCAGGGGACTGAAAGTGCAGTGGCTGAGCCCGCACAACTGCCTGGAGGAGCTGAGGAAGAAAATCAAATTGAGACTTAAAGGATGCTAAGATCTAGCGTAGCCAATTTCAGGAGAGAATGCTAAGATCTATGGCAGCTGATTCCATGAGAGCATGCTAAGATCTAGGGTAGCCAATTCCATGACTGCACCTTTTGGACAAGAGGACATCTGATTTATTATGCCAAGAAAGGGCAATCAAGATGAGAGAGGTTTTGTAAGTCCAAAGCCAAAGAAAAAAAAAAAACTTAAGGGCTTTATTTTTGGAGATTTCTCCATTGCATTAAATTAAGCTCTCTATAGCCTGATAGAAAACTTACAATCAAATCCTCATAATAACAAAGGTGTCGATGCAGCTGGTTTGGAGATAGGTGTGGCTGTACAAGGAACAGGGCAGCAAGGAGAAAAGCCAAGGACATCTTGACTGACAGAGGGTCCAGGCGCACTCACCCGCACGCTCTCTGGGCCTCACACTTCCTCGGACTCTGGTCCACACCGCAATGAAAGGTAGGTAGTGCCAGGTCGTGGGAAAGGTGCTTGCTAACATCAGGCGGGTATTCTTGGGACAGTTCCAGGACTCAGGACAGAGCACCAGTAGTGCCTTCTCGGCTCTTCTGTTCCTCAGTCTTCTCGTCTGAGAAATGGGTGTAACAAGCCCTCTCTGCTCTTCCCTTGTAGGGTGTTTTGACTTGGGTTTAGACCAAATAAGGCAATTCCAGAGAAAGGGCTTTGAAATATCCGAAACTTTAAATCAATGTAATGTTTAAGCTGAGAAATTTTTGAATTGTATTCTTGAAGTCTCAGATGCAAAAGAGAAGCAAGAAGAATCCTAAAGTCCTTGAATTTTTCTTTTATTTGCAGGTTCTTGTATCGTGTGGTATAAAGCCCGAAATTCAGGTTGTGTTCACTGGGGCTTCTGGGCTAACAATTTGGACTAAATGAGAATCTGTAGGAACTCTTGTCAGAAGATTCAATTTTCTTTTACTAAAATAAAGATCTATAATACTTGTTGCTTTTTTTAAAAAAAAGAGCACTAACACCTCTGAGCTTTGCCTCCTTGTGCGAGAGTAATGTATTAATAATTGAGGAAAGATGGCAAGAAGGTAAAAAGAGTACAGATAGAATTCCCGGTCCTAGCCCTGAAGGAGTTCACTGATTCTAATCTTTCCTGAAGTTACAACACTGTCCTAGACAGGCACACAAACACACAGAGCAAAGAAACGAATTTCCTTGTTGAAAACATGCCGACGCTTTCTGTGTTTACACTCATGTTCACTCCAACATCCAGCTCCAGGCTGGAGACCACACGAAGGAGGCAGAAGCGGGAGGCAGAAGGCAGGTGAGCTTGTCTTGAGCACAGCCGTACTTAATCCAAACATAACCACCGTGTTCCAATTTTACTTACAACATTTCACAGATTCTAAGATGCCTTTTCTTTTTTTCACTTTTCATGTGTCTGAGGTTGGAACGCATTTTATCATGGATGGCCTTGCACAGTCACTATTGACCCAGCAAGATCCCAGGTGTCTCTCCCAGTCACTCCAGGAAGATGGTGGTACTATTTGTACAGCCCGGACGCTTCTGGCCCCACAGCATGCAAGGGCCCTGGGAGAAAGAAGGAATGCTGTCTGAGGATCTTTTCTTGACACCTTCTGGTAAAATCAAGAATTCCAGAGAACATCAGCACTAAGCGTGCAGAGCCAGTGTCGGGGTTGGAACTGACTACCGGCGTGCAGGCTTGTACAAACGCTGCATTTTCAATACTCTTGATGGCAGGAAATAATGACAGGCGGAAAATTATGAATATTCGTGAGTCCGAGATTTAAAAATGTGTAAGAAAAGGCAGATTCTGTGAAGTTTTAGGAATTCCTTTATCAATGTATTATAAGATATATATATATACACACACATACACTCATATGGAACATATGTATGCAGATACATGCCAACAGAGTTACATTAGAATCTACATTTGTGTATGTCTTAAAGAGTTTTTTAAAATGTACAAATCAAGCATGGTCATAACTGTTTCAGCAGCATTTTTCAGTCGTGCGTACAGCTGTGGTGTATCTCCCCATCAACGGCTTTTAGATTTAATGGAATAAAATACTGGATTTAATAGAGTGAAGTCTGATGTCTGTGTCCTTCTAAAATTCCTATGTAGAAATTCCTACCTGAAAAGGGATGGTATGAGGGGGTGTTAAGGGGTGGGGCCTTTGGGAAGTGATTAGGCCACGGGGGTGGAGCCCTCTCAGATGGGTTTAGTACCCCCGTAAATGAGGCCTAAGGGGGCTCATTCACCCCTTCCGCCATGGGAGGATGCAGCAAACAGGCTCCATCTGAGTCAGGAAACCCTCAGCAGACACAGAGCCTACAGCACCCGGATCTCCAGCTTCCAGCCTCAGAACTGTGGGAAAGGCGCGTCTACTGTTTCACAGGCCCCAGTGGTGGAATTTTTGTTACAAAATTCTGGATGGACTAAGACTTATGGCTTCAGGGTTAACTCATTCTCACATCAAGAAAGTGGTACAGTTATGACAATCTTCATCAATCATAGCCTAAACTACCCCTGAAGAAATTTAGGGAGGTTTCAGATTGTGTTTTCATCTCAATTAAAATGAGTTTTATCTATCTTCAGGTTTCAGAAATTAAATTTGCATTGTGGACAAATTCAAGAAAGGCATATTTTAAATGTCTTAAAGTCAAAGTAGATTTTTTTGATCTACCTTTACCATACATCCCACAAATACAGTCATGCACCCCATAACAATGCTTGAGTCAACAACAAACCACATATTCTACAGTAGCCCCATATACTACGGTGACCCATACACACACAAACTCAAGCATGGTACATATATGCCGATGCATGCCAAAGGATGTAGATTAAAATCTACATGGAGACAGAAAAGCAGATGAGTTTGTCTTGAGCACAGTCATACTTAATCCAAACGTAACAATATTCCAATTTTACTTAAGAAATTTCACAGATTCTAAGATGCCTAACAACACATTGCTCTGTCATTAAGTGAGGCATGACTGCACGTACTAGCAGGCGAGGAAGACAGTAAATGTTCAATTAATGTTTGATGATTGACCAAATCAGGTGGGATGGTGGGGGGTGGGGGGTGGAGGATGGGGAACGATTTGTCAGACATTTTGGTGAATCCAAGGTTTCACTCAAGTCAAAATAAAAATATTCATAGAGCCCAATGCAAACAAGAAAACACACAGACAACAAAAAACACAGAACGACAATGACAAAATGGCCAAGCAGGAGAGCCGCACGTGTTCCTGACCTGGCTGCAGCTGTCCCTGAGGCCCAGGCCATCCCGGACCTCACACCGAACCCGAGGTTATGGCCCCCAACCTTCCTCAGCCTCTCCTACCCTGACCACACAGTCGCTCGAGAGCCTTTCTTGATAGGAAAAAGAAATGAAAAGCTTAGCTCATTTTAACAGAATCAAAATGACCCAGACCTTCACATGTTTGTATCACAAGAGCTAAATCACATATTATTTGATGATCTTCCTTTATGTCCAGCTTGGGTTAAGTGAAGCATTAATTAGAGATGAAAATTGTTATTTTTTTAAACATAAATTTACACTAAGTAGGTGAGTCATTTGGTGTCTGAAAAAATAAAACCTAAATAACTCCAACTTCAGACACACCAGATAATACTCTTAAACTTCCTTAACTGACTTTTAAAGTCAGTTTTTTCCCATTGGTGCTTCCTACAGCACCAGAGAAATCAGCATCTCTGTAGGATCAATGTGTTTGTGTCTGCAGGAGCTCAGATAAAGCCCTGGTTTTAGCTGAATGATTAGTTGTGATACCTTTTAAATGCTCTTTTGGGTATAGAAATGCTGACTTAGAATTTATGATAACACAGAAATCAGCTTATAGAAATATATGAGAACTATCATATCCAGGAATTAAATGAATCCACTCATAAATAAAAACATATTGATATCCACCTGTTAAAGGAAAGGAACTTGATATCTTTCTCACCGACAGATAGCAAGACAGGCACATGGAATTTTTATGCTTGCATACACTATGCTTAGGGAAAACAGGAAACAAACTTCTCTTAAAACGGTTTTATTATTTGTAATTAAGAAGCTTGCAAAATTCTCTCTCCCATTTATTTAAATATCTGAATTATTCTTGAAGATCGTATGTTACATATTTTCATTTCTTCTTCTGCTTGTTTTTGCATATGTGGCATAAATTGTGAGTAAAACTCTTGAATGGTGTTTCATATCAAACACGAATCCTCGTGTCAAGCTCTGAGCAAAGTCGTGAGAGGAGAAAGTATCTCCCAGCAGGATTATTCATTCCTTCTGTTGACGTCATCTACCCATCCACGCCAACTCTGGCCGCCCAAGGCCACCAAGCTAATAGCACTCAATGGTGTTCCGCATGTATCCTCCCTATGGACTTACCAACTCCTAACCACCCAACCAGAGTGGGCCTGTCTCCTGCTTCCCACCCTGCTCTCTGCTCATTGAAAGCTGGCTCTTCTATGCTACTGGCTGGTTTTTACTAAGGCATGCATATGTTTCTCCTCCCATAATACAGATGTGTATATTCACATGGGCCTTTGGAATATGTCCATCTCATGTGCAGCCTAGAAGCTCCTCCACATGGCTCTGTCCACCCAAAATGTATTAGGAGTGACTGATAATTTCAATCAGTTCTCACTTCATCTAGTAACAGCCTTTTCTGAAATTCAATTTCCTCTCAAAAAGAGGCAATGACGCTTCTAAGATCAAGCAACCTTTCGCCTAGGCAAATGACAAACCTATGCAAGTGACAAATTTCTTCCACCATTGAAAATCGATCCATTGGAAATATTCATCATTCCAATCAATAGGGAGCTTGCGTAGGGAAACATGTGTGACTGGGCCGAGGCGGGCAGATCATGAGGTCAAGAGATCAAGACCATCCTGGCCAATATGGTGAAACCTCATCTGTAACAAAAATACAAAAATTAGCTGGGCGTGATGGTGCTCGCCTGTAGTCCCAGCTACTCAGGAGGCTGAGGCACAAGAATTGTTGAACCCAGGAGGTGGAGGTTGTGGTGAGCCGAGATCATGCCACCGCACTCCAGCCTGGGCAACAGAGCAAGACTTCATCTCAAAAAAAAAAACAAATTGTGCTAGTGTAACCATCCTTAACCAAAAGCAAACGATTATTCAGAGACAAATGTGGGTATTTGGGCTCTAGTGGATTTGGGGTTAAAATTTGGAAGTTTGAAAAAGCTAAAGGTTTCTCAGAGCCTCTTTTTAAAAGTAAGCTGCATAAGCTGCCATTCTTTATGAGGCCTCGTTTCATTCCCCTTAAACATGGCCTTGAAATTCCGTATGTGGGAGAATACATGAATATTGAATCAAAGGTGCATGGCTGGCATATTTTATGAAGATTCCCTACAATCTAACTATAAAGCACCACCAGGAAAAAAAAAGATTACTTTTATTCTGGTTGACACAAAATTATGCATTAGAGCTTCCAGTCAAAACAGACATTGTTAGGAAATGTGATAATTTTACTCCAACATTTCCCCTTGCTTTCAGAATTTTTACAAAGATATGGCTCCAGCAGGCACAATGTGGGTACTCTTTTCTAATATGATCAACTGAGCAATTCGTAAATTAAAATAAGAAAAGATGAAATCGCATTTAAACTGCACCACCACCTGGGCTTAATAAAGTTGATATTCCACCTGTTTGAACGCTCAGGAGCACACAATATTTCCATAAACCCCAGCGATCACAGCATGCTTCTTAGTCACCATGGTATCCAAATCACTTAATAGAGGAATAGCTCTGAACGGCTCTACGACACCGATTGATCCCTCACAAGGCAAATACGTAGGAGGCGAGTGTGCGCTGGACACCGCGCAGGTGACAAGAACGCGGCTGTAAGGAGGGCTACGGCCCCTATTATGGCCTAGCTTACAGGCGGGCTGGAAAGGTGGACGTTTCACTGGTAATTAACCAGAATCCCATAGAGGAGCTTGTGGTGGGAAGCCTCTCCTGGTTCAGACATTAGGAAAGACCTCTCGGAGCGGCACTGAAGCTGAGGTATGCAGGAGCAAGTCGTGTGGAAACGGAGGAGATGGTGGGGAAAGCCACGACCAGCGGAACCCTTCAAATGCCCAAAACGCAGGGCCCTGAGCTTCCTGTGCTCAGCTATCAAGAGGGGCTACTGAACTTGAACCTCAGATGACGTCGGGGCTGGGGGAATGAAGTTGGAGAGAAAGGTGGGCCCTGAGTTTGAGAGGGTTTCGTAAGCTATGTTAAGGGATCTGGACATCTTCCCAAGGGCCAATGAAAGATGAGAAATGAATTTAACATAAAGCTATTATGGAATGCATAGCTTCCAATGATCATTCTCACAGTTGTGTGAAGACACAGGACTCTCCAGCTGGTCAAATGGGGTACAGAGTGATGACTGAGATGCTGCCGTCCCTGTCCGAGGGGAGTGACTTTGGGGTGGCAATGGAGATGGCAAGAAGAGACGTGCTTGGAAGCACGTGCAAGAATCAGAGCCTCAACTTAGAGCTGATTGTCCTTAAAAAGCAGCACCCCACATTAGGCACAGTCTAACCAGAGTGATGAGAAACCAGGCTCCCACCCACACGAGGGTGAGGACAGTAAAGGCTCCTGACTCAGTATCACGTGAGAAATGCTGACAGAAGAATAGTCCAGGTGGTACCTGGGGAAAACCTTGTTGATTTGGGAGCAAATATGTGTAAAAGCTATCTACAAATAAAGGCAAAGCTGCCCTATAAAGAGTAATCTTGCTTGGCTTCAAAGAGCAGAACTAGGGTCTCCAGGGAGAAGCGGCGGGGAAGCCAATCTTACCTCAGCCTGAGAGAGCTTTCTAACAATGGAGGCGGTGAATCAGGCTTCCTCCAGGACCAGGACAGTGTTACCTCAGCCTGAGAGAGCTTTCTAACAGTGGAGGCGGCAAATCACGCTCCCTCCAGGACAGGGTGACGCCAGCCTGAGAGAGCTTTCCAGCAATCTAGGCTGCGAATCAGGCTTCCTCCAGGACCAGGACAGGGTGATGTCAGCCTGAGAGAGCTTTCTAACAATGGAGGTGGCGAATCACGCTTCCTCCAGGTCCAGGATGGGGTTAGGACAGCCTGAAGGAGTTTTCTAAAAATCGAGGCGGTGAATCAGGCTTCCTCCAGGTCCAGGACAGGGTGACGTCAGCCTGAGAGAGCTTTCTAACAATGGAGGTGGCGAATCACGCTTTCTCCAGGTCCAGGACAGGGTTACGTCAGCCTGAGGGAGCTTTCTAACAATGGAGGTGGCGCATCAGGCTTCCTCCAGGACAGGGGTTTGCTCCCCAGGTGCAGGGGCTCAGGTGAAGAATATGCATGAAGTGGGGAAGCGCAAACATCAGCGAGTATTTGACTTAAAACTTAAAAATTCAGTTCAGAGGGAGGGCAAAATTAGGCTCTGGGTAGCAGATGCTGGGTGGATTCTAACATAAATCTTTCTAACAGTTTGTGTGCTGGGAACACAAAGAGGAAAAGGCTGTTCAGAAGACACTGGGGTTCCTAGGTTCATGGAATCCAACGTGAGGATTTCTTACTCCTTTGGATACTAAGTGAAATGGGAGCCATGCTTGAGAATTACAAATAGAAAACACACAATGCAGGACACCCTATAAATATTGATTCTTAGGCCAACCAAAACCCCCTGAGGGTGACACTTCCAAAGCAGCCACTGGGCTCACATCAAGTCAGAGCAAAGAAGAGTCACCCCAGCCCAATGCCCCTGCTGGAGCATCCAGGCCCCAACAGCAAGAGAAGGACTGGATGGCTCGCCCAGGCAGGGGTGTCTTCCAGAGCCTGTGGCTGCAGCACCCACAAGTGCACTCACCAGGATTTGCACACAGGGTGCCATTTTGTTGTTTGTAGCATCTCAAGCTTCCCTTCTTGTGTTCCTCCCTTGGGTCAGCAGAACCATCCTTGGACACCAGGGGAGAGGGGCTCTTGCTCTGGTCTCTTGCTTGCAAGCTCCTGTGCTGGTCCTCCTACTGCTCCTACAGGGCAAAGGCAAGCCCCCACCTGGAAGCTGAGCCCCTTCCATGTACACTGTGTGATTGTGTGTGCTATTCACACACACACCAGCCCCTAGCCCTTATCACCCAGGTGGCCCACGTCTGACCCAGGCTCACCTGGGCCTCTCCCATGAACCTGGCTTCATCACAGCAGGCGTTAGGCCTAAGAGCTGGCTGGGCTCAGCAGTCTATAGAAAGGTGTGATGGAGCTTGGGTGCATGGTCTTGGATTGGGTGGCTACACACATAGATGGGGGGGCCCCTGATTGGGGACCTGGTAATGGGCAGGATGGGAAAGGGGAAGGTCCCTGCTGGGGGCCCGCCCTCCCCATGCCCCATGGCATGGAACTCTAAGAAAATAAGGATTCTAAATGCAGACCAATCTAGTTCAGGGGTTGGCAGACTCTGCATAAAGCACCCGATAGTAGATAGGTTCAGTTTGTGGGCCACACAGCCTCTGTCTCAGCTCCTAACTTGGACTTGTGGCATGAAAGCAGCCAGCACGTACGTGGCTGAGCATGGGCTCTGCACAAACAGGACCCAGATGTGAGCTGCTGCCCACCAATACCCGTGGTCTGTATTCCTGCATGTATGTTTGTCAAGCTGAGGGGCTGGAACACATGCAGCAGTTACTGACTTAGCGATAACCTCTAAAATATTTAGACAAAATACATGGGGGCCTCCCTGTGTGCCTCTGCCCCATTTCCCATGGGTCCCAAGGGTGTCCTCGAATCTTAAAGAGCCCAGGCTGGGAGGGCCCAGCAAGTGATCTTCTGCCACGAGGGCAGCATCCCAGATGAACACGGGGACCATAGAAGAGGCGGAAGCCCCGGAGATGTGGCCGGATGAGAGTAAGAGGGGGATGAGCAGGGCTCTGATACTAGAACCTAACTTTGACGTGTGAAGAAAATTCTGTATCTCTCCCTCAGAGACATGAGTGACTTCACCTCTGCCTCCTGCTTTGGACGTGACTGTGCTGGCCTTGGAATGCTCACAGCGGGTCCTCTCCTTCTCTGCCTCTCCACAGCTACCCACACTTGAGGGCCGGGCTTGCTCTGCATTTCCCTGAGGGTCTCACCGACACCACCTCTGCCCGGCTTCTCTGGCTCACTGCAGCTTTGCGGGTTCAAGCTGTCATGCATTGCAGTACCTGATGTGCTATTTCTGGGAGACTCATGGGCGTGTGTCTTTCCACATGATATAAAGCCCTGTGTGCCCCTTACAGTGACCTTCCTGTCTGTCACCACTGCCCACCCCTGCACCAAGCCCAGGGCCGGGCACCTCCCAGGCACTCCATAAAGGCTTCCCGGGTTGGCACTGCATCCTCGTGGAAAGGAATGAACTGTGGAACTTACGTCGGCATTGGGACCGTCTACCCTATGTCCCGCGTCGTCGGGATGAGAAGGGGAAGTCTGGTCGGCAACCAGGAGTTCATTTCTCACCATCCTTTAGGCCAGTGTTAAAATTCTGTTTCTGTTTCAAGGAAAACACGGAAGGTCAGTGTTTAAACAGATCGCTTTGCCGCTCTCGCTGCTACCTGAGCAGAAAAAACCCATCCCTGCCAGCTTACTTTCTCTGCTGCATGAACCCATCTTTTCAATAAGAAAGGCAACGTCTGCCTTCTTCACAACCAAATCCACTCACTGCGTCCACTCAGGGAGAAGGTGGCAAAATATATTCCCTTAATTGTTAGGATTAATTATTACTCTTTAAATTCACTCCAGTAGCTGGGATCTGGCTGTTAGTCCTAAAGCCCACTTAGCAGTTTTGGTGTTTTTTTGTTTGTTTGTTTGTTTGTTTTTAGTTGGATTGAGCTGTTCTAATACTCCTTTTTGGGAGCACTCCAGGCACTCCAAACAGCTCACCCTCACTGATAAATGTCCTCGTGTCAAAAATAATTACCCAGTGCAGATGGAGCCATCAGAAGGAGACTGGGACCCGCCTTCCTGCTGTCCTGGGCCCCAGGGCCCATGGTCCTAAAACAACAGCTGAGACAGCGTGTCTTCACCCGGGCAGACAGCCCTCCTGGAAAAGCTGCAGAGACCCCAGAACTGCTCTCCAGACTCATCCTCAACTTCAGAGCCTGATGATCACAAAGGCGAAGAAAATCAGGGCAGCGCTCTCTCCGCCCTGTGATCTTGAAGACGACACTTCCGTTACAGATGCTTGCACTTGGAAACAGAAGCATGAGTTGCCTTACCAAGTACACACTGGCTTGCTGCGGGTGTAGTTCATCACGGTTTTCACAGGCCTCGCAGACCGGACCTTTTCCTAAAGCACCTGATTCAGCCGATGGCAGCTCCCGATTCACGAGGCCAGAGCAGCGTGCCAACCTTCTGCAGGTTCCCCAGGTAGCGGTCAGACACTGCCACTCGGGTAGGGATGGACCCGCCTCACCCTGTGGCAGCCCCTTTCTTTCCATCGTTAATGCAGCCCCACTGCACTCAAGGTTGAGAAAACACTCGACAGACGGTTCCCCATAGCTCCAGTCACAGCCGAATCGAGGCACCTACGTCCTCATTTGCATTCATTGATCCTTCCCTGAGCCCCAGCACCAGCCACTCCCCCTGACACCTGACGCCGGGGTCTGGGGGTGCGAGAGGCCTGTTCATGGGCACCCATGTATGTGTGCGTGTGTGCGTGCACACATCCAGAAACACACTCAGGATGCTCCAAACAGAAAGAAGAGAAGAATGGCTCCAGCAGGTATAAAGGCAAGTGTGCGCTCTCACCTGAGTTCAGGGCAGCAAACTGGGGAGACGGCAGTGATACTGGGTAAGCGGGCAGGGCATCATAAGAGTCTGTGGAAGAAACTCATAGAAAATCAGAAAAATTGACCATTGATAATTGTCAGTCTCCATCAAAATTGAGCAAAAAACAAGTAATTTCCCTCTGGCCATAACCTACTTGGCTAATTTTATCCTCCTTGATATTACATTTACTGTGAGCACATGGATCATCACAGCCTGGCACCCAGCACCATGCCAGGCCCGGGACTGACTCCTGCAGAAGTCGCTGACCTGGCATGAAGTTTCAGAGGCGAACAGGAGCTTTCTCCGCACCCAAAGGAATGGACACTGCCTTCCACGAAGCATCTGTTTTTCGCACGGTGATGGAGGTGCACCCCGTGATGCAGAAGAGGCCACACCTGCTGAGATGGTTAATTTCAACCTGTCCACAGGACTGGGCTAAGAGAGGCCCAGGTTGCTGGCACACCTGAATTTCTGTGAGTGTCTGTGAAGGAGTTTCTGGAAGAGGTGAGCATTAGATTCAGTGGACGGAGTAAGGACAATCCCCCTCCCCAGAGTGGGCCGACTCCATCCAATTCATTGAGGACTCAGATGGGACAAAAAGGTACCGAAAGAGTAAACTTGTTCCTCCTCCTGGAGTTGGGGCATCCACCTTCCCCTGGCTCCTCCTCCTGGAGTTGCAACATCCACCTTCCCCTGGTTCCTCCTCCTGGAGTTGGGGCATCCACCTTCCCTTGGCTCCTCCTCCTGGAGTTGGGGCATCCACCTTCCCCTGGCTCCTCCTCCTGGAGTTGGGGCATCCACCTTCCCCGGCTCCTCCTCCTGGAGTTGGGGCATCCACCTTCCCCTGGCTCCTCCTCCTGGAGTTGGGGCATCCACCTTCCCCTGGTTCGTCATCCTGGAGTTGGGGCATCTACCTTCCCCTGGCTCCTCCTCCTGGAGTTGGGGCATCCACCTTCCCCTGGTTCCTCCTCCTGGAGTTGGGGCATCTGCCTTCCCCTGGCTCCTCCTCCTGGAGTTGGGGCATCCACCTTCCCCTGGTTCCTCCTCTTGGAATTGGGACATCCGCCTTCCCCTGGTTCCTCCTCCTGGAGTTGGGACATCCATCTTCCCCTGGTTCCTCCTGCTGGAGTTGGGACATCCATCTTCCCCTGGTTCCTCCTCCTGGAGTTGGGGTATCCATCTTCCCCTGGCTCCTCCTCCTGGAGTTGGGGTATCCACCTTCCCCTGATCGTGGACACTGGCCCCTAGTGCTCAGGTCTGCAGTTTGGGGAATTATACCAGCGACATTCCAGGGTCCCCACCGTACAGACTGTGGGACTTCTCAGCCACGGTGATCGCATAAGCCAATTCCCATAATAAACCTCCTTCTATGTCTCAGTATTTGTCCTAATGGCTCTATTTCTCTGGAAAACCCTGACTAGTACATCTATCCCTCCTAGCCTAGCTTCCTGGAGGAAATTATAACCCTATTGTGCCCCAAGAGGTGAGCAGGAGTGAGCCAGGAGAGAAGGCCAAATATGGGTAGTCACCCAAGGTGACAGTCACCAGGACTCACCATCCCTTCCTGATGACACTTTATAACACCAGAGGCTACCAGAAGGACACTCATCAACCTAAGGTTGCCATCTCTGTCTATCATAGCCCAGTCCACAGGACTCTGTGTTGCAGTCACACAATTGGCATTTGCACCTTGGCCCACACACACTGGAAGAAGCACTTCACCGTCTGAGAGTGGAACTGGGGAAGAATGATGTGATTCAAACATGCCAGACTTTGAGAATAAACAACCAGACCTTCGACCGCATCCAGAGAACCAGGAGAACCATCTCTCAGGGCTGAGGCCACACTCCAAGGGAGATGCAGAGCAACCCTGGCACCTTCCCCTCAAGAGCCTCCCAGTGCCACTAAAGCAGAGGGGAGGTACGTGGGGACACCCTGCAGGGAGGGCCTGGCTCCCTACATGTTCTAAATCCCCACGTCAGGCAATACCTATGAACTGGCAATGCCAGCCCCTCTCAGAAGTCCAGTCTCTCAAACCTGAGCAATGCAGAAGCCACTTTGATGGAAAATATGTTATTCTGAGAATATATTTTTAGGTTCCAGTTTGAGGAACACTGACCTGAGAAACTAAAAATACATCCAGAGGGGGAAAATAGGTGCATTTGCATTGCAAATTACCTCTTGCAAAGTGATTAGCCTTCATGTCTGGTGAAAGCAATTTTATTGGACTCTCACTGAAATGAAAACACAAAATTTTGAAAGAAAATCTTTGTTGTTAATTTTTATTTTGCAGAGAGTCTGAGGATTCTCATTTGAGAACTCCTGATCTCAGGGATGTATTTATAAGACTTGAGGAAACAAGAGAAGCCTCAGTGTGGTCCAGCTAAAAACTAGAGTTGAGGCTTGGTTAAACAACAAGGGAATTTGGGGAAGGAAAGCATAGTCTGAGTAGACTTCAGCTTTGTCAATCAAATTCCATAATTTCCACTGACTCACGACCAACTCCTGTGTCAAAGGCTCTGCCGGGAAAAGCAAGTAAAATTAATAGCACGGAGTGGTCTTATTCCTAATGAGACATGCAAACCAGCCTACAAGGAAGTAGAATCCAGTGGTGGGGGATTTGGGGGGCAGGTTGTCCTGGGTTCAGGATGTAACCAGGAGAGCACAGTAGCCCACAACCAACATTCGGCTTAGGAGCGGAACCAGCAGAGAACGGCCCTGAGCAACATTTGGACAGCACGTCTGGGCCCACAGGCCTGTTCTGGGATGACCTAGAACCCAGTGGCAGGTGCCTGAGGCCCCCTGTTTTGTACAGAAGAGGAAGAGAGGGAGAGCTGGTACCCACCCACGGGAGGGTTCTCTTTGCACGCTGGGACTCAGAGGGAGTGTCCTGGCATCAGGGCTCTGTGTACCCGAGAAACCACACCCATGGAATGTGATGTTTTGTTCTTTTTGGGAGACTTTCCCAAGGCCCCACATCACCTTGCTACTGGGGCCTACAGAAATCTGAGTAGTGTGTGAGATTAGAAGTGTAATTTTTATCCCTTACAGTAAATAAAATGAGTCTCTCAGCAGCAAGATGCCCATTGAAACAGCCCTTGTTGCCACCGTCTACGAACATCTACTGCCCACGCTTGGCGAAAATAATGCAACCAGTGCCTCTGCGCTGTCAGAACCTTATCAGTGTCCACAACAGAAAACGTAACGTGCTGTAAACATAAAAGGAATCCCCATGGAAGCATCCACCGAAAAGTTGGGGCTGACTGGGGTTAGCGTCAGAGGTATTTACCGATGTCTTCGGGTCCTGACTTCTGCTCCAGGGGCCTGAGCCTCAGAAGCTCCCATTCATCCTGCACAGACGCCCTCCCCAGCAGTGAGCTCTCCCACAGGCCGCCTGCTCCCTGTGCAGCGGGGGCTCCCTGTGCAGCGGGGGCTCAGGGCCAGCTCTACCTGGGATCTTGGGTTTGCCATAAATCACGCCACCCCACCCTAAGGGAGGTTCTGCCCCACACCCGAGGACAGTGCTCCTTGGCTACTGAGCAGACAGGGACATGGGCAAGAGTGGCTGATCCAGGAAGCACACGGGTGCCCAGACCAGATGAGAGCAAACCGCCACGCTCAGGTGGAGCAGCAAGCACGTCGCCCGGTACCACGTGTGCGTGGTTCTCAATCTTCTCAACTACTCTGTCAGAAATACTGTCTTCCTTTTACAAACGAGGAGGCTGAGTTTTACAGATATTGGATACACCTGCCTGGTTCACTAGACTATTAACAAAACAGTCCGTATTCAAAGCCAAGGCTTCCAACAGGAAACCTCCTCGTTGACAGCACAGTGGTTTTGCCCTCAGTTCCTCAGGCCCCGGACATTCCCTAAGCCTCAGCACTGGGCCTGCGTGTATCATCACCCCTCTCCCACCCCATCACCAAGTGTCTCCCACCCCCATCACCACCCCCTCCCACCCCTATCACCATCTCCCACCCCTCTCCCACCCCCATCACCACCCCTCCCACCCCTATCACGACCCCCTCCCCCCCATCACCACCCCTCCCACCCCATCACCACCCCCTCCCACCCCTATCACCATCTCCCACCCCATCACCACCCCTCCCACCCCATCACCACCCCTCCCACCCCTATCAACACCCCTCCCACCCTATCACGACCCCCTCCCCCCCGTCACCACCCCTCCCACCCCCGTCACCACCACCTCCCACCCCGTCACCACCCCTCCCACCCCATCACCACCCCCTCCCCCCCTGTCACCACCCCTCTCCTACCTGGACTGCAGCTGGCGGGTCTCACCGTCGTTATCTTCCCTGTGCGTTAACCCCTTTTGTCTCAGGCTGAATGTTCTTTCATGACTGTGGTCACTATTGGTTTTTAACTTGATGTCTGAGAAACATGACCTTTCATCCATGTCTGTGATATGTCTGAAAACAGGATTAACCACAAAAATGAAAAATTAAGGACCTGAGTTATTTACTTCAGTTTAGAAAGCAAACGGGACAGAGAGCTTGTGGCTTTCACCACCCGGTGGGGGATTCACACATCGATCCTGCCGTGGGAAAAACCAGCCTGGTTCCCATCTTCTCCTCAGAACCAACAGGTGAGCAGGGGAGGCAGAGTCTCTGGCCACGTGCAGAAGCACCTGTGGGATACCCTGTCTGCTGTCTGGGGTGGCCAGGCTAACAAGCACTGGTTTCTGGTCTGCAGGAGATGGATGATAAGGCCTGGGGCTGTCTGGGCAGAATGCCTTTTGTCTCTGAGCTTTGCTCCTTGGTGACCACATGAAGAACTGAACCAAAGGCTGTCCCTGGGAAGGAGATGGGTGCAGATGGATGTCACGCACTCTGCAGACAGCCCGGCCTTCAGAGAGACCACCCTGCTCTAAGATGACACAGCCCAGGAATGGGGTGCTGTGTCCTCACATGGCCTGTTTATAAATGTCCCTGTTAAGAGTATTAGTCCATTCTCACACTGCAATAAAGAACCACCGGAGACTGAGGAGTTTATGAAAAAAAAAAAAAAACAAGTTTAATTGACTCATAGTTCCCCACAGCCAGCATGGCTGGGGAGGCCTTAGGAAATGTTCAGCCATGGCAGAAGGTAGAGAGGAAGCAGGTACGTCTTCCCTTCATGGAGCAGGAGAGAGAGCGAAGGGGGACATGGTACACACTTGCATTTATTTATTAATATTATTATTATTATTGGAGACAGAGTCTCACTCTTTCGCCCAGGCTGGAGTGCAGTGATGCCACCTTGGCTCACTGCAACCTCTGCCCCCCGGGTTCAAGTGATTCTCGTGCCTCAGCCCCCTGAGTAGCTTGGGATCACAGGTGCATGCCACCATGCCTCGCTAATTTTTTTTTTTTTTTGTATTTTTAGTAGAGACAGAGTTTTGCCATGTTGGCCGAGCTGGTCTTGAACTCCTAGCCTAAACTGATCCACCTGCCTTGGCTTCCCAAAGTGGTGGGATTACAGACATGAGCCACCTTGCCTGGCCAACTACACACTTTTAAACAACCAGATCTCAGGAGAACTCACTCACTATCACGAGAACAGCAAGGGGGAAATCCACCCCATGACCCAATCACCTCCCACCAGGTCCCCCATCAGTGTTGGTGTTTACAGTACAACATGAGACCTGGGTGGGGACACAGAGCCAAATCGTATCAATAAGTAAACTGATTATGGTTTGGACAAAATACTTTAGTAAATAGCATGTAAACAGCTTATCACATTCTCCCACTGTCCTTGGCGTTTAATGTTATTTATTTATTTGTATCAGAGACCAAATGTGAGCCACTTCAATCAAGAAACTCATCTACTAAACTAGACTGCAGGACACATGAGTTTCCGTCCTGATTTGCTGCTCACTAACTAGCTGTGAGCCCTCAACCTGTTTCCTATTTATAAAATAACAGGTCAACCAAAGCCTTCCTTAGTCCTAAATCTGACAAGTCCACTGGTTCAGGGGCTTGGTTGCAGGATGGGAGGGGCGAGTGGTAAGGATACTTTGTGGCCTCTCTGCATCCTCTCAGAGGCAGATGCATAAAAATTAATTTAGATAAGAACAATGGTATTCTTTAAATTTTTTTTTTTACTTTAAATTCCAGGATACGTGTGCAGAACGTGCAGGTTTGTTCCATAGGTATACATGTGCCGTGGTGGTTTGCTGCACCTACCAACCTGTCATCTAGGTTTTAAGCCCCACATGCATCAGGTATTTGTCCTAATGCTCTGCCTCCCCTTGTCCCCCACCTCCAACAGGCCCTAGTGTGTGGTGTTCCCCTCCCTGTGTCCATGTGTTCTGATTGTTCAACTCCCACTTATGAGAGAGCAGGCAACCTACAGAATGGGAGAAAAATCTTGCAATCTAGCCATCTGACAAAGTCTAATATCCAGAATCTACAAGGAACTTAAACAAATTTACAAGAAAAAAACAAACAACCCCATCAAAAAGTGAGCAAAGGACATGAACAGAGTCTTCTCAAAAGAAGACATTTGTGCAGCCAACAAACATGAAAAAAAGCTCAAGATCAATGATCATTAGAGAAGCGCAAATCCAAACTACAATGAGATACCATCTCACACCACTCAGAATGGCAATGATTCAAATGTCAGAAACATTGGTATTCTAATAGCGTTTCTTTGCACATCATCATTTAAGCGTGTTAGAATTATGATGCATTTATTGTCATTTCCACTGTTTCAGAGGAGAGACAGTTCCTCTGTGGCAATTGTACAAGTCATGAATCCTAACACCAGAGATCTGCTTGAGACTCTGAACGTTTCTGCTGTAGCTGGTTTCTGTTTTCTGTTTCTTTATAGAAGAGTTTGGTTTTTTTATTTTTATGTATTTATTTATTTATTTTTGAGATGGAGTCTTGCTCTGTTGCCAGGCTGGAGTGCAGTGACGCAATCTCGGCTCACTGCAACCTCTGCCTCCTGGATTCAAGAGGTTCTTCTGCCTCAGCCTCCAGAGTAGCTGGGACTACAGGCACCCATCACCATGCCCAGCTAATTTTTGTATTTTTAATAGAGATGGGGTTTCACCATGTTGGCCAGGATGGTCTCGATCTCTTGACCTCGTGATCCACCCGCCTCGGCCTCCCAAAGTGCTGGGATTACAGTTGTGAGCCACTGTGCCAGGCCTCCTTGTAGAACATATTAATTTAGCCACATCACTACACAATCAGTTTAAAGAAACATGGTAAATGCTGGCTACTTGCCGATAGTGTCAATGAGGCCCTTAGAGACTTGATGTCTTCAGCAGGCAAGGATCAGTGGGTAGAGGAGGCTCTAAATTGTTTCTTCCTCATCACAAGGCTGCGGAGAAGTTGTTGCTCGCAGAGACGTATCAAACACCAACATTTCTGTCCTCCAGCTTTGAATACTCAAGTAGTGAGGCTCAAAGAGGTACGGGCTTCTGAGAGGAACTTTTGCCCTAGAATTAACACAAAGTGGACATTTACAGAATAATTCAACAAACACTTAACAAACTCCTACTATAAGAAAAGTGCTTGGATAGAGATAAGTAAAAATTGTTCTCTCTACTGAAGAGTTGAAGTCAAGGCTAACGTAATTACTCCATTTCAGCACAATTTCACAATGAGACAAGGAGAACACTAACCATTATGTATAATGGCAATCCAACCACATCTGATGTGCAAAACCCCTGGGATGGTGAGTTCAAATAGACCAAGAGCTGATTATAAAAATGTGAAGGTGCCCACGGAACGTGGGGCTCCCAGCGAGTGACCTGCTGCGACACCAGATGCTTCTGGTGGATATAACAGAAGAGAGTTGATGAGTGAGGTGGCCAGGGTTCAGGTCTCTGTTCCACAAAAGTTAGACGTGCGACCTCCAACCAGCAGCTGACCTTGAACAGCTCCACTTCATCACTGCAAAATGTAGTTTACTCCTACTGGCTGGGCTGACTGGCTTCATGAGCCTGAAATCTGTGCCATCTCATAGGGCCCCCTACTCACTGGGAAAGACCCATACTTGATTTAATGTTCTGCTTTCCCCATCTAGAAATTCTTAATAATTTTTGAACAAGGGGACCCTCATTTCCATTCTTCACTGGACCCCTCAAAATATGCTCCTTTTCTGCCTCTTAGGGTTGTGGAGGTTAATACAACAGTGTTTATTAGCGTTTAATATAGGGTCTGGCACTTAGCAAAATGCCTAATATATAGTAAACGCTAAATAAGTGAATGTTGTTTACTATTATCGTTACTGCTGTGGTAAGCTCAGGGAGAAAAGCGTAATTAAGTTGGTATCTTTCAAGGAGGCACATGGGATGTCATCCGTGTAATACTCTTTCCTAATGTAATTCTGGGGACTTTGAAAGGTTCCTACGAAAAGCTCTTTATTGGCAGAACCAGGTAACATTCCTAAGACTTACCAGGCTCTGCAGAGAAGGAATTACATGTTGCATTTCAAAAACAACTCTGAGTGTCGCCGAGTATTGCTGAGCTGTAGCTGGCCAGGGTCTTTCAATTGTGTTGACCTCAATCCCTGGTAGGAAATGCATTTCCTTTGGTGATCTTGTACATCAGAATACTGCGCGGCAGAACAGCACTCACTCCTCCCACACAGAATGCCACCTGGTGTCTTTGAGGCCGGTCGTGACCCACTCAACAGACCTCACCACCCACTAGCGCTTGGCTACTTACAGCTTGAAAAACAACACTTAAGGCAGCTGCTTAAGTCAGAGAGCTCTGCAAGACATTTGGGGACCCCCCAGCCTTGATCCCGGGGAGCCGCTGGCCATGGGGAACTGCCTCAGCCTGCACTGCCGTTGTTGGTGGCAGCTGGCATAGGACAGTCTCACACCCTTCCCAGACGCAGCTGCTGTGCCCCAGAGAGGGGAGGGTGGCAGGCGGTCCCTGCTGCTGTGTATTACAGAAGGAAATGGGACACTGGTCTCTAACGCCCGAGATCGGGTCTTCACTGCAACCCACCAGCCTTCTAGGTTTTCCTGACCTGGGAATCTGGTAGAGCTGCACCTACCACCAGCTGGAGGTTGGACTTGGCCATGTCACTTCCTGTGGCCAAGGAAATATAAACAGAAGTCAGGCAAGTCGGCTCTGGAGAAAAGCCTTCCAGCACCGATGACTCATTGGCATTCCTGGCAGCTCCTGCCAGGTGATGGTGATGTCGAGGGGCCACTGAGGCAGGGGTCCTGAATGTGACCACAGACCACAAATTGGGGCCTGGGGCAGATCCTGACCAGAGGGTTCCAGAACAAAGGCAGAGGGGGCTAAAGGTACAACTTTCTTAAGACTTACTGATTGTGTGGGTTTTTTCCTGAGCCAACCGGCTTACAGCATATGTATAAAAGCAATGAAAGAAGTATAATTTGGTGTAGTAATTTTACCCTAATTCACACTCCCCTTCCATGTGTCCTGCCGATGATTTTGGTAACCTTCTGCTTTCACAAATATGAAGTCAACAACATTTTCTTTCATTTTTATTGTCTGACAAAAGGGAAAGAAACATTCATTAAGAACAAGTCACCTGTTTTCACTGAGGAGTTATAGACAATAACAGAATGAAGCCACCGCACCTTTCCCACACGCTGCTAAAGGCTGACCATTCCAAATACTGTCAATGCGATGCTGGCATCCTGTGGGAAAAATACCTTGGAAGCACTGGTTACCCACAACACTTTGAAATACTTAATTGGGTTTAAATTTCATCAGAGAAAAGGTTCTTTCATGAAAACTCAATTAAATAACTACATAAAGGGCGTGGGGGGAAGTGTTCATTACTAATTACGCAGAAAGCAAAAAATACGTATATTAAATATTACATGTCTCCCCTCCTCAAACACCCAAGTACTTCAAAATAAATGGACGACGAATATGTGGGTTTCATTCCTAAGGAACGTCGGGCTACTCAGCAAAGCAAAATACCCTCTTCGCTCTTCACCTCCCCGGACGGCGTTGCGTGTGTTGAAAGTCACAGGCGTAATTCAAGCAGGAGGCTCAGGACAGAAAGCCTGGAAATCCTGCAGACCAGGCCTCGCCCACCGGGCAGGAGCCGCACAGCCTGAAATGCGGACCAAGCCCGCCACCTAGTGGCCACAGCGATTGTCGCGGCTGCGGCGTTTGGGGATGTTGATCTGAGTCCTTTCTCTTTTTGTTCCTCGTCTCCTCTTTTCTTTCCCTGTCTCCAAGATTTTTTTTTAATCAAATATATGTGAAGAGGTCGGGCGTGGTGGCTCAAGCCTATAATCCCAGCACTTTGGGAGGCCAAGGCAGGTGGCTCACCTGAGGTCACGAGTTCAAGACCAGCTTGGCCAATGCGGCGAAACCCCATCTCTACTAAAAATAAAAAAAAATTAGCCGGGTGTGGTGGCAGGCACCTGTAATCCCACCTTCTCGGGAGGCTGAGGCAGGAGAATCGCTTGAACCTGGGGGGCAGAGGTTACAGTGAGCCGAGATCACACCACTGCACTCCAGCCTGGGTGATAGAGTGAGACTCCATGTTAAAAAAAAAAAAAAAAAAAAGATATGTGAAGAAAATCATCTGGAATCTTTAAAGGTGCACCTTGCTCTCCTGGGAGAGGGCGCACGGCTGCGGTGCTCCAGTCGGAGTCAAGACAGTCCCTGGGGAGTCCACGCAGGAGGTGCGGCCACGCGGCATTCAGGCTACGGCCTCCTTGAGTGCTTCCTCATCACCATTGTAAAATCACGTTCCTGATTCTTATACCACAACTTATTCTTTTAATGCCCCAATATTAGGATGTAAGAAATTATCTATGGTGGAATAATTTGTTTTCATTTCATATAAAATTGAAAAACGTATTAAAGAGCTTGATGTTGCTGAAAGATGACCCACATCAATGTATCTTCATGTAATTATTTCTATTACATGTTTATTGTGTTTTGAATCCACACAACAAATCACAGACAGCATGAACCCCGCAGCCAACAGGTCTCAATGCAAAGCTTGCAGCCATACTTAGATACATCATCTGACAATGTAAAGAAAGGTGCTCACCTCATTTTTAAAGTCAAGGAGAATTGCAACCTAATGTTTAGTACATTTTTGTGTTAGGACATATATCTGGTCATTCCTTTTTTGTTTTGTCTTATACTACTTATACTACTTATACTCATATTTATGTAACCCAAAGAAATAAAATTCACCATCCCACCTTATCAAATATGTTGAAAACAAACATATCTTGTTTTCTGGAATTATGAATGTGAGTGAGGAGCAGCTGAGCCACCCTATGGCAGGGCAGCGCGGCTCTCAGGGACAGTCATGCGGGCATGGAGCTCCCTTCCCGGCGCAGGGCTTTGCTGCAGCTGAGTGGGATCCTCCTAGAGACGCACAGCTTCCTGGCGGGCTCTGAGGCGAGCGCCCAAGGAGGGCTTCCTGGTGACCTGCGGCAATGCCCGCTCCTCTCAGGCGAGCTTCCCATTGCAGCTGCCCTGCTCTGGGCTGGTGTTTGTCTTCCTGCACTGATTTCTGTGTAGAAACTTTGAAAATTCCTAGCAAGAACTGATGCGTGTGTGAGTGTGCAAGTATGCGTATGTGTGAGCATGTCTGTGCACTCATGTGAGACTGTGCATGTGCGTGTGTCTGTGCATGTGTGTGTATGTGTGACTATGTCTGTGTGTGCATGTGATTGTGTGTGCTTATGCATGTGTGCATATCTGTGGATGTGTGCATGTATGTTTGCGCACGTGTGCCTGCGTGACAGTGCATGTGTACATGTGAGAATGTGCCTGTGTGTGCGTATGTGAATGTGAGTATTGTGTGCATGCGAGTGTTCCATATGTTTGAATATGTGCATGCGTGCATGTGCACAGATGTTCATGTGAGTGTGTATTGTATGTGCACGTGTGTGCATATGTTCGTGCATGACAGTGCATGCGTGTGTATGTGAATGTGAGTATTGTGTGCATTTCAGTGTTGCATATGTGTGAACATGTGCATGTGTGTATGGGCACAGGTGTTCGTATGTGAGTGTGCGTGTGTGTATGTGAGTGTGCACGTGTGGATTCGTGCATGTGTGTGCATTCATGCATGTGTGTGCCTGTGTGAGTGTGTGAATGTGTGTATGTAAGGGTGTACATTGTATGTGAATGTGTATGTTTATACATGTGTGTGTTGATGCATGCTTATATGTTACTGTTAATGAGCATGTGTATGTCACAAATAACACGGCTTTCATAACCCTTTAATAAGATATATAGCACTACTATTACGGACATTGTATACATAATTTTATCTATTTTTTATATCCTTCAAAAGATGCATTTAAAGAAAACAGACAAAGGATGATGGAAAAATTAAACGTGGAACCAGCCCATAGAACACAGCATTTTCTCTACAGAGTCATCAGTTCCCTCATGACTATTTGCTCTTTCATATCGTGGAAATAATGGTGCTTATTCTGCTCAGTTCACACTACATTGTAGGATTAAGTTGGACAACATATCCCGAAGCGCTGCATACGCTGTGAGTAACAGGTGAGCACAATGACGGTGATACTCAGCATTAGCTGCAGATGCTTTCTTGGGTCCTCCCTTCCTTGTAGGCAACAGTGGTCCCTGCCTGCCTGTCAATCAAACCCCCATTTCCCACTGGGCATTTAGCAGGATGCGTTTCATCCCCAGAAACCACATCCTGCTCAACTGTGATTCAAGAATACGCCCAAGCTCCTCTCATCCCCCATCACCTCCCAGATTTCCCTCTCCACCGCTCCCTCTTCGTTTGTTCAGGCACAGTTCACTGTCTGCCGCCTGCTGCATGCGGGGCTTAGGCCACACAACCGGGAGCACGATGGCTGTGGATTCTGCACTTTCTGAGTTTACGTTGCAGTAAACACATAAACTCATATAGGCGATCTCATGCTGTCCTTTACTCTCCCTGTGTGCATGGTTTTCACCCAGAGATTGGAAGTTCTTCAAGAAAAGAATCACATTTTGCATTTTTATATCCTTCACGGTATCAGCAGTTGTTTACTCATTCAATAAGTATTGAATATCTAATAACACATTGGACCTTGGGGATAAAATAATAACAAAAGATTGTTTTTTCTCTATTGCAACTAACTGCATAGTAGGAAATTTGATGTCTACACAGTCAATAATACAACAGAGAGGAGAGCTCTAAAATACAGGACGTGTGAGCCCCCCAGGGGAGAGAAGATGGAACGCTAACAGCCAGGGGAAGAGGGAGGAAGGCGCCGGCCCTCTGGGAGGAAGCGGCTCTGGAAGGAAGTGGCCTGCAATCTGAGGCCTCAGGATGAGAGGAGATGAGCCAGGTGAAGAGAAATAAAATTACATTCCAGGCAAAGAGGAATGAAATAGAGAACAGCACATCGTTTTAAAGAAATATTTAAGAAAGACAAGTTGCTTAGAGCGTATGATTTCAGAGTTGAGCAATTGATTCAGTCTTTATAAGACTTTATATGACTTTTATAAGATGCAGTAAGTCATTATTTAGAATAATGGTTGTCAATAATAAAGTTTCAAACTCAATAATTAGTTTTAAAACAATAAATTAATATAATAGCATTGTAATTTTTTGTTTGTTTCTTTGTTTGTTTGTAGAGACAAAGTTTTTAACTCCAAGGCTCAAGTGATCCTCCTACCTCGGACTCCAGAATCGCTGGAATTACAGCTGTAAGACACCATGTCTGGCCTGGCATTGTAATATGAACGCTTTTTTAGGGGGAAAATGTTGTGGTATAAAATCTCGCGGCCAGGCGTTTAAATGATGCCTTCAATGAACCGCCCTCTAGCAACAGCTCAGCAACATAGAGCTGGGAATTAGCAAGGCAAAGACCCCAGTGATATTCGGGGAATAAACACGTCCACACCATAGCTTTTCTCAACCTAATTTTATTCCCGGAGACAGGGTCTCCACACTTGGCTGCAATGACAACCACCAGAAATACCTTCCAGTCCTCATCAAGTCCTAGAACCAGTCATTCAAATTGCCGTGGGGAGTGACATCAACTCCCCACGAAAGTGAAAGCCGCCCAGGTGTTTGGATTCAAAGCACGGAGGAGTTCAGGGAAGCAAACAGACTCCTCGGCCCGCGACCCAGCACCCCCGCCTGAGCTTCCCACGCTTCCAGGCTTAGCCTCCTGTGTCCTCATTTGCAGAGTCGCAACCTAGCACGCCTGCCTGAGCTTCCAGGCTTAGCCTCATGTGTCCTCATTTGCAGACTCTCTTCTGGAGCCATCGGTGTCACCCCCCTCCGAGAGGTGACAGAGGTGACACCGTCCCTCTGCTCCCCTGGTGCGGCTGTTGCAGGACTCTGCACCTCCCACCAGGCAGCTCTCAGCCCTGTCCACTCGAAATGTTTCCTTCCTTACAGGAAAACTCATCTTCACGTGGGCGAGGAAAGGCCCACAGATATTTAAGACTGTCTCTACCAGTGTGTCTGTCGTGCTTTTTGGAAGCCAGGATGAGAAACAAGGGTTCCTGCCCTCAAAGAGCACATGCTCAGACATCTCACCTGTTTCCAAAGCCCCAAGTGAGCAAAAGTGAAGCTCACCAGGCCTACAAACTCACTTTTCAAAGAGAATTTCCTGTCCCTTTCCCAGGGTCTTCTGTGGTTCTCCCAACATTCAGGTCTCCTAGCCCTGGCAACAGATTTGACTGATATCGACATCCACTTCTAAGTAGCCTGGTCTGGGTGTTCTCACCACACACCTGAGTGATTAACACAGACAGTAGCATATCACCTAAGGGACTCCCACCTCTCCACATCTGCCTCGGGGCACCCTGCTGGGATCCTCCTGCTCCCCAGCCCTGCCCCACCTCAGTCCCCGCCCTGTGCTTGGTGAGTTCCCCTTCTTGGCTGCCCAGGTTCCTCTTTCCTCAGCATCTCACTGTCCATCTGCCAGAAACCCCGGCTGCCTCTAACTCCAGAATATGGCCAGGTCGGTCAGCTCTCACCAGCTCTCCCTTCACCCACCTCCTGCTTCTGGGTGGCTAAGGAGCCCCTTCGCTGGTCCCGTTCTCCCTTCCTCCCTCTACCCGCCTGATCCTCCTGCAAACAAGAGGCCGAGGAAACATTGGCTGCATGTGACACTCCTCTCTCCTGTCCGTGCCCGGCCTGTGTGCTCTGCATGTGACACTCCTCTCTCCTGTCCGTGCCCGGCCTGGGTGCTCTGCATGTGACACTCCTCTCTCCTGTCCGTGCCCGGCCTGTGTGCTCTGCATGTGACACTCCTCTCTCCTGTCCACGCCCGGCCTGTGTGCTCTGCATGTGACACTCTTCTCTCCTGTCCGTGCCCGGCCTGTGTGCTCTGCATGTGACACTCTTCTCTCCTGTCCACGCCCGGCCTGTGTGCTCTGCATGCGACACTCCTCTCTCCTGTCCCTGCCTGGCCTGTGTGCTCTGCATGAGCGCTCCTTCCTTTGCCTGCCTGCTCTCCTCTCTCCACCCACTGCGGTGGCTGTGTGCTTCTCCAGACACACCAGGCCACTCCTGCCCCAGCGGCACCTGCCTCTCCATCCTCCAAACACCCACCAGGCTCCCTCCCTTCTTTCCAGTCCATTCTCCAAAGGCCCTTCTCACCGAGGTCTCTCCTGGGCATGGCCTTAGATCTCTCACCCACCCCAGCCCTCCCAGACCCTCTTCTTCTGCCCTAATTTTGCACATAGCTCTTGCACCCACTGAGCACTGTAACGGCAAGCCCATCTGATGGCTGTCCACCTTCCCTGAGCTGACATGAGCTCTCTGAAGACTCGAGATCTTCTGCCTGCTCGGTTCACTGCTTTATCCCTGGCATGCAGAGCCAACTATTAATCACCACCATCAACACATAGGATGTGGCCTCTGTGAGCGTTTTGCCTCTATTTTTCCAGTTCATCCTCATGATAAATTCCAGACGTGAGTTTTGGAGTTTCCTCCCCATTGTACAGATGAGGAAGGAAGGCTGAGAGATTAGGTGACCTGGCCCAATTCAGGACATGCAGGAGGTCTGCAGACCCAAGATGGCCCCGACCCCTTCACTCTTGGCCTGATCCAGCCCCTTCCGCACAGCATCCTCCTTGAATCTTTTGCTTCAAGCACAATTATTATAAATATGCACCCAGCCTTTTTATTTTATTTAAGTTCTGGGATACATGTGCAGGATGTGCAGGTTTGTTACACAGGTAAACATGTGCCATGGTGGTTTGCTGCACCTGTCAATCCATCACCTAGGTATTAACCCCAGCATGAATTAGCTATTTATCTTGATGCTTTCCCTCCGCATGCTGACCCCCCTACACAGGCCCCAATGTGTGCTGTTCCCCTCCCTGTGTCCATGTGATCTCATTGTTCAGCACCCACTTACAAGTAATAGCGTGCAGTGCTTGGTTTTCTCTTCCTGGAATACACACCCAGCCTTAAAAACCTTGACTTGCCAAAGGAAAATACATTCTTCTGACGATGACGCAGGAGTGGGGTTTCCATCAGGCCATCAGCCTCCACCCTGGACTCCACCACTGTGTGCTCCGCCCAGCATGCCTAATTCCAACAATTCAAACAGAAGAGTGGCTATTGTAATTGTTTGTTATTCTAGAAGACAGAACAGGACCAGTGGATGGACATTAGAGAATGGCAGCTTTAAACTTAGCACAGGGAAGCAAAACAGACCCACACGATTTTCAAGCTTCCAGGATTTTCAATTCCCTCAAAGGCCCCACGTCACAAACTCATTTTCGGATCTGCTTCCTCCTCTAAATGTGCTTTGCTAGATGTCCGTGTTGTAGGTATGGTCAAAGGAAATTACATGTATTTAGTTCTAGGACACCACTTACATTTTAAGATTTTAAGATGTGCCATAGAGTCAGTGACAGGGGGAATGGGCACTTGGTTTTAAAAGTCTTGATTCCAGCTTGATGACCATGCAGAGAAGTCGGATCTTAGGGTCAGGTTGTAGCATCTGACATACACATTCTACGTATTTTTCAACTTTTCCTTATGTCTCTTTAGCATGTAACACACTCTCCACTTGTGAAGGAAATCACACAAACACTCCTTTATCTAAAGAGTCGATGTCTTCACTGCCTGCTTTAGATCTTCTTTTTTTTTTTTTTTTTTTTTTTTTGAGACGGAGTCTCGCTCTGTCGCCCAGGCCGGACTGCGGACTGCAGTGGCGCAATCTCGGCTCACTGCAAGCTCCGCTTCCCGGGTTCACGCCATTCTCCTGCCTCAGCCTCCCGAGTAGCTGGGACTACAGGCGCCCGCCACCGCGCCCGGCTAATTTTTTGTATTTTTAGTAGAGACGGGGTTTCACCTTGTTAGCCAGGATGGTCTCCATCTCCTGACCTCATGATCCACCCGCCTCGGCCTCCCAAAGTGCTGGGATTACAGGCGTGAGCCACCGCGCCCGGCCCTAGATCTTCTAATGTCCTATTATTTGTTAGTTAAAATACTCACGTATTTCATAAATATCTGAAATACGCCCTGGGAACAGGAGTGTACACACGCATTCATTCTCTGAACTTCCCAGTCTAAGGTGTAAGGTCCGTTGCTAATTAGCACAATAAAAACGGCAGCCACAGAGGCGAGCTAAGTGCCTAGAATCACAACTGCAGCCTGCGTTTCCTGACTTCTTTTATATTTTATCCATGTAGAGTTTAATTGAAGTGGCCTCAGTTATTAGGGAAGAATAATGCCCTAATTATACCATAACCTACACAGTTTAGTCAAATACGGCAGTGCCAGGATCTCGTGTTAATGAAAGTGTTCCACAGCTGGCAGGTTTTCCTGGACTCGATTTAGGGAGGCTGAGGAGGAAACTGGCTCCAGAGGAAGCACACAGACTCTGTGATCAGCATTCATGGGAACCTCCTTCCACACGCTGTCTCTCCCCACGCGGGCAGATCACCTTACGCTGGGGAGCAGGTTGTATTTTCTCAAATCCGTGGCTCTAACATGCGAAGAGAAATCAATTTGTCTGCGTATGACATTGCTCAGTAGGTAACTTATGAAATGACCAAAATGATTGAATCTGCTCAGGAGAATAACTAGGACATGATCGTTCTGCTCGGGCCGGTGGCTCTGGCTCTGGTGGCTCTGCGTCCTGCCAGGGATGGGCTGATGTCAAGAAGGGAAGCGGGGCACTGCGGTGCCTTCCACGTAATTCGATTCTCCATTTCCCTTAACTCAATTCCCAGGAATCCAATTCCTTGAAATAAGCTGTCCTTTATGTTCTGAGATAGGCTTTAATCACTTTTACTTTGTTTTGTAATGTTTAATTCCATCAAGATGGATTGAAACCGTCTGTGGAAATAAATGCCTTTTTAAAGCTAGTAGCAGAGGCGGCACTCGCCGTCGACAGGAGACGGTGTCTTTTCCTTCCCTCTCTGCCCTGGCTTAGGCTTTCCTGTCGGGGTTTCATTTCCAGGAGGATGTTTATAGGGTCTGCACTGTCTCTAAGCAGCCTGTCTGCTGATGAGTAAAAACGCTTTCCTACAAACTGACCCTGAGGGATTTGCCTAATTTCTTTTTTTTTTTTTTTTTTTTTTTTTTTTGAGATGGAGTTTTGCTCTTGTCGCCCAGGCTGCAGTGCAGTGGCGTGATCTCGGCTCACTGCAACCTCTGCCTCACAGGTTCAAGCGATTTTCCTGCCTCGGCCTCCTGAGTAGCTGGGATTACAGTCGTGCACCACCACATCCGACTAATTTTGTATTTTCAGTAGAGACGGGGTCTTGAACTCCTAACCTCAGATGATCCGCCCTCCTCGGCCTCCCAAAGTGCTGGGATTACAGGCATGAGCCAGCGTGCCTGGCTTGCCTAATTTTTTTCAGAAGTGGTTCAGGCCATAAATGAGGCTCCACGCTGGAAAGTGAGTTCTCTTGTGTGGGGTAAACGGGTCGGCCGGAGGAGGAAGGGATGCCCGGAGGGATGGATTTTTCACAGGCAGGTTCACACAGAACACGGACGGGTCTGAGGGTGCAGGGTGCAGGGCGGGCGTGTGTGTGTTCAAGGAAGGGAAGAAGAGGAAGGGCATTTAGAAAGCCCCGGGCACACCTCACTGCACGTTACCCCAGGACGCAGTGGCTCAATAGCAGCCATTTTATCACCTGTCCCGGTTTCTAGGTAGGAACTCAGGCGGACTCACCTGGTGAGGTCTCTGTTTCCCCTAAAGCAGTGGGTGATGCTCAGCCGCTGCAGGGGCTGGACTGGAGGGTTCGGGACAGCGTCATTCACATGTCTGGTGCCCTGTGGGGAAGGAGGCTGCAAGGTGCACGGGCCCAGATGGGGCCTGCAGGTGCCTGCAGGAGGCCTCGGGCAGTCAGAGTTCCTCAACGGCGCTCAGCACTGAGGGAGTGCAGGTTCCAGCCAACAACACAAAGTGAGGCGGTTTCTAAGCCCCCACGGTCACTTTGACGGCCCTCTGGGTGGGAAGCCCACCCGGTCCAAGGGGACGAGGGACACAGACACCCTTTCGACAGGGCCACATAAGAAACCATCCCCACTGAGCCCACAGAGGCTGGAACGCAGGCGCGGGAGAGTAGGAGCAGCGCTGGCAGGTGTGGGTGGTCTCACAGAGGCTCTCACAGAGGTCACACCTGACAAAGCCAGGCTGGGCGGCAAGGACAGAGGAGCGTGTCCAAGGCTGGCCCCAGGGCCTGACACACGTGGCCCACGGTGCTGGAAGACACAGACCTAGGGATCCAGGGAGACACTGGGGAGCCTCCTCAGGCACGGGGGTGAGGCCGGCAGTGGACGCAGCAAGGGGTCGGGGTCTCGCAGTGGCCACAGCTCCGGTGGAGCCACCCAGCCCCACACACGGAGCGCCGGCAGCGTCAGCTCTGGGTCCCTCTAATTAATCCAAGCGTTTCTCAAGCACCAGGTCCTGGGAAGCACGTGGCTGAGGGAGCTTCCCTTGGTGGTTAAAGGGCAGCTCCACACTCTGGGGGTGCAGAGAGACCTCCCTGAATCTCCACTCACTGGCTGCTAAGGAGGGGACAATGACCCAGCAACCCAGTGGCTTTGAGGAGCACGTTACCAAAATATTCATTACGGAATACAAGAAGGGCCAAGTGGGGTGTCGCCAGCTCTGGGAAAAGGAGTTGAAGAACTTGGAGTCTGATGTGCAAAGGCAGGAAGCTTCTGGCACGGGAGAAAGACAAAGGTGGGAAGACTCAGCAAGCCAGCTCCTTCCACCTTCTTCTGCCTGCTTTTTCTAGCCGCGCTGGCGGCGATTGGATGGTGCCCACCCCAACTGGGGATGATCTTTTCTCTCCCAGTCCATTATAAAGGCATTTCAAAGAGCAAATTATAACATTACATCACAAAGACCTTACGAAAGTTTTTTGGTTTTTTTTTGGTTAACTCTTCACTTATTTATCTTTTTTATAGGTTGATTTTTCTCCCTAATACTTAGAAATCAGTATTGCATTTTATGCAGAATCCTCACTTCCTGATATTAGTTTGAACAGAATGCAACTTCTCCCCTTACAAATTAGCATCTGTTTTATACATTAATATGCATACTCCAGTATGTATGGACATGCATTGCCCAACTCAGAAAGAGCATCAGATTTCCGTTGAACTACGGTCTGCGGTTTACTGCCGTGTCATAAACCACCCCAAAACGACTGACCTTCATCACAACTCGAGTCAATGGGGGTGGTTCAGCCAATAAGGCAATGGGGGTGGTTCAGCCAATCAGTCAATGGGGGTGGTTCAGCCAATCAGTCAGGCTGGGCTGGTTCATGCCTCTGTGGTCAGCTGACAGGTGGCGTTGGGACTGAGGGGTTCAGGATGGCCTCACCCACGTGTCAGAGGGTAGCCTGGAGCCTGCCTGGGCAATGCGGTAACTAGGTCACATGACTTAACACCCAACAAGCTAGTCTGGCCTGTGCACGTGATCACGGCAGCCTCATAAAAGAGAGCAAAGCCATACACATGCCCTTCAGGGCCAGTGTTTGGACAGGCACAAAGTCAACTCCACCTCTTTCTGTTGAACAGAGTAAATCTCAGGGCCAGCCTTGACTCGGGGCTGGAGAAACAGACTTGGACTTTTGATGGTAAGAATGCAAATAGCATGGACATGTGGAAGCGGGAAACACAATGAGCCTCGAAGGCCACGAGCAGGCGGCAAGGCGCTCACTGACTCCATTTATACGAAGCTTCAGGACAGGCAAAACTAACCAATGACGAGAAATGCCGAGGGGTGGCTGCCTCAAAGGCAGGGGCCGAGTCATGAGCAAGGGGATGAGGATAACTTTCTGGACTTGTAGAAATGCAATGTCTCTGGATTAGAGTGATGAGGATATAAACATAAATTTGTCAAAATGTATCAGACTGTACAATTCTAATCTATATATTTTACTGTATGAAAATTATACCTTACTGTTTTAGAAGATGCTTGATAGAAAAATAACACTGGCAGCTATCTATGCATTTGTTTGGAATCTACTCCATTTGGCAAAGGCCACACACACACACACCACAGGCATTTTTGAAAAATGCCTTTAATTCTAGATTTGGGTCTGTTTCAGGCATTTCGGATGGTTTTGGGATACCACCCTTAGGGTGCTGGAAGCTCTTCTTTCTGGCTGAGAGGCTGAATCGCACTTTTGCTTTGCTACCTTAGAGGTCTGAAACCAGCCTTGGAGCTGTGCCCTTGATTTGATCTGTGTTCCCCACTTGCTTTCTGGTTTTCTGGTTTGGATTTTTTAGGATATTTTACTGGATGAGGAGACTGAAATGAGTTTTCTCATACAACCCTACAAGCACTGGCCTCTGGGTGTCCCCTCTCGATTCTGCTGCCGACGGCGGCGCTCATGTCCTCCCCTGTCCTGCACCACCAGGAGAACTCGGCCGAAACGCTGACTGCTGGAGCTCGCCTTTGCCAGATGAAGCTCCTCAGCTTCACTCTATCTCCCCTGACAGTTCTGCGGTTGTCGTGGGTCTACCCTGCAGGCATCTACCCTGCCTGGGGTCCACAACAGCTTCTCTGAAGGGTGCCAGTCCCCGCTCGCTGCCATTTCATTTGCCACCCACCACCCTGTCCACGGCCCATCAACAGCAGGTGTTTTAGGTTTTGTGATGACAGTAACCAACTTTAGCAGACCAATTTCTATATCAGCTGTGCATTGCTGTTCCTCAAACCACCCGAGAGTACTTACTTCCGTGCAGACTGGAAGCTGTTCGGCGAGCAATGGGGGCCGGGACTGCCTTCCCACACTTGAATCTCCAGGACCTTCCAGCATACCTGGAATACAGTAATACGCAATAAATATTCTATGAATGTAAGATGAATGAGCCATTCTTGGCTATTGACAAGGAAATAAGCCATGAGCAATGCCTGGGATCTGCATGATTCCATTCAAATCAGCAGGTTCCATATGCCATTCGGACTGAATGAAAATCAGAAGACACAAGTGTTTGCTCTGAAAACCATTTTTTTGTTTTAATGCGCTGAGCTATTAGTCTGTGTTGGGAAGAAAAAGGCAGACTTTTGGTCAAGTGTGACCTAATAACATAAAAAAAATTTTTTCTAACCTCGAAAAGGAAGAAACATCATCGGCATGTTATTTCTGCAAGTCCTGCCTTAAAAAAAACTTCAAATGAATTATTGGAAAGGAGAAAACATAAAATATCTTAAATAAAACAGTTTCCCAGAAAAGTATGCATAAAATTGTGTGTGTATGTATATGTGTGTATAGTATATGTGTGTGTATTTGTGTGTATATATGTGTATGTATATATATGTGTATGCATATGTGTGTATAGTATATGTGTGTGTATGCATGTGTATATGTGTGTATATATGTGTGTATGTATGTGTGTATACTGTGTGTGTATGCATGTATGTGTGTATATATGTATATGTATGTGTGTATAGTGTGTGTATGTGTGTATATGTGTATATGTGTGTATAGTATGTGTGTATGTGTGTATGCATGTATGTGTATATATGTGTGTGTATGTGTGTATAGTATATGTGTGTGTATGCATGTGTATGTGTGTGTATATATGTATGTGTGTGTGTATAGTATGTGTGTGCATGTGTGTATGTGTGTATATATGTATATGTGTGTATAGTGTGTATGTGTGTGTATGCATGTGTGTATGTATATGTGTGTATAGTGTGTGTGTATATATGTGTGTATGTATATGTGTGTATAGTATGTGTGTATGTGTGTGTATGCACGTGTGTGTATGTATATGTGTGTATAGTGTATGTGTGTGTGTGTGTGTATGCCTGTGTGTGTAGGGGGAAGTCAAGGGAGGAGGATGTGATTTAGGAATGTATCATCTACAATAGGAAATACTAACCAATAATTAAATCAGGAGAATAGATTCTATTTTATGTAAAGTTTATTTCAGCAAATGTTTAGCCAACTCCAGCTGTCAATATAATTATAGATATGGTCACCGAATCCTGGCTATTAAATCTACATTCCAAATTTGTAATTTTCAAAATGTCTTCCATAAGTAGCATGAACTAGAGCTAAAGACATAAAGTTTAGTAAGTTATATCATGGCAACACTCATCAATAAGTCAGAAAGCTTGGAATTAAAGAACTTAAATTTCCATTTAAAATAGTGTTTGAGAAATGCTACATCTCACAAATATTCTGTTTCTAGTTAAACAACTTACCGATGCAAATGCTTTCATCCCTTTTTAATGAATAAATATGTGTTTAAAAATCTGTTCAAATAGCTTATTGTCGTTAAGCTCTACATTTTAATGTGCCTATGCAACGGCTGTGGTGTTAATCAGAATAGTGAGTGAATCTCAGCTGCCAAGATGCTTGCCTGGGGTATCATTTATTTTCATAAGAAATATAACATTTCTGTTCAAACGGGCCATCTGTTCTGAACTCCTCACAAGATTAAAAGATGAGTAGAGTGTTTTGTCATTTCATCTCTGCCCTTCGTAATCCTTTCACCCTCACCAGTAATGCACGAAGAGTCCTAAGTTTAGAGTCCCACATTACCTATGCATTTTGCTTTGATAATTAAACTCAACTTGGGAAAGTTGTACAAAAATATTTGTTAAATGGATACGGGTCTCGGTCTAACTGCTTACGTCACAAGCAGTGAGAAACCTAAAAGAAACGTTCCTCTTCTTGTATTGTGAAGGCTCCGTCTACCACCTGGCCTGGCCTCATGCCTGATGTCCACACACTCCACACGGGACCCCTCCTTCCTGGGGGCCGCTGTGTCCTGCCTGGGCTGCCGTGACACGGTGTCCCAGGCTGAGCGGCTCAAACCACAGGAATTCCTTTCCTCGCAGTCCCGGAGGCTGGAAGTCCCAGATCCAGTTGTGGACAGGGCTGGTTCCTCCTGAGGCCTCTCTCCTCGGCTTGTGATGCTGTGTTGTCCCTGTGTCCTCACAGCCTCCGTCTCTTCGTGTCTGTGTCCTAAACTCCTCTTCATATAAGGTGGTGGGTCAGATTGAATCAGGGCCACCCATATGACCTCACTTAGCCTTACTCAACTCTTTAAAGGCCCCGTCTCCAAAGACAGTCACACAGTCACATGAGAGGCTTCAACACTGGTTTGAGAGGGACACCGCTCAGCCGTAACGGCCGCTCCCCCCATCGGCGAGGGCAGAAGGAGACATCTGACAGGGCTTGTGTTCTCCTCGAGGAGTTCAGCCTGGTGGGGAGGTCCCTGTGTCTAAATGTGTGAATGGACTGCAAGCACGCTTGCGACCGTAATTATCCAACCTGATGTGAAAGCAAGGCACACAGAAACCTCCTGTAGGGACCTGGAAGTCTTCACGAAGACCTTGGCACTTGAGCTGTGTTTTTAGGATGCCTGCTGAATGCAGGAGGGCAGTTAGGGTCGAGGGAAGCTGGCTCGCTCAGGGACAAAGGGTTAAAGGGTGTGTTGCTATTGGGTGAGTTAAATGGTGTGTTGCTATCCCAGGGTCCCCAGTGAACCAAGACTCCAGCTTACCTTTGACCCTGATGTGTCCCTGAGTTCTGCCTCAACAAAGAGAACAAGGCCAAAGCAACCCTGGGCTGGGTCTGGACGTACGTAAGCCCTAGGAGGGCCGGGCAGCTCCTACCTTAGCCATCTGGGGGAAGCCCATTGCCACTGAAGAATCCCACTGCCCTGGAACTGCCTCCTGGAGAAGGACTCAGCTCCTCGCCCACAGCCAGCGCCAACACAGCAGCCCTGTGGGTGGGATCATATCAGAAGTGGATCCCCCAGCCTCAGCTGGCCCCCCAAAGAGCAGTGAGCAGGGAATGTGGTTAATGCTCTAAACCATGAATTTAGAAGTAGGCGGCAGAAGCCAAGGGAAAGTCACGGTAGAAATGAGGAACACAGGGCAACGCACATGGCTGAAACCAAAGCTCCAGCTTCTCCCTTCAGTTGATGGCAAAGTTAAAACCACATTATGGCAAAATGGTAGCGATAATAACAATAACGGTATATGAAAGCAGGTAAATTATGCAAACCAATAGCTGATATTAGGAATTCTCAGCCTCTTTGCCATGTGAACACCCTGCTGTTGTTCCCAGTGCTGTGGACGCAGTGAGGTGTCATCTTATGCTGTGATCATAAACTGTGTTCTTACCAAACAGATGGCCTGTATTCAGGCGCTGTGCCTAAAGTTTTCTATTCCCCCATAGCTATAGTGTAAGGAGTTTGCTTAGGAATTGAAAAAAGTGTATTTTAAATGTGGTAAACAAACTCACCCCTCCAAACCCAAAGAATGGACTAGAGACCTGGAGAGGAGCAAAAGTGAGACTTTAAACGACAGCCTTGAAAGATCGGGTGTCTGGTGGGCAGGCACATCCAGCACGGTTACAACAAGCCATTTATCCCCTACTGCGCAGATCCCTCCCCGGTTCCTCATAGGCTGAGTACTACGGGGTCACAATCCTCCCAGACATCGCCTGTTGGTTGTTGGGTAGGGGCTGTAGGGTGCAGGCTCCTCCCCTGGTTTCTCATAGGCTGAGTACTACGGGGTCACAGTCTTCCCAGACATCACCTATTGGTTGCTCGGCAAGGGGTGTAGTGTGCAGGTCCCTCCCCCGGTTCCTCACAGGCTGAGTACTGTGGGGTCACAGTCTTCCCAGACATCACCTATTGGTTGCTGGGCAAGGGGGGTAGTGTGCAGGTCCCTCCCCCGGTTCCTCATAGGCTGAGTACTGTGGGGTCACAATCTTCCTGGATGTCGCCTGTTGGTTGTTGGGTAGGGGCTGCTGGGCACAGGTCCCTCCCTCGCTTCCTCATAGGCTGAGTACTGTAGGGTCACAATCTTCCTGGATGTCACCTATTGGTTGTTGGATAGGGGCTGAAGGGTGCAGGTCCCTCCCCCAGTTCCTCATAGGCTGAGTACTATGGGGTCACAATCCTCCCAGATGTCACCTGTTGGTTGCTGGGCAGGGGCTGTAGGGTTGTCCTGCTGCATTTTGTCACAGCCCACAATTCACTGCAATCCTAGTCAGCTCAGGGGCTCTTCAAGTATTTGACTTAAGACCTAAGTAGCTGGGCAGGCTGATAAGAACAAACAAAACGAGCTATTTTGCAGGCTAGTAAACTTTCATCTTAGACTAAACATCTTTGGTTGGGGTGAGGGCAACTAAGAGCGGGTGAAGGCAGGGAGGCCAACAAGCAGGCATCGGTGATGCAAGCACAGGCCTAGTCTCTCCTGTTTTTTCTGTAGTTTTGCTGACCTAAGCCCACTTAAGGCACTTTGTCTTGGAAATGGACCGCTGTATACATTATCTCCTTCATAAAGAAACTCAGTGATTCCAGAAAGTCACCCAGGCAGGCATGTCTCTAAGGAGCACCTACCACACAGGAGACACGCTGCTCAGGACCCACCCCTCCTAAAGCACATGGATTCCAGAGCGAGGCACACACAGGGTAATTACCAAGGAACTGGATTATTAAAAACAACGGCAAAATCGGAGGTGCATCCTCACATCCTTGGCAGAAGTAAGGGAGTAGAAGCCTCCATAGTTACTCCAGGCTCGCCTGACACACGGTGATACTGAGCCACCGTGCTCCTCACCCTTAGGGCTGGACTGTCAGCGTTTTGCTAACATTCTCGAAGATCCAGCATCCACCTGCGATGGAGTGCGTCTACCTGAGTCACTCCTGGTCCTGATCTACCTAACCCTCCTCCTGATCCACCTGACCCTCCTCCTCATCCACCTCCTCCTGATCCACCTGACCCTCCTCCTGATCCACCTCCTCCTGACCCAACTGACCCTCCTCCTGATCCACCTGACCCTCCTCCTGATCCAACTGACCCTCCTCCTGATCCACCTGACCCTCCTCCTGATCCACCTAACCCTCCTCCGTTGCAGTGAGCCTCTCTTCACCCTGATGTCCACAGCAAGCCACCAAGGCAGCCTCTCACCTCCTGCCCTCCCACCTCCGACCATCTTGCTGCCCTGGGATCCATCACTATCACGGCGGAGCACAGAGGCAGCTGGATCAGGGTGTAAGGCAGGGCAGGGGGCTAAGAGGGGAGTTGTGCATGGAGAGACACACAGGCCACAGTGAGGACATGGTTCCTATTGGTGAGAAGCTCTTGCCGGGTTCTAACCAGAGGAATCACTTGTTCTTCCACTGTTTTACAGGGTGCCCTCCAGCTGCTGCCCTATGCAAATGACCTCAGGTAGTCAGGCGAATCCTCTCAGGCCAAAGACGCAGCAGTACACCACCTCTGTACTCAGTGAATGGTTAATTAATATTCCATAGGCAATACAAATATTGCTAGAGGACTTCCAGAACAACTGAACTACCAGCCGGCAACATTTTCTTAGGTCTATTCACCACCTTAATAAATGCTAGAAAGAGGCCGGGCGCAGTGGTTCATGCCTGTAATCCCAGCACTTTGGGAGTCTGAGGCGGGCAGATCATGAGGTCAAGAGATCAAGACCATCCTGGCCAACATGGTGAAACTCCATCTCTACTAAAAATACAAAAAATTAGCCAGACATGGTGGTGGTCATCTGTAATCCCAGCTACTCTGGAGGCTGAGGCAGGAGACTCGCTTGAAACCGGAAGGCAGAGGTTGCAGTGAGCCGAGATCGCACTACTGCACTCCAGCCTGGGCAACAAGAGTGAAACTCCATCTCAAAAAAAAAAAAAAAATCTCTACCAAAAATACAAAAATTAGCCAGGCGTGGTGGCAGGCACCTATAATCTCAGCTACTCAGGAGGCTACTGCAGGAGAATCGCTTGAACCTGGGAGGTGGAGGTTGCAGTGAGCTCCAGCCTGTGCAACAGAGTGAAACTCCATCTCAAAAAAAAAAAAAAAGCTAGAAAGAACAAAGGAAATCCAGTCCCACAGCTGCTATAAAAACCTCTATAAATATATTTTGTTTCAGAGATCAAATAAAATTTAAAAATCAGAGATTGCAAACAAACAGAAAACGCAGAGAAATATCAGCTCCATGAAAACATTCCGTAGCAGAAGAGGAGAGAAAATTGCATGGAAGAAAAGCATTAGTTAGAAAATTACTTAATATTGAAAAAAGCAAGTATTGAAAAAAAATTCGGCTGAGCACCTCCAATTACACACCAAATGACCACCCTCCAAGTAGGAAGCCAAGAAGGGTAGAGGCACGTGGATCAGCCACATCGGTGTGACCTTGTGTCCTGGCTGCCTGGAGTCACACAAGCTTCCAAACTTACAAGATATGACCTTGGGCAAGTTATTTAATTCCTCGAGGCCTTGATGTCCTCATCTGTAAAATAGGGCTAGTAATCTTCCTGTCTAGCAAGGTGTTTTGGATATAAAGTGAGTTAATAAACAAAAGCACTAAGAACAGTGTCTGGCACTTCATACCCACTCAGAAAGTATTGGCTGTTATTACTGTTATCCATATGAAATATTCAATATTGTCTGGGACTTTTAAAGTAGCTGAATGGGAGAAGAAAAGTGATCAAGGAAGCCAGAACAAAATCCTAGAATTAAAATTAAGTACTAGAGATTTAAAATATTCAATACATAATTCAGAGAAAACACTTGACAAGTTTTTACAAATTCAAAGGAATAACACAAAGTAATTTTCTTTAATTATAGAAAAAAATATATAAAGAGAAAGTAAAAGGAAGTCTAACCCAGGAATCATTGATCTTCTCTTTAAGGAAACATTTTTTTAAAAGTGAAACAGAAACAAGACAACTGAAACAAAATTCTAAATGGAAAAAAAAAAAAACAGAAACAAAAAAAAAACCTCTTTCCGCTGGGGGCAAAAAAAATTCTGATCTACAGGCTCAATATGCTCCAGGTGAATTATTTTGAGACATGAACTACCACTCACATCTTGACAAAACGACTGGATTTCAAGTTAAAAACTGAAAGCTTTCCTGGATGAGAACAAATAAAAATGCAGAAGTGTAAACTCAGGAATGTATTAATGAGCATCGGTACTGAGGGAACAACTATAAAATAAAGCATTTTATACACACGCACATTTTTATTATAACATTTGGAAATGTTGACTTTAATAGGCATCCTTTTTTCACTTAAGATGACCTCTTATTTGAGTTAGAAACAATATTGGTAGCTCCTAAATCACAGCCAAGGAGCAGAGAAACCACAAACAATGCAGCAATTAATTCAACTATAATGATAAATATGAAATATTTAAATGATTCTATTAAATAGAAAAAACATCAAGGAAAATGATGGCACGTTGTAAGCTTCCAAAATCCCATTCCATAAAGAAAAAGAAGAGGCTGGACACAGTGGCTCACCCCTGTAATCCCAGCACTTTGGGAGGCCAAGGCGGGTGGATCACTTGAGGTCAGGAGTTCAAGATCAGTCTGGCCAACATGGTGAAACCCTGTCTCTACTAAAAATACAAAAATTAGCCGGGCATGGTGGTGGGTGCCAGCTGTAATCCCAGCTACTTGGGAGGTTGAGGCAGGAGAATTGCTTGAACCCAGGAGGTGGAGGTTGCAGTGAGCCAAGACCACGCCATTGCACTCCAGCCTGGGCGACAGGAGTGAAAATCTGTCTCTAAAAATAAAAAAAAAAAAAGAAAAAAGAAAAAGAAGAATGGGTTACTGGTATACACATATGCCAAAATGTATCAAATTTTGGATTTTATATATGAGTTTCTTATATAGCACTTATACCCCAATAAAACTTTTTCTTTAAAAAAACACAAGATGGGAGAAAATTTTTGCAATCTACTCATCTGACAAAGGGCTAATATCCAGAATCTACAAAGAACTCAAACAAATTTACAAGAAAAAAAACAAACAACCCCATCAAAAAGTGGGCAAAGGATATGAACAGACACTTCTCAAAAGAAGACATTTATGCAGCCAACAGGAACATGAAAAAATGCTCATCATCACTGGCCATCAGAGAAATGCAAATCAAAACCACAATGAGGTACCATCTCACACCAGTTAGAACGGCGATCATTAAAAAGTCAGGAAACAACAGGTGCTGGAGAGGATGTGGAGAAATAGGAACACTTTTACACTGTTGGTGGGACTGTAAACTACTTCAACCATTGTGGAAGACAGTGTGGCGATTCCTCAGGGATCTAGAATTAGAAATACCATTTGACCCAACCATCCCATTACTGGGTATATACCCAAAAGATTAAAAATCATGCTGCTGTAAAGACACATGCACACGTATGTTTATTGCGGCACTATTCACAATAGCAAAGACTTGGAACCAACCCAAATGTCCAACAATGATAGACCAGATTAAGAAAATGTGGCACATATACACCATGGAATACTATGCAGCCATAAAAAAGGATGAGTTCATGTCCTTTGTAGGGACATGGATGAAGCTGGAAACCATCATTCTCAGCAAACTATCGCAAGGACAAAAAACCAAACACTGTATGTTCTCACCCATAGGTAGGAATTGAACAATGAGAACACATGGACACAGGAAAGGGAACATCACACACTGGGGCCTGTTGTGGGGTGGGGGTAGGGGGAGGGATAGCATTAGGAGATATATCTAATGCTAAATGACGAGTTAATGGGTGCAGCACACCAACATGGCACATGTATACATATGCAACAAACCTGCACATTGTGCACATGTACCCTAAAACTTAAAGTATAATTTAAAAAAAAACAACACAAGAATAGGTTAAGCCATCATCTTTAAATGTATGTTTTCAGGCAAAGTTTATGCCAGAAACGTCAAGTGATGTCTGCAGGATTGAGGCAGCAGAGTGGGTAACAGAACTGCCAAGATGCCGGACCACAGCCAGCAAACAAGTGGCTCCAGGCTGCTGTCTGGTTTTCTGGGTGGCAAGGGCTGGGAGAGAGCCCAGGATCCCACTCAAGGAGAACAGCGGGACTGCAGCCACCCTCACCCACACCCCACCATCCTACAGGACAGTGCACCCCTGCCGAGGGCACCAAGGGGAGATCTTACAGGACTGCGGCCCCCTTACCCCCACAAACCCCACCGTCCCGCAGGACGTGCCCCTGCAGAGGGCACCAAGGGGAGGTCCTACAGGACTGCAGCCCCCCTCACCCCCACAAACCCCACCATCTCGCAGGACAGTGCACCCCTACAGAGGGCACCAAGGGGAGGTCCCGCAATGAGAGAGCTCCAGGAATCTCTCGGCTCTACCAAATGGGAGACTGATGAATCTGCGGGATGAGAAAAGGAGAAAGTTATGCGCTTAGAGGGTACATGGCAGCCCCCAGTCTGCCTCACTCCGGACCCCATGCTTCAGGCCAATACAGGGACTCCAGATGGCACGGAATCATGCCTCTCAGCAACGCTGGGCTACACACCACAGTGAGTCCTGTTCCCAGAAGTCAAAGCCCATTCCCCAGAGGCGAGAGCTGAGGAAGTCCAGAAGACAGCACAAGCCCCGGGTCAGCAGAGGCCACTCCACTCTCCCTCGGACAGTCATGGTAGACTGGACGGTTGGCTGCAGAAGACGGTGCCGCTGGCTGAACAGGGAATGGGCTGTGTTGTCAACAACACTTCCTGCTGTGTTTGGATTCATGCCACCAGAAAGGCTGAACAATTCACATCCCACAAGCAAGAAGCTACACGGTGACCAGGAACAAGATGACCATCCCCTCTGTGGGGGGCTCCCTTGGATGGGTCCTGGGTGCACAGCCCAGGTCAGAACCATAGGCTGGCTGCATGCTACTGCCTGTGAGTCTGCTGACAAAAACCCTCATCAAATGAGACCCAGTGCTGGGTCTAAGCTGAGGACCTGATCAGAGGACATCCCTGTGAAAATCCGAGTTCTGCTGAGGACATGTAGGACCACGGGGTGGGAGGGTGAAAGTGGCCCTGCAGGCCCCTGATGATTGATCCAAATCTCCAGGCTCAGCTGCCCCAGCCCTGAGCCCTCCCTGTAGCTCGTCACGCAAGCATTCAGTAATCTAGACTGACAGCTCATGACGACTTATTCCCAGGAGGTGGCCTGGGTGGCTGTCAGAGGGACTGACGCCTTGGCCCGGGTTGCTCCCCTGGGTACAGCTCACTCCATGGCAGCCACTGTCTGGACCTGGCTATTGCATGCTGGGGCCTCTGGTCTCCCTGTGCCCCGAGCAGTGAACCGTCTTCCTCTTGCTCTGACCCCTTGAGTCTCATCGTCCACTTCCGGCCCGGGTGAAGCTGCGGCCGCCGACCTGCCTGCTCCTTTCCCTGGGTCCTCTGGGGTCTTGTCACTCCTCCTCTGTGCCCTCCGGCTGTTCCCCAACAAAGCTCATTGCTACTCTTCCATCCTTATGTTTGCAAACAGGAGAAACCGGCTTTAAAAAGACTGTAAAATAACCAATATCATTTCAGGTAAATCCAAGATTGAAAGTTGAAGCAAAAGATAAGATGATGACAAAAACTCTGTTTCTAGATTTTCTTTACCTGCTGTTGAAGTCAATGCCAGACGCAACACACAGGGGCAGGTAAGGAGCCATCTCTCTTTTTCAGTTCTGAGCTTTGTTGTATTTTTTATATTTTCCTAGAAGCTTGTGGGAAGTTGCATGAAAAACGTTCAGGATCTTCAGCTTTTTCCTGACTTCTGACCATTCCTCCATTTCTATAATAGACTTTCTGAAACGTCCATTGTCTCTTGGCTTCTATATGGCTCCATCTTTATTTCTAAAACAGCTGCGTCTTTTTCTTCAATTTCCTTTCTGAGTTTGGTCACTTCCTATTCTACATCCCCTTATTCTGACATCCCTCCTGGTGCCTGGCTATCTCTTCTCCGTGTCACCTTATTTCTGCTTGTGATCCTTTTTCCATGTTCGCAGTTGCCACGCTGAGCTGCTTTGTCCTGCAGCCCTGCTGGAATGGTGGCTCTTTGTTTCCCTCCAATCTACAGGAGCTCTTTTCTGGGGTGGTCTTTTACTCCCGCTCAGAAGCCCGTTTAGGTTTTGCTTCTGTATTTTGTGCGGATACAGCCAGTTTTTCTTTCCATCACTCATCTACGGAGTGAGCTGAACTGCCCTAGACCACCCATGAGCAGGAGGATGTGGTGGGGACGGCTGAGCGGGGAGAGGATGAGGTGACGTTTCTCTCTCTGCAATGCAAGATCTCGCTCTTGAGTTGTGGCCATGATTAACGGTGTCTTTCCAACAGGGCATTGCTCCCGTGGCTTTCTGTTTCTTTGTCTTCCTCACTCAGCTTTGCCTGGAGCTGTTTTCCTCACTTATTTACCCCCACCGGACCGCGAGCATTTTCTACACAGGGAGGTAGCATGCTCCAGACCCTTTGGAGGTCAGCAGTCACGGGCATTTTCTGAGTCCAGCTGAGCCTATGAAGCCAGATTCTGTGGCCTGAAGGCCTGCACCACAGCTTCCCCGGCTGGCCCTGAGTGCTCGCCTGAGGTCCCACAGTGAGGTGCTCACTGGGCAGAGCTGTTTCCAAGTATCTGAGAGAGTTGTGTTAATCTGCCCCACAGTAATCGTGGGTGTGTTCACTTCACTTCACAATCTTGTCATTTTTAAAACTTTACATCCTCTAAGGTGTATTTATAGATAGAACCTAGTTAAAGATTATGATCTTTCTGTTAGACTGCTTCCTTTCAATAGAGGGACTACAGAGTTTCATCCTTCTCTCTATCCGTACACTTTCCATTGATTCCCTTTTGTCCTTTCCTGACTTCCATTTGATTGATTGAGGTTGCTTTATTCTCTGGATGTATTAATAAATTCTTTTCTTTTTCTCAATTATTCATGTTTTGTAATTTTGCCACAAAGAGGATGGCATTCATTTATACACGTCTAGATTTAAACTGAGTTTCTTCATCTCAGGATTCATGTGTTTCTGCAAAGGTCTCACTCATGAGCTTGTAAAATCATCACATCTCTCTTTCCTCCTTCTCCTTTTGGAATTTCCTTCCAGCCTCTGTATTTCCTAACTTCCCTTTAATGTTCCTAGTGGTTTTTTCCTCTATAGCACGCCCTGGACCACAGCCTCAGCTCTCCCCAGACAAGACCCTTGATTCCTGGACCACAGCCTCAGCTCTCCTCAGACCAGACCTTTGATTTTATTCTTTGCCTGCTTCCAATATGTGTAACTGCCTGTGTACATTTTTACCACAGTAACTATTTAATTTCCATAAATTTTATTTCATTCTGTTAAAGTCCCGCCTTTTCTCATGCGGCCCTTGTTCATTACGCTCTGGTCCCTCCAGGGCCATGTTTGTCACATCGGGTTCCTGAGCCGGGTTCTGAGGTGCTGCTGCTCCTGCTCTGATTCAGCGACGTCCGCCCGTCCACGGGATGTGCATTTCTTCTTCCTGACTTCCTGCTGTTGGTTTATTTTATTGTCCTCTCTTCTTCTGTGAGGAGTAGCTTGTGTTTGTTTTACCTTTATTTTTTTCTTTAAATTTTGTTTTCCAATGTACTCTAATGTGTGTAAATGTCCTTTTATAAAGCCCTTGCACTGTGGTGACTTGGAGCAACTTCATACGTGATCAACTTTTCCAGTTCTTCCTGCAACTTTGAAGGCTACTGTACTAGTCAGTGTTCTCCAGAAAAACAGGAGAGATAGATAGACAGCTAGATACATACATACATACATACATAGATGATAGGAAAATTAGATAGAAAAATTAGGTAGGTAGATTAGATAGATAGATGATATATAGATGATAGAAAATTAGGTAGGTAGATTAGATAGATGATATGTAGATGATAGATGATATATAGATGATAGATGATATATAGATGATAGAGAGAGAGAGAGAGATTTATTTTTGGAATTGGCTCCTGCAATTCTGGAAGACAAGAAGTCCTACCATCTGCCATCTGCAAGCTGGAGAACAAGGAAGGCCAGTAGTGTGGTTCAGTCTGAGCCCAAAGCCCTGAAAACAAGGGTACAAGATGGTGTAAATTCCAGTCCAAGGCTTAAGGCCTGTGAACAACGGTGGAGGTCAATGTTGATGGAAGTCCTAGAGCTCAGTGTCCCAAGAACCAGGAGCTCTGATGTCTGAAGGCAGAAGACAAGTGTCTCAGCTCAAGGAGAGAGAGAGAATTCGCCCTCCTCCTCGTTTCTGCTCTACTCATGCTCTCCAATGGATAGGATGATGATGCCCACATTGCGGGGGGACTGGGGGGCACCTGCCTTACTTAGTCCCTGATTTACATGCTGGTCTCTTCCAGAAACACCCTCACAGACCCCCAGAAATAAGGTTTTACCCCCTGTCTGGGCATCCCTTAGCCCAATTCACTTGACACGTAAAACTCATCATCATGGCTACCGTGAATGATCCTGCTTAGAGAAGGTTGCCATGTGTTCATAGAACCATCAGCTGCCTAGAGGAGAGATGTGTGTCCAAAATATATAAAGATCCCTCAAAACTCAACTATAAGAAAACAAGCAACCCAATTTAAAAATAAGCAAGAGATCTGAACAGACACATCACCAAAAAAGACATACAGATGGTAACCAAACATATGAAAAGATACTCCAGGTCGTATATTATCAGTGAAATGCAAATTACACCAATGAGACACCACTACACACCTGCTAGAGTGATCAAAATCCAGACACTGACAACACCACCAAATGCTGGCAAGGATCTGGAGCAACAGGAACTCTCATCATCACCAGTGGGACTTCGGTTATTAATCAAGCATTGATCCATTTACTGGGACAAATGTATTATATTAGTGTAAGGTGGCAAAGACAGGGGCCCTGGGGAGGCAATATATGAGAAACTTCTGCATTATCAGTGTGATTTTACTATCAGTGTAAAACTACTCTAAAATACAATATTTATTAGAAAATGAATTGGGAACTATCCTAGAACTCTCTTTCCAAGTAAGACTTGCAAAATTACCATCAACTCTGCAGCTGAAACAACAGGAGTTTATTGATTCACAGTTCTGGACGCTGGAAGTCCAAGATCAAAGTGCCTGCAGGAACGGCTTCCTCGGAAGTGTTGGGGAGGAAGCTGATCCAGGCTGTCTCTGAGCTGCTGCTGGCTCCTTGACTCGCAGCCCCAGAATGCCAGTCTTCACATTTCTTCACCTGTGGATATGTCTGTCTCCAGATTTCCCCTTTGTGTAAGGTCACCAGTCATATTAGATTAGGGCTCACCTTACCCTAGAATGACTTCACCTTAATTAATTCCATCTGCAAAGACCCAATTTCCAAATAAGGTTATGTTCTGAGGTACCCAGGGTTATAACTTCAATGTACAAATTTTGGTGGGGGGTAGAGGAGACACAAGTCAGTCCATACCAAGTGGTTATATTTTATACCTCTCTGTAATTAAGCTTGATGAATTATTGTGGAAATGAGGGACAATGCTGAGTTAAAGATCGTCGAGGCTTATAAGTAGGTCAGCCTCTCTCTCTGTCTCCCTCTCTCTCTGGGTGCTTCTCTCCTCTCTTTTGCCATAAAGAGATTTTCCTGAGGGTATGCGCACACACATATAGCTAGAAGAGCCTGCCATACTCATGAGTGATTTTACAAAGCTGAGCAGGATTTGCGATTTATAAAAGCTATAAAACCAAATTTGCTTCTCTTTGAGATCTGCCTTTGTACTCATTGGCACCCAAGAGTTACAAAGTTTTTCTTGGTCTTTTGGAGCGCTCTGGATGTGTAGAATAAATCCTGTGAGGCACCCTTGTGTAGCTTTCCAGGTTGTGTAGAAGGTGCCTGGTCCACAGGTGCCCCTAGGACATGGAGCACTTGAAGCAGCGAGAGCCAGTGGGCCCTACCCCAGGCAGGGCAGGCAGCACTGCTGTGAACACCCAGCACGCAAGGCTGTTCTTGGAGGCAGGGCAGGCAGCACTGCTGTGAACACCCAGCACGCAAGGCTGTTCTTGGAGGCAGGGCAGGCAGCACTGCTGTGAACACCCAGCAAGCAAGGCTGTTCTTGGAGGCAGGGCAGGCAGCACTGCTGTGAACACCCAGCACGCAAGGCTGTTCTTGGACCCACGATCCTTGCAGGGCGCAGTTGTCTGTGGAAGGTGAACGGAAGGCGAAGGAGCACAGATGTCACGGAAGACGGTGGGCATCAACGTGTGCCATGAAGCGAGAGTCTAGGGTCAGCCCCAGCCTTGCTCTCCGTGGGCTGTGCGCCAAGTGACCCTAGAGCACCTCTCAGCCTCCCTCTATTCTGGGAAATGGAAATCCCCATAGTTAGCTCCCGGCAACCCCACATGTTGGACCTCAGCAGTGTCCAAGAGTGTTAGCCAAAACCAAATTTAGCTTGGGCAGTTCTCACAAGTCTCTCCCAATGAAGGTGGGTCTGTTTTCTCTTCTGTAAATTATTATTGAACTAAATGGATTCTAATGTCCTTTGCAGCTGGGAAGATGCTATGGCTCTGCAAATACTATTTCAGATGTTCTTGGGGTAACGTTACTATTATTCTCATGTTGCATGTGGAATAAACTTTGAATACACTTCCAACCCAGCTGTTTTGTTTCAAAAACAATGTCCAGTGTTAAAGGACTTAGTGTGGAAGCTGTGATTGATTGTATCTATAGCATATTTTTATGACAAAACTGAGAGCATAAAAATCAATTTTCCTGTAAGATGTATTTTCTTTACTTTATGCTTGGTATGTGTGATTAATGAAAATTTCCTTAGCAGATTTCTGTCTTCAGGTGACACATTAAAATATTTAAATGCATCAAACTCAATACCCATATGCTCTATTTATGACCAAGTAATAGAATTATTAACACCTGCCTTCATGTGTTATTTGCAATATATTTATTTTAAATTATCCAAAAGAAATTCTGGGGGTTAAGGCATTTCTTATTTGCATTCTATAAGATGAAACTCAATAATTCACTTTCAAATGTTTCATGAAGTCATTAGACCAGAATGGCATGTCTCTTGGGCCTAGTTATAAATATTTTCAGCATCTTCAATTTCAAACCAAAATATCAGGCCTAAGCAGGGACAGAAGTCGTTCTCCAGTCACTTACCTGGGGCATTCAGGTCAGGACAGAGCTGAGGACTTAGGAATCCAGAGAAAGCCTTCCTTGTGGCTGCCTTCCAAGCTAGGGTTGCTTTGCTATCTTGGGGCCACCAGGCTATGAGTTGCCTCTAATATTCATGGAGGATCCTCCTGCAGCTGAACCAAACTCCATCTTTTCTAATTGGTTTACATTAAAATTAAGAGACCTCTCAATGAATAAATGGAACATTAAAGATGATATGACCTAATAGTAATCATAACTCTTTTATTTCAGTTTATATGCTTTTCTCTAGTAGATTTTTGAAAAATCTCCCAAAGTATTATTTTTCTAGAATACAACTCAAGGCCTTAATGGCATAGGCAGAAGATTTTGTGTTATAAAAACCTGGGATTTCACCTGGAAAATTATTTTTTGGTTAAAAAAAAACAGAGATGAAGAACTTTGTTTTCATCTAGGCACTATTTGATAGGATTTTTCCACAGAGGAATTAAAATGAGAAGTTGAATAAAGGCAGCGGCTCCCACTGAAACACCGCCTCCCTCTTTGCTGTGATCCAGGGGGCTCTGCTCCTCGGCCAGTGTGGCCGTCCTACTCGCCCCTCTGTCCTCAGCACCTGCAGGAAGTCCCACAGGTCCTGATTGGCATGCTGGCCTGGTGGGGAATGCTTAGCACATCCCAAGGATAAGTGAGTTTGGTTGGTTCCCGTGGGATCTGGCTGTTGAGGAGTCTGGGACCTCCCCCGGCTGTTGAGGAGTCTGGGGCCTCCCCCGGCTGTTGAGGAGTCTGGGGCCTCCCCCGGCTGTTGAGGAGTCTGGGACCTCCCCCGGCTGTTGAGGAGTCTGGGACCTCCCCCGGCTGTTGAGGAGTCTGGGGCCTCCCCCGGCTGTTGAGGAGTCTGGGACCTCCCCCGGCTGTTGAGGATTCTGGGGCCTCCCCCGGCTGTTGAGGAGTCTGGGGCCTCCCCCGGCTGTTGAGGAGTCTGGGACCTCCCCCGGCTGTTAAAGAGTCTGGGACCTCCCCCGGCTGTTGAGGAGTCTGGGGCCTCCCCCGGCTGTTGAGGAGTCTGGGGCCTCCCCCAGGTGTGTCCCACAAGCCAACGCCAACATTAGCAGAACGTGGAATTATTAAATGACTTTGGAAGCTAAGAGAATCTCCAGGAGGCTTGGAAAATGGATTCGAAGGCTGCCCAGCCAAGAAAAACATGGAACACCACACCACAAAATGGTCCCAGGGACACTGGCCTCCACCAGGCTTCCATCAAACACCAGCTGCTCAAACCACCGGGCCTGCTGCCTTTGGAAAACGACATGCCACCCCTTCTCCAGCCTCCCCAGCCGGAGCGAATTCCATGATGTCCTTGCTTCTCTCTGCCACTGGCACCTGTGCCCAAGCCCAGAATGGGTGCTTCAGATGCACCCAGCTGAGAAGAGGCTTAGAACGAGGGCTTCCGTCCACTCCAGTGAGCAGAGTATTCTCCCACCACCATGCATGAGGCAGAGAATCTCCCAAATGGGAAGCAAGAGTTAGAAGCAGGACAAGAGCAGAAGAAAACTCTTCCTCAAGAAACAGAGACGTGTCCACGTCTCCTAAATACCAAGGATTTGTTCTGAGGACAAAGCAGAAATAAGAAGATAGAAATTTTGGTTGCAGAAGAAATCCTCCAAATTGACAACTAAACAAAGTATGCATATTCCCAGGCAGCCGGAACGCACAGACTCGAAAGCATTTCTCGTGGACGGTGATGGACGGAGGACATGGTGCACTTGAGCCCATGGCACTCATTCCTTCTGTCACTGTGGCACGAGGGGCTGCCACTCAGCTGCAGGGCCTGGGGAAGGCCATCTCCTGGGTCACCAGCCAACCAGACCAGTGGCTGAATACTCACCCCAGACCAGTCAGGACTGTCCAGTTTAGCTCACTCCTTAGGATTTGTGGATTGCAAAGACACTCAGATTCCAGTGGGAACAAGACTGCAAAGGAAATAGATTGCAGCAGACAGAGCCTGAGGACATCTAATGTACAAATGCTCCTTGAGAAACCAGAACTTGGAGCAGGCCTTCTGATATGATTTGGCTGCATCCCCACCCAAATCTCATCTTGAATTCCCAGGTGTTGTGAGAGGAACCCTGTGGGAGGTAATTGAATCATGGGGGCAGGTCTTTCCCGTGCTATTCTCCTGATAGTGAATAAGTCTCATGAGATCTGATGGTTTTATAAAGAGAAGTTCCCCTGCACAAGCTCTCATTCTCTTTGCCTGCTGCCATCATGTAAGACGTGACTTGCTCCTCCTTGCCCTCTACCATGGCTGTGAAGCCTCAACCACCTGGAACTCTAAATGCATTAAACATTAAACCGCTTCCTTTGGTAAATCACCCAATCTCAGGTATATCTTTATCCGCAGCATGAAAAGGGACAAATACACCATCCCTAAAGGAACCAGGTGAACTGTGTGCCCACAGGACTCTCCCCACCTGCTCTATGGCTCTCCATTTTAGCAGCTCCTGTTCTCTGTCTCCACCCCAAGCCTGGAACTTGATATCCTGTCTTCCCATCTGCTCCTGTTCAACTTCAGTTCTGTCCTGGATGCCTTCCTCTCTGTATGAGTCCAGGTTCTCTAGAGGAACAGGACTAATAGGATAGATGTATACATGACGGGGAGTTTATTAAGGAGAACTGACTCACACGATCACGAGGTGAAGTCCCACAATAGACCATCTGCACGCTGAGGAGCAGGGAAGCCAGTCGGAGCCCCAAAACCTCAACAGTAGGGAAGCCAACAGTGCAGCCTTCAGTCTGTGGCCAAAGGCCTGAGAGTCCCTGACAAACCAGCGGTATAAGTCCAAGAGTCCAAAAGCTGAAGAACTTGCAGTCCCATGTTCGAGGGCAGGAAGCATCCAGCACAGGAGAAAGACGGAGGCTGGAAGACACAGCCAGTCTGCTCTTTCCAACTTCTGTCTGCTTTATCCTAGTCACGCTGGCAGCTGATTAGATGGTGCCCACCCAGACTGAGGGTCGGTCTGCTTCTCCCAGTCCACTGACTCAAATGTTAATCTCCTTAGGCCACACCCTCACAGACACATCTAGGAACAGTACTGCATCCTTCGATCCAAACAAGTTGACATTCAATATTAATCATCACACTCTTCCTCTTCAATAATCCAATTTTCATCTTTTTCTTTAAACCTGTGTTTTGGTTTTTAAACTCTGCTTCAGATGTTGGCTTAGACTCCCAATGAAAAGCTCAGAACACCCAAAATATTATCTTTCCTAAGCAAATTGCTAAATGAGTTTTCTGTGTAAGATTATCTTGAAAGAAAAGAAAGAAACCTTTTGTGGGAGAGGAGTGATTTGAAGAGAGGCATTTAGTTTTAGAATTGGCTAATACCTGTGCTCTTTCAGCAAAGAATAGGAATAACTCAGACAGATATAATTATCTGGAGTTGGAATGCTTCGTTCCTGAGTTTCCTTTACAGCAATCTCAAGAAACATCACACTAACAAATGATGATGTTCAGAGAAAACACCACAAAACTGATCAAAATAAACAAAATAAACCCTTCACATAGAGAGGCTTTTGTTGAAAGTCTTTAAATCTATGTTCATTCTATTGTCAGAACAGAAAAGATGGGATGAAAATTCAAAAAAGATTCTCTTGACCTTTGCCATGTTTACATAAGCATGACAAAATAATTATTTTGGCTTCTGTACATTTTTGATAATTTAAACATAATTTATCTACTTTAGAAGCAAGCTTTTTAAAATTACAGTTTTCCTGGTGCACATGCCTAGGAGTAAAGATATTGTTTTTGTTATTTTTCTTTATAGCTTGAAGAGAGAATTGATTTACATTTTTCACATTGTGAATGAAGTTTAGTATACTTAACCTGTGCCTAAAAGTCTTACTGAGCCAGGCGCGGTAGCTCACGCTTGTACTCCCAGCACTTTGGGAGGCCGAGGCGGGAGGATCACTTGAGGTCAGCAGTTCAAGACCAGCCTGGCCAACATGGTGAAACCCTTTCTCTACTAAAAATATGAAAATTAGCCGGGCATGATGGCAGGTGCCTGTAGTCCCAGCTAGTCGGGTGGCTGAGGCAGGGGAATCGCTTGAAACTGGGAGGCAGTTGCAGTGAGCTGAGATTGGACCACTGCACTCTAGCCTAGGCGATGGAGTGAGATTCTGACTCAAAAAAAAAAAGTCTTATTGATGATGTTTTGTTAATTCCATCCATATCCTGAATTAGCTCTTTCTCTCTGACAGGATTTCAACATTTCCCCCACTTGTTGTTTTCCATGATGGGCATTTCCATGGAGAATTCTTATCTTAGGTATTTGTCAATATCATTATTTAGGTTAATTTATAATCTATTAATATAATCTATTAATTTGTAGCTTCAGGATTTTGTGTTGCAGTTAGAAAGACTTTCACACTACAACCCTCTAAATGACTTTTCCTCTGGCTTCTTCTAGCCCTTTAATGTTTTTACTTATTTTACATCAAAACCATTAGCCCATCGGTAACATATCTAGAGCTGGTCTCAAGATGTGACTTCACCTTTTCTGCAGATGGTTATGAAGTTCTCCTGCAAACCTCCACTTGTCATGATGAAACACCAGGGACCGCACCTCAAACCCTGCCGTAATCAACAGGAAACCTGGGTAGAACGGCGATAAATCCGCAGCTTTGCCTTGCTGTTACGCAGAAGCGATGACACAACCTAGATCACCGTTGCAAGGGCTTCTCTGATAAATCACAGTTCATGAAAACATGGAACATGATGTCGCCATTAATACAAGAACTAGAAACCATTTATGGATTAAAGTAGAAATATCCTTAAAATAAAGTGCTATGGTTTTTTGGCTTTGTTTGTTTTTAGATGAAGTCTCTCTCTGTCTGTTGCCCAAGCTGGAGTGCAGTGGCACGATCTTGGCTCACTGCAACCTTCACCTCCTGACTTCAAGTGATTCTCCTGCCTCAGCCTCCAGAGTAGCTGGGATTACAGGCATGTGCCACCATGCCCGGATAATTTTTGTATTTATTAGAGACAGGGTTTCACCACATTGCCCAGGCTGGTCTTGAACTCCTGACCTTGTGATCTGCCTGACTTGGCCTCCCAAAGTGCTGGGATTACAGGCGTGAGCCACCACGCCCAGCCAAGTGCTACGTTTTAAAAGCATGGTGCAGAATAGTGTGTGTATCACTGTAAAATCTTGATTAAAACAGGAAAACATTTATACATGTATATACAGAAAAATAGATAGTAGAGGAGATAGAGTAGATAGATGATAGATGATAGATAAATAGCTAGCTAGCTAGATAGATAGATAGATAGATAGATAGATAGATAGATAGATAGATAGTCTTAAATCAGACAGCCTGGGTTCAAACCCCAATTCTTTCTCTTACTAGTTGTGTGGCCTTGAGCATGGTTCATAAACTCCTGTGATTCAATTTCTTATCTTTAAAATGAAGAGTTACAAGCCCCAAGTCCGTTATTTACAGCTCTGAGAACTAAACGTGGCTTTTTTGAGCATTCAGTGACAAAATCATGCCTTTATGGACATAAAACTACCTTCTTCATTTATCTTACTGACTAGGAATTCTCATTCAGTTTCCTGCAAAAATATTAATGTCTTTAATTATGAGTGCTACCCCAGAAGTTGTTGGGGTGTTGTATATGGCCCATTCATCAAAGGAAGTTCTGAATTCTAAAATATATCTGGCCCCTAAGTTCATACAAAGGATGAGGACCTAATGTAGTTATTATGAGAATTAAAAAAGGTTAGACTTTAAATTGCTTTGCACTGTGCATGGCACATCATAAGTGTCCTGCGACGATTTGTTAAATGAATTGTGCACACACACACCTGCATGAATAGATTAAAAATGTCTTTCAAAGGCTACATTTATTCTCTCTGGAAATGAAGAACAGGAAGAGTGTTTACTATTTATTGTATTATATTATTGGTTTTTGAATTGCATGAGAGTATTTACCTTTTAAACAGCAAATTTAAATCACCTTTGCCAAAAACTAGGCTGACGAATATATGAATAGCTGGTACAATTTTGAGAGTAGGAAAAGTTCAAAGCTTTTAACCTTTGGGTTTGATTGTAGGCAGAAGTTAAGAGTAGGCGTAGGACCTGTCAAAGATGAAAGTTGCAGGCGTTGGATTCTGTCTCACCTAGGATGAGCACATGACCCCTAGCATTCTAAGAATCTGTAAGGAGCCCAGTTTTGGCTAACTGACCGGGTACACGGCCCAAATCACGGGAATAGAATGCCTCTCGGAGCCACTCCTGTCTCTGCCACGACCAGGAAACTGGAGAAGGTGCAGTCAGTGTGAAACTGTGGGGTGGCCCCACCGTGCCTGGCTGCAGAGCCACCCCGGGCCCAAGTCTCCTTCTCACAGGGCACGGTGCAGACACCAGCCCTGCAGTGGCGCCTCCCCTGCCACCTAAAGAGCCAACGTGGCCTCTGAGCCTCCTTGTTTCTATGGCACAGAAAGCCAGGCTGCAGCAGGTCTGTGTGACTAGGGGCAAGCCGTGCACCCCGGCCACAGCCCCCTCTCCTTGGAGTGCTCAGCATCATGCACATCCTCTGTTTAACCCCCACAAAACTAAGAAGGGAGAGTCCACCCGCCCCAGCGTAGCACACCTGTCCCTACACAAACAAATCTCCCTCCCTCCTGACCAGCTCCTCAGCCACTGCCGTCTTCTCTGAGCCATTCACTCCCTGTCCAGGTGGTCACAAGGCCACCTGGACAGCACATCACCTGCGGGAGGAATTTAAAAACTCACCCTCAACAGCACATCCAAATGCGCAATAGGAAGTGAGGGATCATGGACCACAGCCCAGGTCCTGGCAGGAAACAGGTGCCCTCGGAAAAGGGGCTCAGGCAGGTGTGAGGATGGGCTCTGGGAAAAGCCACGGCGGGGGGAGGGGTCAAGGGCATCCACTGAGTGGCAGAGCAGAGCCCCGCATTAGGAACCATGACTACCTGGGCAAGAGTGGCAAGGGAGACACAGACCGCACGAAAGGCTCCTGAGCAAAGCCACGCCCGTGCACGGGAAGTGCAGCACCACCAACCTGCAGCCGGAGCCAAAGATCTGGGCATCCACGTCTGATCCTTTGCCCTCCCTCCCTCTCGGGTCCTGCCAGAGCCTTCGGGTGGCAGAACCTGATAAGGACCAGACCACCGAGGGGACCCCTCCGATGCTGCACCAGGAGACCAGCCCTGCAGGGCACAGAGCTCAGCAGGAAGAGGGAAGCCCAGACCTGGCAGGAGAAGAGAGGATTTGGACACAGATGAGTGGCAAGTGCACACACACATCACAGAAGAAAACACGCGTTTGCTACAGTCAGTTTCTGCTGCAAGTTCCCAGCTTAGAGCTGGTTTTTGACTTCTTACTCTTTTACCAGCTATGCCTCCTTTATCGTAATCCAGCGGCTTGGCTGGCAATTGTTACCTGCTAAGTGGGACTAAACCTCTCCTCTTGAGCCCTGGGAGGTGCTGCCTGAATGGAGTTGTTCATTGCTTTCCAATCTGGAGTTGACAATGCTGCCAAGTATTCCAGAAAATCATCTGGGATGACAAATGCTTCTTCCTGCCTGCAGTGTGGTGGAACGATCTCATTTTCAGCACCCCATTAATCAACTGACCCCCAGAACCCCGCAACCAGTGGGATTGTGTAAATTTCCCACACAGCACAGAACACATTGTAGAGCTGAGATCCAATCACACACAGGAAGATAGAAATGGCACATCTGGGAGCCCTTGCTACATTGTTCGACTTTCCAACAACCAGCTTTTGATATTAATACCTACAAAATAGTGGAACTGATAAATTATTAGCATTGAATTACTGTACAATATTATCCTTCTTTTCTTGACAGCAGCAAAGTTGGTCAAAAAGAGAATATTGGGCATGTGATCAGTCAATATGGTTACTGTTAGAATGCTTCCAATTAATAAAACATAATTCTCTACACCCACTGGCTCTGCACTCCTTTGAATAGTTTATTTCAGAACCAACAGAGGGGATGGTGTGAGTGAATATAAAATAATTAGGTTTAGAGTAATGTAACAAATCATTATTTAAATGTTCTGAGATTTGTAGTCTAAAGTAACTAACAGTCAACAGAAAGACAACATCCAAAATTGTATAGACTGCTACTATGCCATTCACAAGGGGGAAATGATAGCCACTGTGTTCATGTAATTTGTTTCATTTTTTTTGAATTGTAGTAAGTCAAGAAATGTACATCATCTAGATATCAGTTTAATGACACAAATTTCAGCTCAGAAGCTAGAATGCAAGTCCGCAAGGACAGTCCTGACTGCATATTTCTGAAGTTAATTTACACTAGGTGCTGATTCTATTTTTCCTTCAATTTTGATTGGCTTGTCTGCAAGTACTTGTGACTTTTTTCCTACTTGATGCTGAACATGATTCTATTTCCCAAGAACCTTTGTGCCGTCAGTCCAGTGTGATGAGTCGCCAACAGGTTTGAATTTGGCGTCCATGGTGAGATAAGCCACGAGTGCAGTGCAAAGCTGTGTCTGTCTTTGCTTGTCCTCTTGTATTTCCCCTTGGCCCGTTTATTTACGTAATTTTAAAAGTTTGTTTCCTGTCTCTTCAATCGTTGTGGAGCAGGAAGAAGACTTCATAAGTAAGACTAGAATAAAATCAGGTCATCCACGTGAATAATTCCCATGATTTTCTATCTGCATTCTTACTCACAAGCTCCACTTTGATGCAACTGTTTGCATCAAGATCTAGAAAAAGGCATACGTTTTCATTTAAATGAAAAATATCTCAAAGAACTAAGAATGACCAAAGATGCTTCCTCATACCTAATTCCAAAATTTACTGTGCTCCATCAGAAGCTATTCTGTGAGTTTATGTGTGGCTGCGAACACAAACTCTTCCCTTTCATCCTCACAATCCCATTTCTTCAAGATACCACTCGTAGCAAATACACATACATACACACACAAACACACATGCACACATATACACGCGAATGCACACACACAACATACACACAGAGAGAGACACAAACACATGCACACACATACATGTACATACGTACACAAACACACATGCACACATATACACATGCACACATGGACAGCATCATGCACATCCTTTGTTTAGCCCCCACAAAACTACAAAGCAACGGCCCACCTGCACACACACAACATGCACACAGACGCAAACACATGTGCGCACATATGTACATATGTACACAAATATACATGCACATGTATATACTCATGCACACACAGACACACATGCACACACATAGACATAAACACATGTACATATGTACACATATACATACATACCTGCATATATACACATGCACATGTACACACATGTACATATGTACACACATACACACCTGCACATTGCATAACATGTACACATAAATACAGCATGCACATGGACACACATACATGTACCTATGTACACAATGCACATGCACTCATATAAACACACATGCATACGCACATACACATGCACAGAGACACACCTATAAATATGCACACACGCATGCACACACAAGTACATATGCGCACATATGTACACACACGCATACATACACATGCACACACACAACTATACATATGCACACACATACACACATTCCCATGCATACACACATGCATATACAAATGCACACACTAGCACACACTCATACATATACACACATACACATGCACGCACACACACGCATATCACCTACACAGTGCACACACACACATATAAACACATATGTATGCACACACTCACACACTCCACCCAGGAGGACGCAGAAATTTCTACTCCCCATAGTATTAGAGAATGTAAGAGCCAGGCCTAAGGAACTGGAAATGGAAAATAACCGTGAAGATCTCGTGAAAACATCCTCCAGTCACCAAGGACAGCAGAGCCTTCACAGCTCCCTCATTAAGCGCCTGCCTGATGGCAATTTTTATAGAGGTATATTAAACTGTTTACGATTAAAATGGATCTTTGAAGTAATTAATAGTTTGCCCTGGTAATTTCATCACATTTTGCTGCCGGATGGCAATTATGATTTAATTATGATCTCCTGATGAAGAACATATTAGATAATTCTTCAGATAATTTCCCTTTTATTCCTGATTAGGGAGCAAGGTTAGGAGAGATACAGGGTTATGGCTTTGCTGTAATCTAATTTTCCTACTTTGAAAATAGAAGGTTTTCCGGGCTTTAAAGTTTGCTAAGAGGAGACAGAAATGGCGACAGACGTCACATCTGAACAGTGTCCTCTGTCCTTTAGAACAATGACAGGCCCCGAGGACTCTCGGCACTGCAGGAAACTGGATGGCTGCTCTTTCATTAACGTGGAGACTCAGAAAATGCAACAGATGGGGTCGCAACAGATACTTCTCCCTGGATTTCCTTCCCTGAGATATGAGGGGTTCAGAAATACAGAAGAAAAACCTGCAGTAATGAAAACAGCAGGGCAATTCCCACCGCGGCCGGAGGTCTCCGGGTAGGAATGCAGGCGGGCATGGAGGGGAACTGACTCCACGCGCACCTGCCACTCACAGGTGAAGCTCACAGACGGTCATGGGAGGTAGGGGAGCCTTTCCAGTTCCCAGTCAGACTCAGCTCCCTGAATGCAGGGCCCCGCTTTACACCCCGACTGTGACTCAGAATTCCTGGTGCTCTGAGACAAGCTATGAGTAGCTTGTCATTAAATACCTGAGGAGTTGAATGCATGATAATAAATAGGATATTGGAACTGGAGTACCATGTCAGCATCTGGTTTGTTATTTTCCTTTTCTCTTTAAAAAATCATCTCTTTGTGTGTTTGCAGCCCTTTCTTGACCACTTCTTCTTTTCCATTTTTTTTTTTTCTGTTTCCTCAGCTTTTCCCCTATCTGTCTTGAAGGAAAGGTGCTGAGTATCTGATTTTCCACGTCAGTACGACTCTATTCATCACCATGCGAGGCTCTGGCCTGGGGGCACAGTGGACAGAGTATTCACCCCTCCCGGGGCCGGCTGTCCATCACCTCCACTGCATCCCGAATGCAGGCTGTCAGCCCAGCTGTCTGATTTCCCACGGCGGAGAGCAGGCTTGCGTGGAGGCGGATGCGTGAGGGAAGGAAAGTGGCTCCCCAGCCTCCAGCCATCATGCAGTGCTGCTCGGTGTTCTCACAGGCGCGGCCCTTGTACCTCTGCACGTGCCTTTGAAATTCAGATACTTTAACATTCTCACAGAATAGACAGTGCATATTGACAGAAACTCAGCTATTACTGCACCGGAAACCATCCATTCAGCCAAAAGTTACTATGCAGGGTTATAGTTAGGTATACTAGTGATCTGGCTTGGAAAAATTCAAAGGCCAGAACCAAGCCAGATTCCACTCCGGATGAAACTACTTGGTTCATATCATGACAGGCGTCAGGAAGTCGCCTTCCTCTTCTCAAACACCCCGCTGACTTGACTGAACTTCAGATTATGTAAAATGCCTTTGGATTTTCCAGTTAATGCATGTGTAGTGAGACACATAACGGATCCGTGTTCTATTACTACACTAGGGTGTAAGCCTTTCCGGGGTTACTGGCACAGCCACACGACAGAGCTGGAGGCTCTAAAACAGTCCCCTCTGAAGGCGCGGGAACCAGTGCTCTCTGCTGATAAAAGAGCAGAGCCATCTAGATCCAGGAGACGGAAATGGAAAACCCCAGTTGGGTGAGGAAAAGCACCTACCGATTTCCAAGAAATTGGAAGTAACATGAAGAAAAATTGTCCAGTAACAATAGCAAAGTCCTTTTCACAGGGCTTAAGAGTGCAACCTCAGCACTTTGCATATTGATAGCAGAGAGGAGAAAAAAACCCACATGCTGTAAAACACAGGTGTTGGACGGAAACACCACTACAGGAGTCTGAGAAAGGGAGGCAGCCAGAGAAACAAGGCCAGGTGCAGGGGCTCAGACCCGAAATCCCAGCACAAGAAACAGGGCTGGGCGCCGGGGCTTACACCCGAAATCCCAGCACAAGAAACAGGGCCGGGCAAGGGGACTCACACCCAAAATCCCAGCGTGAGAAACAGGGCCAGGCGTGGAGGCTCATAGCTGAAATCCCATCGTGAGAAACAGGGCCAGTGTGGAGGCTCACACCCGAAATCCCAGCACAAGAAGGGCGTAAAGGCAGGTGCCTGTGGTCCCAGCAACTTGGGAGGCTGAGGCAGAGGGATCACTTGAGCCCAGGAAGCCGAGGCTGCATTGAGCCAAGATTGTGCCACTGCACTCCAGTCTGGATGACAGAGTAAGACCCTGTCTCAAAAAAAAACTTAATTTAAAAATAAAACAAAGCAAATCCCAACGAATAAGCTGCTTGTGCAACCCCAGAGCCAGCCAGGGAATTCCTCCTACTTGATACTGTGAGCTGGGACACTGGGGCTTTTCTGCCTTTTGATTTGAACTGAAGTGTTGGCTCTTCCTGGGTCTGGTGCCTGCCAGCCTTCAGACTGAAACTCACACCTTCACCTCCCCGGTCTCCAGCCCAGCCCATTGACTGCAGGTCTCAGGATGTGTCAGCCTCCATAATCAGGTGAGCAAATTCCTTGTAATAAATCTCTTTAGATATATAGATACAGATACAGATACGTATAGATATAGATACAGATAATAGGCATAGATACAGATAGTTATAAATAGATATACAGATAGGTATAGATATAGATACAGATACAGATAGGTATCGATGCAGACAGAGATAGATACAGATACAGACAGGTGTAGATATAGATACAAACAGGTATGGATATAGATAAAGATAGATAGGTATATATAGATAGATAAAGATAGATATAGATATAGATACAGATAGGTATAGCTACAGACACAGATAGAGATAGATACAGACAGAGATAGGTATAGATATAGATAGACAGGTAAGATATAGACACAGATAGGTATAGATATAGACACAGATAGGTATAGATATAGATACAGATAGGTATAGATAGAGACACAGATAGCTATAGATACAGATAGGTGTAGATATAGACACAAATGGATATAGATACACAGATAGGTCTAGATACAGACACAGATAGATCTAGATATTGATATATAGATACAGAGAGATATAGATAAAGACACAGATATAGATACAGACAAACATAGGTGTAGATATAGACATACATAGAGATACAGATCCTATTGGTTCTGTTTCTCTGGGGAACTCTGACCAATAAAACAAGTCTTTTAAATTAAACAAAGTCCAACTGTAATCCTGGGATTTTGACCCATACTTGGTGGTAAACTGCACACTCAGATTGTGAGTAGGGCGAGCAAACAGAGGCTGCCCAATTGTCCCCACATACACACATGAGGGCAGCATGGTGGCCCCCACCAGCCTCTGTGGCTGCAGCAGCCTCTGACCTGTCAGACGGGAGCTTCTGCCCTCCACAGAACTTGCTCGTGATACTTAATATGGATTGTCAACCTGATTGGATTGAAGGATGCAAAGTATTGTCCTGGGTGTGTCTGTGAGGGTGTTGCCAAAGGAGATTAACACTGGAGTCAGTGGGCTGGGAGAGGCAGACCCACCCTCAATCTGGGTGGGCACCATCTATTCAGCTGCCAGCACGGCTAGGATAGAAGCAGGCAGAGGAAGGTGGAAGGACTGGACTGGCTGAGTCTTCCAGCCTCCATCTTTCTCCCGGGCTGGATGCTTCCTGCCCTTGAACATCAGACTCCAAGTTCTTCAGCTTTTGGACTCTCGGACTCACACCAGTGGTTTGCCCGGGGCTCTCAGGCCTTTGGCCACAGACCGAAGGCTGCACTGCCGGCTTCCCTATTTCTAAGGTTTTGGGACTCGGACTGGCTTCCAGGCTTCTCAGCTTGCAGACGGCCTATTGTGGGACCTCACCTAGTGATCCTGAGTCAATTCTCCTTAATGAACTCCCCTTCATGTATACACCTATCCCATTAGTCCTGTCCCTCTAGAGAACCCGGACTCATACAATGCTTCAGCGGAACACTGACCAGGAGGCTGGGTGCTTTCTTCTCTCCTGGCCAGGGCAGTACCCGAGGAAGGCTTGGATACAGGGGCCAGGTAAGAGCTTTGGGGGTAGAAAGAGGATCATGGCAGGAGAGAAACAGGAGGCCGACGCCTGGGCTGCCCTGGCCGTGCAAGCCAGACCACACGGGGTGCGGAACAGCGCCCACCGCGGCCGCTTCCCTACTGCCTGCTCTCCGCCATTGGTGTTAATTCACGGATGCCTTTCCACACAAAGGCCCTGTTGTCTTCTGCATATCACACATCTTATTCCTGGAACCCGTCCTCAAGGGTGTAACTCCCCCGGCCATGCAGAGGCTGGCGGGGCTGCCCTGTGTCAGGGCCTCCACGCCATCATCAGCCTCTGGCCCCTCCATCAGGACCACCCCTGTGCCCAGCCATGCTTTCCATTCACCGCGAGGCCTCACTCTGCCATGAGCGGTAAACATCTCCTCTCTCTAGGCTTGATTCTGACGCCTGAATCCACGAAGCCCTGTTCCATGGGGGCTATCAGGATCCTGGGGTCCTTCCGTACAGTTCTCTCCCAGGTTTTTACGTTCAGTGTTAGGGCTTCAGAAATAATATCAGGGGCCAGTGTGAGCCCTCAGCATGAGTCAGATGGTGGAGTGTCATCCTGGGGACTCTAGTCTCATGGCCATAGTTCACGACATGCTGTAAGTTAAGGGAAGAAGGGTTACTGTGTTTTTCCACCAGGATTACCATCAAAAACACTACGTGAAAAGTACATACCAAAACACTGATGCAGTTCCTGCCTCTCATTCAGTAGAAATAACACGGAAGAGGGTCTCGCTCTGGGGTGTCTTTGATGCATATTCATTTCTGATTAAGATCTCAAAAAGGAACAGGAGCGGTTTAACTGCTGACAGTTTCAGGCACACCAGAGCTGCTGCAGATTATCTGCTCCAACCACATCGTTTTATGGACCTGGTCTTTCAGGACCAGAAAGTTGAAGGAAGATTCCTGCAGTCACAAGAGAAATAATTACAAAACCAGGACTCAGATCCATGTCTCTCGACGTTTTGGTCCAATGCGAGAATGAGCACCTTTATAAGACTAAAGCCAGGGTGAAAATTTTCTCTCTCTGGATTCCTGCTCTTGATGAGCAACTGCAGGTGTTTTTTATTTTGATTATTTTTGTTCCTAAGCAAATAATTACCTATTAATCTTTTTTAATCAATTAAGCTATAGTTCTTCATTTCAAGGAATCTCATTAAAAGTAATGGTCTTTTCCTGCAGGAATTTAATCTTGTTTTATTTAAATGTTTATTTTTATAACACCTTCAAAAAGCCTGAAGCAGAAAGGGAATAGTTCTGATGGGACAGGGGTGATTTGTGACTGTGTCATCGCCATTGTCAGTGTTACACTAATATCATTTTTATGAAATGGAATTTTTTTCCATATTTTACAAATTGGTAAGTGTTATTGCCTCTTTTAAGAAATTTCAAGCTATAGAATATGAAGCACTGTCTAGAATCATTTTCCACCTTTATTTCTGGAAGTGCTTCTGGATTATTGGTGCTCCTAAGTGAGTGTGCAGCAGGAAAGGTCTGTGTTTTGACTCCGTGGAGGCATGGGGACTTGGTCCAGGGGTGCCGTCCCCACGTCTGAGATGGCATGTCTTACATAAAGAGGCAGCAAGAGAGGAAGCCAGCGCTGATCATCCTGAGAGGGCTCAGTCAGAGACTCACGCTGTACGGTAACTTTTCAGATCCTTTATTCTTCTCAGCAGCAGGTTATCTTTGTCAAATCAGAATTTACTCAGAAGCACACGGGAAAGCCATGAATCCACATTTGCTCTGGTTGAGTCGGGGCTTGGACGACCGAGACCACGCTCCTCACCATGGTTACCCATCCAGGAAAGACTCAAAGAGGGCTCTTCAGAAACTCTAGGACTCACTGGAGCAGACTGAACATTCCAGATGTAATCAAACCGATTAATTTTGCAGATGAGGACAGTAAAGCTGAGAAAGCCCGGCCCACCCACCTGAACTCCTCAGTATGCTGGCTCATGGCCGTGGCCAGAATCCACATGCTCCTGGCTGCCCTCTACCTCGGGGCCGTTTTCAAGTACACCAAGATTCTGATTCTGATGTCTGAATCCACGTACTGAATCAGATTCAAGTATGTGTCTCCAGATCACAGTTCTTCTGTGGATGAGCTGTCAGCGGGGCTGACCCCTGAGCGCTCTGGCAGCGGGGCCAGGCACAGGTGCAGGGCCCCATCCACCCCCAGCCAGGCCCTTAGCCCCAGGCCCCACGTCCTGTCTCTACAACCGCCTCCCAGCTCTGCTGATGGAAAGCAAGTGGGGGTGGGGTTTTCCCAGCTGGGTCAGCTCTATCAGTAGCTTGCTGAGGACCCCGTCACTCAGAAGTACGACCCTGCAGCCTCCACTGCAGGAAAGCCACCGTGAGAGGCCGGTGTCAGAGGCCTCAGGGCTTTTCCAGGACTTTTCAGCAACAGAAACCTGGGAGTTTTATCCTAATAAAATCAGAGCTGGGAACGATGCATGCCACACAGCTGTTCTAGGAAACTACCAGAACCTATCTTTAGCCCCACTGGCATGGACACAGCCTCTTCACAAGCCGGGTGTGTCTTTGAAGAGACTGGTGCCTGGAAGGGACTTTTGTACAGTAGAATAATTTTTTAATTAAAAATTTATAAAACTTCTACTGTATCTTTTATGTCTCCAATATATTAAAGAAATTGCTTACTGTATCAACCAAATGATTCAGATTCAACACCAGTTAATATGAAATCTAGGAAACAGGTTGTAAAATGTCAATTAAGAAAAGAAAATGAATTAAAGAAAATGCACAAAACAACAAACACCCAAAGATGTTCAGCTCAAATATAAACAGGTTAGTTTCATCATATAATTGCTGGAGTAACTTGTTTTTTAATAAAAATAGGAACTATGTATAATATATCATGTAGCAAATTGTTATTATAATTGAGTCATTTTTAAGTAGCCAAATAATTAATATAGTCCTACTGTTTTAATTGTTCCCTGTATAGAAGATATTTTTCAGAGTGCACAATGAAAAATAGTAACTTGCTCTTAAAACTCAGGTGATTGAATGACGTGTATGAGGTATAACATTTACCAGAGTTGGGTGATGCTTAACTCTCTGAGTGAAATGTACAAGCCTCATTAAAAATTAATGAAAACCTCAGTGATGTTATCATTCATTTCCCCTAAAGGGCTGTCATCCTCTTCTTCCCATCAGAAATTAGTGTATGAAGTCTAAACTCTACATGAAGTCTAAACTCTACGCATTACAGTACAGTGTAACTGGTAATATAACCTAAGAACTGAGAGATTTTTTCAGAAATAGTCTTGTCTAAAATTAAAAATTGAATTATTTTTCTTACCTAGAATTCTCCTTAAACTGGAATCAGTCTTCATAATGTGGAGGAATTGAAAGAACATCAGGCAACTTTTCCTTTAAATATCTAAGGATTTTTAACAGAAAAAATGGTTTCTTAGCAATTCAGTTAACAATAATTATAAGATGGCAGAAACAATGGCCAAACTTCCAGGTAAGAAAGCAAATGCTTTTCAAACACTTTAAAAGTTCTGTTTTACATAAAAGCAATTAATATGTTAATTACAAACAAATCCCATTCATCTATTAATTCAAGTCTTATCCACAGTTGAAGTTCAACCTCCTTCAACTTTCTGTGTGTGATAAAATCTATAAAAGTCCTTCTCTGCACTGCTCTGTATCCCAGATGTATGGTACCTCTTAATCATGATAATAGTAAATTTGAACTTTAATTAGATAAGTGTTTGCTATACATCAGGCACTTTGTTAAATACCTGACTACAACCTTAAGTGGTCTTTTATTCCACAAATAATTACCAAGTTCCTAACTCTGTTCTAAGTGCCAGTAATAAAATAATGAGCACACGTAGTACTGCCTTCATGGGGCTCAAAGGCTAGAAGGTTGGAGGAAAGACAGGCACATGGGTAAATATGGAAAATAAGCATGCTGTTAGGAGGTGGATATGCTTTCATAAACAAGAGACAATTATTGCCCCTGTTTTATAATGAAGGAGCTGGTATTAAGGTAACTTGTTTGAGGAAACAGGGTTAAAAAGCCACAGATGAGGATTTAATTAGCAGTTTGTCAAACTCTACAGCCAAACTCTTAATCACTGTACCTTGTTACTTGACCATGACTTGTATAGAGTAATATATACATATACACAAATATGCATAATATACACACATAACATATATTTATATAATATACATTATGTGCATATATACATATATATACTGTGTGTGTGTGTGTGTGTGTGTGTGTGTGTGTGTGTGTGTCTGGGGTTGCTTTCTATTAATTAGGATCAGTTACTCATTAATTCATTCAAAAACGTATATCAAGTGCCTGGCTTGGCTCAGACATTATAAATACAGAAATGAATAAATATGGGCTTTGCCTGCTTGTGGCTTATCTCAATCAGACTTCACAGGTGGAAGGAAGGAAGGAAGGAAAGGAGGGAGGAAAGAGGAAGGAAGAAAAGAAGGAAGGAGGGAGGGAGGGGGAAGGGAGGGGGAAGGGAGGGGGAAGGGAGGGGGAAGGGAGGGGGAAGGAAAGGAAGGAAGGAAGGAGTGAGGACTACTGCATTTGTTGCTGCCTCTGAAGGAGCCCAGACAGAGCTGATGGCCCCGGCAGCAAGCGAGACCTACTGTTCACCTGGCAAGGTCCTGTTGTTTGACCAATATTGTCTCCTTCAGTCCTCACAAGTTACAATATATCAGCAAATTGGAATGGTTTTCATAAGAATAAGTAAAGGAAACATTAGTCATTTATTAAAGAACACAGCAGACACGTGGCCTACTATTATGAATTATTTGCATTGTGAAGAAGGATATGAGTATGGCAGCTCCTGTAACTGGCAGAGTCTCCAATCTTTGCTTCAGTCAAAAGCCTGCTGGCCAGGTGTGGTGGCTCATGCCTGTAATCCCAGCACTTTAGGAGGCCAAGGCAGGCAGATCACCTGAGGCCAGGAGTTAGAGACAAGCCTGGCCAACATAGCGAAACCCCATCTCTACTAAAAATACAAAAATTAGCTGGGCATGGTGGCAGGTGCCTGTAGTCCCAGCTACTCAGGAGGCTGAGGCAGGAGAATCGCTTGAACCTGGGAGGTGGAGGTTGCAGTGAGCCGAGATCGCGCCACTGCACTCCAGTCTGGGTGACAGAGTAAGACTCCATCTCAAAAAAGAAAAAAAAAGAAAAAAAGAAAAAGGCTGTTGCCATCTTATCTCTAAAGCCACCATGTTGACTATCTTAAAAGCATGCCTCGATTCACATTTGAAGTCTTAACCAAGCCCTGTCCTATGGGGGCCTGCAGTGTTCTCAGGTCTGTCTAAATGAATATTATTTGGGGGTACTTTTTTACTTGTCCTTTCAGCACCATTGCTTGCTAATGATCATTTTTAGAACCTGCATCGTTTACAAACAGACATTAAATTCTCCACCCCAGCCAGGAGCTCTAATCCGCCCCTCCTCCTCCCAGGCTTTCTGCAGCTCCACTTCATCTCCTGAGATGTTTTCTCAGTGCCGCATTTTTAAAGCAAGGAACATCCTTCTTATTTTAATCTCCCTTCCTCCCACTTCTTTACTTGCACTGTTTGGATAAATAACTTCAACTTGGAGAGAATGATAAACATGGATCAGAAACAACAAAAGAAGCAAATGACTTCCTACCTACAATGCGGCATAACAGAACTAATCATCTCCAGACATCCACCTGATTTATAGGTGCAAAAAATGCCCGTCTCAGGATGTGTTTAATTCCAGAACGTGTACTGGGAACACTGAATTTAAAGTAATTAAATAGGTGTCTAGTTTTTTTAATAATGCCATTTGAAATGCAGCCACCCCTGTGGGCCGTGGGGGCGGGGCTGAATGAACAGTGGTGTGATCTGGAGGGAACATGGTGAGTTTTCAAAATCACATCTCGTGTGATTGTGGCCTCAGCTGGGATCAGAGCTCCCATACTGCGGAACGCTGGGGAACAGGCAGCCTGGACCAGAGGGCTAAGCTACCACACCACCGCACAGGATGAAATTCATTAGCTTTCTTTCCTATCTTTCCATAACCTGGGTGTGAACAACTTTTGCACATTAAAACTTTTGACTTAGATGGCACACACACCCCCGACTTCAGAACAGCCAATAGAATTATAGTCCACAGCAAACTGTTGGGCTGTAAAGCTTATATGGGCTGTTCTGAAGCGTAACTGTGAATCAATTAAAACTTTTTTCTTCATAAATTACCCAGTCTCAGGTAGTGTGAGAACAGACGAATACATTACACAACTGTTATAATTGCTTTGTTTCAGGTGAGGAAAATGAGGCTCACAAGAGTAAATAAACTGCCCAGCATAAACTACCGACTAGGGCCAAGCCAAGAGGTGACCATCAGTCTGACTCCAAAACCCACGTGCTAGTGTCTCGAAACAAAGCAACGTGTCAGTCAAATCAGTGCTGTGGAATACAACAGGCACTCATTAAATGCCTATTATGTGAAAACATTCATTTACTCTACAGTTTGGGGGTGAATGAAATGGCTAAAACAAGAACAATACAAGCAGGAGAATCACTTGAACCCAGGAGGTGAAGGCTGCAGTGAGCAGAGATCACACCACTGCACACCAGCCTGGGTGACTGGGAGACAGAGCAAGACTCTGTCAAAAAAAAAAAAAAAGAACAGTACAAGCCAACATTATTAAATGTATTTGCAGATAAAGTAGCAGACCTGGATAAAGAAATAATTTTGTAGAGACAAATAACAGTGACTCTCCATCTGTAAACCTCTAGATTCATATGTCAGGTTGTTATAACTTGCACCAAGTACCACTGAAGGGAGCAAGTCAAAGTCCGTTGCCTCTTATTTTTTTCAGTGAGTCTTTGAAAATGCAAGCTGCACAAAAAGGCCAGACAACTGAGAGGAGTGTAGTCTCAATCTCATCTACACGAGCATTTACACAGAGAGAAGACCAGATCCCTTCCCGATGATCCGGTTTCATTGCCCCCAGTGACCACTGTGCAGAAAGGAAAACTGGCTTCACCCTAGAAATTTTACCATGCAGCAGTCAGGGGTGCCTCAGGCCTTCAGAAGTCCCCTCTGCTCTGTCTCCCTCACTTGAGACCCTAGGGACACCTTGCTAGTTATAAGCCTTTTCTTTCGCCTGGAAACCCATGGGCTTAGCCACATGAGCTAAGTCTCATGTGCAAACACCAAACACCATGAGGAAAGTGCAAGAGCAGTGCTTCTCTGTGAACACAGTGCAGGGCAGCTCTTTATGCAAACTACAGCGTTGAGCTAATTCTTCTGTCGGCCAAAACCTTTCAATGTATCCCATCATATGAAAATGGTAGGTGAACAGTTCCGTTCCAGAAGCTTCCGGGTTAGAAATGGAGCTACACAGCATGGGCCATTGCTTGTGACTCATAGCTTGAGAAAGTGGAGGGCGTGACCCCCACATGGAGAACCAGAGACATGCTATGAACTTCCACCCAGGTGACAGAGACGACGGCCATTCACATGTCCATTGAATCCCCATCCCTGACTCCTCACCTCGTAGCAGCTGAGAAGGCAGCAGCTTTTTCTCCGAGCTTCTACTTGTAGTTTTATTTGACTGTGTCTTCTGAATTACAGTTCAATAGTCCCATGATGTTGAAACTTCCCCATTCCCTTAGCTCTTTATTCCTACACTTTTCTTCTTTATCCATTCTATTTCCTTATATGTGCTCCTCATCACACCCGGGATAGTATACTGAAGAATCCAAAAATCCACCTGACACTTATCTTTGAGTTTCTGGAATAAACACTTTAGTATAAATCATTGTTTCCAAGATGCGCTTCCCTGATCACCACTTTAGCCAAAAGTTAGCTGCCGTTATTTCTCTTCTTTCAAATTAAATATTTTATCAAGATGATACATTAACATATTCTTAAGTCAACTAGAACTATTTGGCTCATACTAATCACAAAAAAGACACTCCTCAGATTCTTAGAAGCAGACACTCTAAACTCTCCACCTGCTATTACAGGTATAAGAACATTGTATTAATGCCTTGCAGGAACAAATGCAGCCACTCTTGATTACTCCTGCTAGTGGGAATATAAATAACTTGGGAAAATGAAATCCAGTGAGCTCAGAAGCTTTCTTCCCCCATTTATTTCAACCTTTCCACCCTGCAAGCATTTGACAAGCACCACTAACAAGCAGCAAAACGGACTGGCTGATTCCATCTTCTCTCCATCCTTTCCAGCGTACGGCTCAGGTGCGGAGGACATGAACCGACTGGCTGATTCCATCTTCTCTCCAACCTTTCCAGCATACGGCTCAGGTGCGGAGGACATGAACCGACTGGCTGATTCCATCTTCTCCCCATCCTTTCCAGCGTATGGCTCAGGTGCACAGGACATGAACGGACTGGCTGATTCCATCTTCTCTCCATCCTTTCCAGCGTCTGGCTCAGGTGCAGAGGACATGAACGGACTGGCTGATTCCATCTTCTCTCCATCCTTTCCAGCCTCTGGCTCAGGTGCAGAGGACATGAACGGACTGGCTGATTCCATCTTCTCTCCATCCTTTCCAGCATCTGGCTCAGGTGCAGAGGACATGAACGGACTGGCTGATTCCATCTTCTCTCCATCCTTTCCAGCGTGTGGCTCAGGTGCAGAGGACATGGAGGCATTCTGGTGCATCGCATCCCTCCACGCCTTGTCATCCACCTCAGGATGCCTCCATGTCCTCTGCATCTGAGCCACCACCTGGCGACCCCACCTGCCCCTGGTCACGCCTCCACCTCCATATTTCTTTTTAAGAAACTTACTACGAAAGCCCCTTCCTCTCCCTGTCTCTTTGTCCTCATCCTCTTGACTGACTCATTAAGAGGTCTGCATGAGCACTTAGGCCTCCCTCATGTAAAAAAGTACATTTTAAGTCTTTTTTGAAAAGCTGGTTTTGCCCTCACACTTTCTATCCTTCTCATGACATTTGAATGAGAAGGAAAAAATAACAGTACAGAGGGTCATCACCCTTTATGGAATCAGATTGCGGAATTTACTACTGAAGAGACCCTGGGGAAGTTACTGAACTTCTCAAAGCTGCCTTTTCCTTATCAATGAAATGGGGATTGAAATGTCATGTACTTTCTGGGTTACTGTGGAAACTAAATGAGATCATGTATGTGATAACCTAGTGCAGTCCCAGCAGTCTGCTATGTGACCAATAAAGTGAGGACTTTTGGGTTCTGCATACAGAATTTCAACAATAGGCTGGGCGCAGTGGCTCACACCTGTAATCCCAGCACTTTGAGAGGCTGAGGTGGGCAGATCACCCGAAGTCAGGAGTTCGAGACCAGCCTGATGAACATGGTGAAACCCTGTCTTTACTAAAAATACAAAAATTAGCCGGGTGTGGTGGCACATGCCTGCAATCCCGGCTACTTGAGAGGCTGAGGCAGGAGAATTGCTTGAACCCGGGAGGCAGAGGTTGCAGTGAGCTGAGATGGCACCACTGCACTCCACCCTGGGCAACAAGAGTGAAACTCCGTACCAAAAAAGAAAAGAAAAAAAAACTTCAACAATAACCCCATTTCTGTCTTGGCATTTATTCTCTCCCTCTGTAGTTTTTGATGATCATGACTGTCTTCTTACTTACTGATTTCTCTCTCATAGCACATACCACGCCAAAAACAGAATAAGAAAATCTGAATTTTAAATTTAAATTACATTTAAAAACCCACTACTATTTTTACATTTAAATTTTTAAAGCAGAGATAAATCTTACTTCAACTTGAAACAAGATACATGGAAATGTTAACACAGTGCTGAAATAGACACAAGAAAAGGCCAAGAATGAAAATACAGAGTTTTGAAACCAAGTATATTTAGGGTGCACAGTTTAGAAGGAAAAGATCCTACATTAAAATACTGCAGAAGCGACTAGGCACGGTGGCTCACCACTGTAATCCCAGCACTTTCGGAGGCCAAGGCAGGCGGATCATGAGGTCAGGAGATCGAGACCATCCTGGCTAACACGGTGAAACCCCGTCTCTACTAAAAATACAAAAAAATAGCCGGGCGTGGTGGCGGGCACCTGTGGACCCAGCTACTCGGGAGGCTGAGGCAGGAGAATGGCGTGAACCCGGGAGGCGGAGCTTGCAGTGAGCCGAGATCGCACCACTGCACTCCAGCCTGGGAGACAGAGCAAGACTCCGTCTCAAAAATAATAATAATTATTATGATTATGACTATTATTATCTATATATACACATATATATTTTACAGAAGCACGGGCAGAAGAAACATTTCAACGAGAGGGAGAGGAAAATCCTCGCCACCAGACAAAACAAGGCATTAAAGGGTGAGACTTCCAGACACAGTGGTGCCGAGATATGGCCAGTTTAGTGCGATGTGTTTGCCGTGTAATGAGAGAGATTTTGTGGAAAGAAAAATAATAATAAGCAGGCCGTCTTCATCCCAACGCCACTCCCAAACGCACCTTTTGGTGTCAATCCTTCTAATCGATTTTAAATCCAGCTGGTGCATGTCCACATGATTGCAATGATTGCAGAAGGGGTGTTCCAGTTGGGGGATTATCCGAGCATCCTGCCTCTTCCCTCTTTTCCCTGTTTGTGATTCGCCTGCTCATTAGCACGAGTTTGAAAGGATGGAGAGATGGAATCAGCCAGTCAATTTCACTGCTTGTTAGTGGTGCTTGTCAAATGCTGGCTGGGTGGGAAGGCTGAAATAAATGGGGGAAGAGAGCTTCTGAGCTCAATGGCTTTCATTTTCCCAAGCCACCCCTGCTCCCATTAGCATGGATCATTGAGAGTGGCTGCGTTTGATCCTATGTAATCAGATAATCTGTAGGGAAATGGAAATTTGATTCCTATATGTCTCTATTTTAGATGCTTAGAAAGCACATCTGCAGAAGCACTGCATTGCTTAATTTTGAGCAAACTGCAAGTGGAAATGAGAAGCACTAATGAAGATATTTGTTAGTTCATTATGGGGGAAGACTCACTTATCAGAGAATTGAAAACAGGCAATTTTTCTGGTCTCAGGGAAGAGCGCAGGAGAAAGCAAAATGCATTTAGAATCTAACTAAAGAAACATTAAAAGCATAAATGAAGTATGAGATTCACTTACAGCCTATTCAATAACAGTTAATATGTCAAGGATCCAAATTTCGGCCCCTCACAGGACTCATGCAGAGACCGATGATGTCACACATCAGAGAACGTGGTAAAGTAGATGCTCTGTGTGTGTGAAATTCAGCTCTACACCTGACAAGCTTCCCGGGTTACTTTACACATCCCTGTCATCACGCATGGGAGTCACGGGACCTGCGCTGTGTTCTCAGTGCCCAGACAAGTGGCACAGTGCCCTGAACACAGCGATCATTCCCAGGCCTGGGGTCCCTCCTGTAAGGTATCAGTGAGACTTGCTGCCCACTGGACTCTGCTCAGGTGGATGTAATCCCTGTTCCTCGCAGATACCTTCAACCAGAGTAAAATGACTCTGAGTATCCGTCTTGTGGAAGCACCTTCAGGCCCTCACACCACATGCACGATGTGGCCTGCCCACCGGACCCCTGGAACTCAGACCTTGCATTGTTGATGGACAGCCCAGTTCAGAATCAGGGAGTCAGGAAAGGGGTGTTTCCCACCTGTAGAAAAAGGAAAAAAAGAAGGACAGGCAGAAAGACAGATGGGAGCCCAAATACTACTTCAGTCTCTAGGAGCCCCTCCAACATGAGTAGTCTGTGAATGTGTAAAGAGTAAGATGTGAAATAGGGATACATATGCATATGCATAAATCAACTCTGGTAAAGACAGGAAAGGTATTTAAAATAGAACGTAGCAGTGGCATTATCTGGAGTGGGGTCAGTGACATGTGACTGCTGCACAAAACCATCAGCTCCCTCTCAGAGGAAAGGCCCGCATCCACCTCCCCACAGCCCCCGCGCACTCCGTCTAGGTGATCGCGTGTCCCCATCAGCTCCCTCGCAGAGGAAAGGCCTGCGTCCACCTCCCCACAGCTCCTGTGCACTCGGTTTAGGTGATCATGTGTCCTGAGCTAACCTAGAAGTGGTGATCAGCCAAGGCATCTCACGTGGAAGAGCCGTGCTGGCCCTCTGTGGGCTGCTCTGATGACAGAGTCCAGCGCCACTCAGGTTGGCCTTCAGATGTTCTGGAGAGGCCACTGGCATCTTCCCCCAGCCGACAGGCATGAGGGGTTTCACGGACTGGGGAGGGAAACACAGAAACCTAGAGTTTGGAGACCTGGGTCGCAACCCTACCACTTCAACAAACCAGCCCTCATCGCCATCCACAAAGGGTGACGATGAACTGGGTTACACATCGTTGTCATAAGATTCTAAAGTGGTCCTTTAAAAGCAGAGAAAACTAGACACGAATTGCATATATGGTGTTAAGCAATTTGACTCAGACAGAAAAGTGTCCCCACATCATCTCATTTTCACCAACACACTGTGACATGATTCTCCTCTGTGAAGCCACAAAGGCAGAACAGGGAGCGACTGAACTTTTGTGTCTTCCTCGGACTCAGCACGGACCCTGATGGGGTGGATCGGAACACGTTGGTTGCATGAATAAAGGAGACTTGCTGGTCTTGGTGCCCTTCTCAGCAAAACAAGCTCATGTGTGACTTACAGAGTTTTCAAAGAGGCTCCTGGGAAAGAGAAGAAGGCGTTTAGAGGAACATGAAACCAAAATTGGCAGGAGGAAATGTTTGGCCCTGACGTTCCTGTCTCCCTTGCTCTGCGATTGCGCAACTATTTCATTGGCAGGAGACTCGTCCACACCCACACCCACAGTGCTCGAGGCTCATCCTCCTCTTGAGTCCACGCCTCCATGCGATACAAAGGAAAACACAGAGGACACCAATTCCTGGCATCTGACTCCTCGGGTTTCAGTGAGATTTCTACCTGTTTTAGTCTCAGGCATGGGCTACACACAGAGCATCCTTCATCCTCCCCTGCTCCTCTCCAAGGAGGTATCAGGGCACAACTGCCCATGGCTTTGCATGGATGAGGACACCTGCTGCCAGCTCCCGTCCACTCCTGGAGAAGACGGGGTCATTTAGGAGGCAGAAGCAGATGGCCAAGTCCACAGGTTCCCCAGTTCCCCTTCCTGGGCTGGGGTCCACTGTGCACACCTCCAGTCCAGGATAGACAAGCCACACCACTGCCAAAACCAGCTGGAATCCACTGGGTGCCCCAGAGAGCCACAGCCACTTTACCCAGGACAGGGCACCTTGCATGCACCCCTCCAAATGCTCAGAGGCCACCTGGGCAGGTGCAAGGTGGAGGCAGAGAACCGGCAGGACTGAGCGTGGACCCACAGGAACTTGGGCCCTCAAATGAGAAGATGTGAATGGGAAAGCCTGTGACCAACACCTGAGTCAGCATAAAGTAAGAGAGAGAGTGTGTGTGTGTGTGTGTGTGTGTGTGTGTGTGTGTGTGTCATGACCCAGCAAGATGGCAACTCCTCTGGAATGGAGTATGAAGACGACGCAGATGTTCCGAATCTCCCAGGAGGCCGGGAGCACTTTGCCTCCCCAACCCGGAGCCACAGCTTGCAGAGCCGCCCCTGCCGGATGCCGGCACCCCCACTTCTCAGGCTGCAGCTGTGGCCACGTGATGCCCAAAGCCATGGCCGACGCCCGGTGCCATCACTTCCCCACGTGTCCCCCTGATAACCTCGCCGGGTGCCATCAGTTCCCCACGTGTCCCCCTGATAACCTCGCCGGGTGCCGTCACTTCCCCACATGTCCCCCTGATAACCTCACCCGGTGCCATCACTTCCCCACGTGTCCCCCTGATAACCTCGCCGGGTGCCATCACTTCCCCCACGTGTCCCCCTGATAACCTCGCCGGGTGCCATCACTTCCCCACGTGTCCCCCTGATAACCTCGCCGGTGCCATCACTTCCCCACGTGTCCCCCTGATAACCTCGCCGGGTGCCATCACTTCCCCCACGTGTCCCCCTGATAACCTCGCCGGGTGCCATCACTTCCCCACGTGTCCCCCTGATAACCTCTGAATTTCTTCCTCACATGCAAGAATGAATTAAGAAGACAGACTTTTAGAGTGGGCAGGAAACTCAGAGACTGTGTCACCCAATCCCCTCACATTAAAGCTGGAGAGGACACGACCCAGAGACACAAGGCACGTGTCCCCAAACCACACAACGGATCAATGTCACAGTTGATGCTGACATCCAGTCCTCCTGGCTCCACAATTATTTCTGCCACTCCAGGCTGCCTCAATTCAGCTGCACAAGATGTAGGCTATATAAAAATATGTGATAATCTATAGAAAGTGCTCTCTCATAAAAGGAAGGCAGCCAGCCTAGAGAAGGCACCTGCCCAGCTCCCAAACTCACACATAAGAAGGTCCTCGTCACAAGTTGACGCCCACACCAGCAGAGCCAGCAGCAGGCCGACAAGGAAGGCTGTCCTGCAACAAAGCCAAGGATGGCCTCGGCTCACTCACTCACCCGCCAAATGTCTGAGTGTCTTTTACGTGCCTAACATTGTTCTGGTTTGGGGGAATGGATGTGGATTGAAAAAGATTACACCAAATGCCTCCACTATTTAACAATAACAAGAGCAGCCAACGGTTTAGAAAATTCACAGTAGGTTCGTTCAGAAGTTCCAGGTCATGGTCTGTGAAAATAAAGAACAACAGAATTAGGAAACCACAGAGTAGAAAGCAGTGTCAGACTTTATCAAATCCAGCCCCTGTTTTATTTAAAAAGAGAAAACAGAAGCGAGTTCCCCCCGAAGCTGCCTCACTGCCCATCCCAGCTGCAACCCAGGCAGGTGTGGGAAAAACACCATTGTCTCTGTCTCCTCACTCCCAGCTCTTCCCTGGAAAGCAAGTGGATTTTCTAGGAATCTGTGAGTCAGCACATAACTCGCTTTGTTTCTGGAGCAGAGCACATGGAAGCGGGGAAGGAGCATGGACTGCAGCCTCCGCAAGTGTCACGACACGCGCCTTTGCTGCTTACTCTCTGTAAGCATCAAACGCCAAAAAGGCGTTTTTTTCATCCTAGGGAAGGGACCCACTTCCCTTCACGCCATCCAAATCCCAGAGGAAAAGGAAGAGAAATCTACATAAGCCACTTATGTCTCTTTTTCTTCCAGACGTTCATTGTTTCCTAGCCAACCTTGTCACAGACCTTCGGTGGTACCCTTATGAAACTTCCATTACACGTCCTGATGACCTCCTCCCTGCACTATGAGACCTATGATTTCAGGGAACTTTCCAGGAGTTTACTCCTACACAAATAACTTTTTTCTCCTTTTGCTTGTTTCTTTCAATATAACTTTCCTAATTACATCAACCTCTCCAAGACAACCACTCCTCACTGCTCTCAAACTAGAACACCATTTAAAATACCAGATGCTGGCCTCTGCTGTCCAAAAGTCAGTTACACAAAAGCCTCCCAATAACCCGAAAGAAAACTCCCCCACCTCTCCGGGAGTCTGTTTCCCATGTGGCAACACTGGACACTGGATGAAGGCTTGTCCTAACCCCCGGCCTCCACCAAACCATGCCCAACTGGTAGTCTTTGGGGATGTTGGAAAATAGACTGCCTCCAGTGGGGACACCTTCCCTGTTCGGGTGCAGCTCATGATGAAGCCCCCAGACCATTACAGGAGGAAATCTCATCACTGCCGGCACTCACCACGGAGGACTGAGCATGCCCGGGATCCTTTACCCCCACTTCCACTGAGTCCACGGAACCCAGGGTAACTGGGATGGTGTCTGGTAATAGGCCGTGGTGACAAATGAACAGTTTTTAACTTCTGACTTTTTCAAACTTCATAGGAAAGGAAGAGTAGGAAAGATCAGGTCTTTTTAGGTTGCGTGTTGTCTGTGTGACTTGGTGGGGTCTTAATTACAACATGCAAGTGGGTTGGAATGAAAAACATACAAGGGGATGCTTTTAGTTGCTTAAAATTCTTATCAATAAAATACATTGGAAATGTTTGTATTTCCATAATTGATCAGTTTGTGCATTAATGTCAAATTAAATAAACACCTTTTGCTTTATATTTTTAAAAACTTTAAACAGCAAGCCGGAGCTGATGAGTGATGTTAAAATCCACAAAGTCCTGAGACAGGGCTTCAGAGTCACAGGTTTTTATCCATGAAGCACACTGGGAATGTTTCCATTTCCAGAATTGATGAGCTCACTGATGATTCTCAAATTAAATAAAAGCCTTCGAACTGCTACGTAAAAAGTCTTGAAAACGTGAATGGCAAAAAGGGCGATTCCAAAATCAGCAGCAGCAGCATGAGCTTCAGATGCACGGGACTGTTGAAAGGAATCGCCGAAGCCCTCGTATTCGGACAAAAGGGGGCTTTACAGAGCCTCCTCGTTTATTACGTGGAGTCACAGCCACTCCGTGCAGTTGCATGAGCCGCCCAGGACTCTTAACCACGCCGGGGACGCAGCCCAGAAAACAGGAGCAGGCTGTGTGCGGGGGTCCCCGCCTGAACCCCAGCTCTGCCACGCCCCAGCTCTGGGCCTGAATCCAGCCGAAGTTTCTCCCTGGCACAGCGGTGACGGTGACGTCTACCTCACAAGATTGTTGGGAGGGTTACCTGAAATAAAGCATGCAAATGCCTCCACTATAAGGGTTTGAACCTATGGAAACCCCAAAACAAGATGAAAGGAAAACCAGTAAGATGCACCTATGCCTATGTATACATAGGGTATATGTGCCCATACGAAACTATCACACTGGTAACACCACGAATGTATAAACAGTGAGTCCACTTCTGCAGGAAAATATTAATATCGGCCAGATGTTGTGGCTCACACTGTGGGAGGCTGAGGGGGGCGGATCGTTTGAGCCCGGGAGTTCAAGACCAGCCTGGGCAATATAGCAAGACTCTGTCTCTTCTAAAAATACAAAAAGTTAGCTGGGCATGGTGGTGCCTATAGTTCCATTGCTAGAGCCTGGGAGGCAGAGGTTGCAGTGAGCCGAGGTCACACCACTGCACTCCAGCCTGGGCAACAGAGAGAGACACTGTCAAAAAAAAAAGGAAGGAAGGAAGGAAGGAAGGAAGGAAGGAAGGAAGGAAGGAAGGAAGGAAGGAAGGAAGGAAGGAAGGAAGGAAGAGAGGGGAAAAAAAGAAAGAAAAGAAAATACTAATGTCATAAAGTAGTATGCAAAATTGACACCTAAGGACATTTACTTCAGCATTTTTATGATTAAATGCCAAGAACCACCCAAATGTCCAAAAGTAGAGGAAGCGTCAAGAAACAGACACGTATTATTCATAGGAAGGGACACTGTGATATCTCCTGTGGGAGTGTTGTCTCTGGTTACAACTGATAACGCTCCCAGTCCTCACACACTGAAGCGGACGGCGAGTGGACAGCACGGAAACCACCCCTGCGATTCGGCACAGGCTCACGTGTACACAAGGAGGAAAGGCGTCAAGAATTTCCACTCTTCATATTCACTTACACAGTGTTTGCTGTTGTGGCTGTTTTGGTTTTCTTATTTAACTTTTAAGGTCAGGGGTGCATGTGCAGGTTTGTTTCATAGGTAAACTCGCACCGTGGGAGTTTGTTGTGCAGATTCTTTCAGCCCTCAGGTATAAAGCCTAGTAACCATTATTTTTCTCATCCCCTCCCTCCTCCCTCCTCCCGCCCACCACCCTCCCTGGGCCCCAGTGTGGGTTGTCCCCCTCTGGAGGGTAGAGGGTGGAAGGAGGGAGAGGATCAGAAAAAAACAATTATTGGGTAGTGGCTCAACACCTGCTATGAAATAATCTGTACAACAAACTCTCATGACGTGATTTTAACTATGTAACAAACCTGCACATGCACCCCTGAGCTTAAAAGTTAAAAAAAAAAATTTCTTTTTAGACAGCGTCTTACTCTGTTACCCAGGCTAGAATGCAATGGTGCTATCTGCTCACTGCAACCTCCGCTTCCCCAGTTCAAGCGATTCTCCTGCCTCAGTCTCCCGAGTAGCTGGGATTACAGATGCCCACCACCACGCCCAGCTAATTTTTATATTTGTAGTAGAGACAGGGTTTCACCATATTGGCCAGGCTGTTCTCAAACTCCTGACCTCAGGTGATCTGCCTGCCTTAGCCTCCCAAAGTGCTGGGATTACAGGTGTGAGCCACTGCACCCAGCCAAAAAGTAATCACCTACAGGAAAAAAGTAGTGTAGAAGGACCAAAAATCAAGGTGAGCCATATAAAGGTAATAATAATAATAGTGTTTCTGTTATTCAAAATAGAATGGTGTTGACCTTACACACAATAGAGGGAATGCCACATTACAAATCACAACTTCAGTCATTTTGGACCTGTAAAAGCATGTTGCCTTTATCATCTCTTACTCATTAAAAGCACTTGTGAGAACTTAATTGTACATTTTAAAAGAACTCGGTATAATTGGATTGTTACACAAAGGATAAATGCTCGAAGGGCTGGATACTTGTGACAAGTATCCAGACACATATTATTGCATAGAAGCGTCATTCTCCACGATGTGCTTATTTCATCTTTCACGCCTGCATCAAAACATCTCATGTACCGCATAAGTATATACACCTCCAATGTGCCCACAAAAATTAAAAATAATTTTAAAATAAAGACAGTGCATTCCACTGCAGCAGCACACACACAAACCATTTGTGGCTTCTCTCAATGTTTGCATTTGCTCTGCGATGGGAATGTCTGTGCAGGAAAGACAGATCCCCTGTCCCTGGGCGTGCCCAGCCTCACCAAGGAGGGTCACCTTCGAAGGAACAATATTCTGAAAGAGCTCCTTCCCTCTCAAGGCGGCCGAAAGTACATATTCTCCCTATTTTTATTTTACAGAGTAGAGACATTCTAAATTAGTATCTTTTTTTTTACTGGAAAGTGTCAGTATTGCTGGGGAAGGGATAAAATCCTCACATACAACATTTCACACATGGAAGTTTGAGATTGTGGAACCACTTGTTAGCATCGTATTGGGTCCTCAAAATGACATTAAAATGTAGATTAAAAAGGATTTACTATCCTCAAGTTACACAAAACTGGTAAAATAAAATTATTTAAGTGGGAAAATAGTTACTCCTAATTGCAATATGATACTATTTTTCAATATATTCATTGGGAGATCTTTTTGCATTGATGATTCAAATCTGTTCATTTCTAGCTAAATTCTAAAGAGATCCTAATATTATTACCTGATCTTTTTATTTAAAATGTTTAAACAACTTGCTGCTCCTCTAGCATCTACGGTCTACACTATCACATAGAACAGAGATACTCACAGATTCAGGACATAAGGCATGACAAAATCTGCATTTTTTTAGAGAATTAGGTCATTGCATAGCCAAGTCAGTACCCCAAGTCCCTGCCCTTCATCGTCTGGGGTCCCTTCCCTGCCAGGCGCAGGGTTCCAGTGGCAGGTCCTGACTCAGTGGGACCTTTCTCAGCATCTCTGACAGAAGGACTGTCTGGAATTACAGGGCACGATCAATTGTCTGCCTTGCTAGGAAGTCTCATCTGTTCTTATGAAAGCGGTCCAATTAGTCTTTAGTTGAATCGTAACTGGATGTATAACCTTTTCCATCTATTGCTGTTTGGGAGTGGATATCTTCACCAAGTGATTTTTTTTCCTCTCTATTTAATACTGAGGTTACTTACTGGATAAGCAAAAGAGATATTATTGATGAAATGCTCTTGTAGTATATCAGCTTGAGTTTGTCAGCTCAATAAATAATTTATGCCCCAGGGCCAAATAAAAAGAAAGAAATTTTCAAGTTTTTATCGACTATCAAACTCCAAACTGTCAGCTTCTCCTGATACAAATCTATTTTAATTTCAGTTTCTTATGAGTCACTTAGTTTCCCAACTACTGTACTTAAAGTAAAAAGGGGCTATAAGAGGGCACATTGGTGAAATACAACGTAAATAATTTAAAAACCTAAGTGATTACAAAGCCATGGGCCCCAGGTTTGAAACACACTCACCATAATTTCTGCTCAGCTGATGACCTCCTGTTCATCTGTTGTCATTAGCAAAAAGCATACTTATGCTCTGGTTGACCAAGGGAAGTCAGTGAAGTCTTTGACGTGGGAACAGAGAATATGTGTGGCAGCCCTGAACCAGACCTGTGGTGTCTACCTTATGCTACTCTCGCATTAACCAAGCAAGATAAACACCTGCTTTCAGGATACATGGGTGCATCAGGATTACTTAATGCATACTTGACTATAGAAAACAGAAAGTAGGGCCAGGCACGGTGGCTCAGGCCTGTAATCCCAGCACTTTGGGAAGCTGAGGCGGGTGGATCACTTGAAGTCAGGAGTTCGAGACCAGCCTAGCCAACATGGTGAAACCCCATCTCTACTAAAAATAAAAAAAATTAGCCGGACGTGGTGGTGGGCGCCTGTAGTCCCAGCTACTCGGGAGGCTGAGTCAGGTAAATCACTTGAACCTGGGAGGCAGAGACTGCAGTGAGATGAGATCGCAGCACTGCACTCTAGCCCTGGAGACAGAGTGAGACTCCATCTCAAAAGAAAAGAAAAGAGAAAACAGGAATCAGTCAATAGTCCATGGACAGGATGAATACATCCATGCGGTGCTGTCTTCAGCGACAGGAAATCTTGGAAGGAGAGTTGATCCTCGCTATTCATGGTGGCTGTGCTGTGTAAGTGACTCCCTGAGTAAACTGAGAAAGTACTGATCAAACCCAACCCTTTCAAAGTAGAGAAAACATGACACCCTGCAAAGTCAGAGACAGTCACCAGACGCCATATAAAGTATGTGCGTCCATTCAGCCAGCACAGCTAGTACTTGTCAAGTTCCAGGGACTGTACTGAGCCTCTATAAACAGAAGCAAACAATGTCTCCCCACTCTCGGGGATCTTTCAGTCTAGTGAGAATTTGATGTAAAGTAAAACTTCAAATGGGGATTTGAAATGGTTCCCTGTTAATTTAAGGTGTGATATAATAATATCCATTCAAAACGCAAGGGCTTTTTTGAGAAATATAGACAATATTGTCTGGGATTTTTTTTTTTCTGCTAAGAATAGCTGACAGACCAGCAGCTGACGCCAACCAGGTGGGGGTACAAAATTCAGTCTTGAATTATCCATGATCTCTGGGAAATTTTCCCGCAATTCTTTGACTTTGCTCAGGCTCTCCTCCTAGACAGCAATTCTCCCTCCAATTCAACTTCCCACACATTTGGAGTCTGAGCCACCCTGGGCCCCTCTTCCAGGAGGCCCTCCCGGGTGTCTTGGAGGGATGTACTTCTCCCCTCTCCACATCTGTGCCAGGCTCTGTCACGGTCAGCCGCGCACATGCAGGAAGCCACTCTGCTTCCTGGCGACACAAATGCACGGCCTTCCTCAGCAGCAGGGACGGGGCTTGTTTGTGGGCTTACGCCCCAGCAAACAAAACAATAGCTGGCTCGAGTCCGTGCTTCATGGATGTTTTTAAAGGAATTAAATGGTGATGATATTTAAAGCAGGGGTCCTCAACCCCCGCGCCGTGGCCTGTTAGGAACCCAGACACACAGCAGGAGGTGAGTGGCAGTCCAGCAAGTGAGCCAACGAAGCTTCACCTGTATTTACAGCTGCTCCCCACTGCTCACATGACCGCCTGAGCTCCACCTCCTGTCAGATCAGGGGCGGCATTAGATTCTCATGGGAGCTCGAACCCTATTGTGAACTGTGCGTGCGAGCGATCTGGGCTGTACGCTCCTTATGAGAAACTAACTAATGCCTGATGACCTGCCACTGTCTTCCATCAGCCTGAGACGCGACCCTCTAGTTACAGGAAAACAGGCTCAGGGCTCCCACTGATTCTATGTGATGGTGAGTTGCATAATTATTTCAATGTATGTTATAATGTAATAATAATAATAGAAATAAAGTGCCCAATACACGTAAATGTGCTTGAGTCAACCTGAAGCCATCCCCCTCACCCTGTCTGTGGAAACATTGTCTTCCACGGGTTCCTGGTGCCAAAAAGGTTGGGGACCACTGATTTAAGGCATCAGGGAACTGTATGGTTAAGATGTGAGTTAAATTATCACCCACAGGGCAAGTTAGTGATCATTTTACCAGTGGAAAGCTAAGGAGCCGGCTATGGTTCCCCTCTCACACTGTCATACAGGGGAGGGGAGCAGGGACACCAGCGGGTGGAAATCTCACCTCCCCACAAGGTTCAGCCATCCTCAGAGGCTTCCCCATGCCCCGCAGGGAGCCCAGGGCTCTGCCACACTGTCCTAGCTTCATCTGAGCCCCGCTTTGACCCCTCTCCTCCTCCATCTTTAGTGAGGCTGATGAAGCACCCCTGACATTCAGCCATTCGAGAGCCTTCCATGGATTCTTCGAGGAAGAGGACCGGGATCCGATCAGCTGTTCTCTTCCCATGTCTCTCATCATTCTTTCGTCCTACAAACTGATAGGGAACTCCTCCAAGACATATGTCCCTGAAGAGAAGGAAGAAGCCCTCATTACACACGATGAGATTTGGTTCCTCTCAGGTTATCTTGACCACCTGGGGATGTTCAGCCCCATAGCTAATTGCCTCAAGGAAGGCATTGAAGGGCAAGAGGAGACTTTTGAGGGTCTCCTAAAAGGCACAATAAAACCCTTGACGGTAGCCCAGGAACCTGGGTTATCGCGGGCCTTCATTTTGACAGTACAGGCACACACGGGACCACAGACATGTCTGTGAGTCCTCTGGCTTTGGAATGACTTCATTTCGTTCATCTAACCACCTCGCTCATGGACATCTACCTGACTGAGGACTCCTTAATCTGCTTAAATCCTGGCAAGCACAGGACCTCTGCGATAATTTTTTCCGGTCATGGACATAACTTACAAGCACTGCTGAATGTGGACCTACTTGGCTCCACACAATAATAAATGTAAGTCATAAAATCCAAAACATTTGCCAGTACAGGACTCAAATATAAATAGCTAACAGACACTATCCCGAAAGATCGTTTCAGTATAATTTTATGACACTGCAAGCAGGGAAGTCATTACTTTACCCTAAATTCTTTTAGAGAAAGTGAGACCTCCTCCCAAGAGGAACATGAATTTGGTCCCAATAAATTTTGACTCAAAGTATAATTGCATTTTGTGACTTGATCTCACCTGCAAATCCAACCTCGCATGATTGAAAAGATTGACTAAGACTGTGAAACTTGAGTAAGAATTTAGGCACGCCATAGGCAGCCTGTCATCTCTCAGAGAAGAAATTAAGGATTCCAGTGACTTCCGAGGTGACGGAGACAGTGACAGGCCACAGCTGTCTCTCTCCCACCTCTAAACTTCTCCTTCTCCTTAAAATAACCAGTGAGTGCTATGACTGTCATCTAAGACCACTCTTAAGAAGCAGAAGCGGCCAGGCACAGCGGTTCACGCCTGTAATCCCAGCACTTGGGGAGGCCGAGGTTGGCGGATCACGAGGTCAAGAGATTGAGACCACACACACCTGTAGTCCCAGCTACTCAGGAGGCTGAGGCAGGAGAATCGCTTGAAACCAGGAGGCAGAGGTTGCAGCGAGCAGAGACCTCGCCACTCTAGCCTGGACGACAGAGCGAGACTCCATCTCAAAAAAAAAAAAAAAAGAAGCAGCAGCATTACATTAATGCAGGTACGGTGATCCTAATTAGCTCTCACTGTATCATTTAATCCACATGATAGTTTACATATTATACTTCATGTTTGTGTGATTTTCTCATTTGACTTTTTCATACATCCAATGAAACACAGAGCTACATATGGCTATTCCCTTCTCATGACTGACAAATGTGATACAAAATTATTTAGGATTTGCTCAAATTCACAGGACTAGCTGGTGATGAGGCTGTGATGAGAAGACTGGGACCCACATTCTTTCCCCACGTCCTCTCCATTACCCACTAGGGAGCAGTGGGTCAGGAGGTCTCAGCGAGGTGTGAAAAATAACCCTCTTATTACAAGGACTATTAGGCACCCAAGCGCATGTCTATGAGAAACAGTGTAACTGGATCATTTGGAGATTTCTTTTTCAAGATGATTCAATTATTATTTTCATTAACAGTGAAGTAGGAGGTGGAACTTGACTCCAGAGGTGGGGCTTGGACAATGGACCACATTGAGGACTAGCTAAAACACGGCCCCTGGGGCACAAGCAGCTTTTGATCAGACACGCCCGCCAGTGTGCCATGTCAGTTTAACGAGGAGGCTGTGCCTGAGTGAGGCAGGGAGTGTGTAGAGAAGAAGCGTTCAATTTTGCTGTGAAACTAAAACTACTCTATAAATAAAGTATTTTAAAATAAATAACACACGCATGGAAAGTGAACAAGCTATATATATATATATATATATACAGGCACACACACATATATATATAATATATATACAAAACTCTACGAATTATTGCCAAATGAACACAGTAATGTAGCCACCATCCCCATCAGGAACCCAACCTCTGGGAAGCTCTCAAGGGCTGTCTTTGCTGAGACCTCACAGTGTCCTTTCTCCGTGCTATCTGCCTCCACGTCCAGCTCTGATCCTGGGAAATGGGGAAGGTGTGTAGACCAGGGCAGCCAAGGTCAGCAACAGGCATCCAGGAGGAAACAGGTTCAAGCTAAGGAGGCCAGAACAATGTCACCCCCTGAAGGAAAAGGCTCTCCCATAACAAGAGCCTCAGGCACGTTGGTAGACCAAAAAAAAAAAGCTATTTACGAGCAGGGAGGATAATTCTAGCGCCCCACACACCATTCCACAGAGGCGGCTGCAATCATAGAACACGGCAATTTTTCTAGGTGACGGGGGACTTCCATGACCTTAAGTCAGACTCGATATTCAAATTGGTATTTACCAATTATAATGCTGTAACTTATAATACTAAATGAAAAATTATAACATATGTATGACTCTAGAGAGACCCAAATCCAGGTAGCCTCATTAATCTGCCGAATGAGGGGAGGGCATGATCTCCATGGTCTGCAGTGTTATCCCAAAAGCGCCTGTGTTTTCATGAAGTTTTGAAAAAATCCACGTGGCAAAGCTCAGTCAGGTATCTCACTGCCACTCTGGTATTAAACGCACATTTGTTTATCAGCAGGCAGGAGCCTTTAATCCCCCTTCATGGCCAGAAGCAATCCCAGCTGACATCTAATTAAAATGTTCAGTTCTAAACCTGTTGAGGTTACTGTCTTAGATGGTTCAAGTTCCTCGCCTGCCCCATCAGCCACGTGTGTAGAAAAGCATGCCTGTGCAGAGCCTGCCATTGCCCTTTGGAAGAAGGGAGAACTGAGACCAGCAGAGGCAGCCCACACTCGTGGTTGGAGAGACATCCTTGGATTCCACGCAGCAGAGTTAGGAACATGCACTGCCCCACTCAGGAGAGCGTGGCTTGGGGATTAAGTGCCCCCAGCCCAGTGGCTACACAGGGAGTTCCTTCCTCAGGAAACCCCCTTCCACTCCCTGGAAACATCGGAAGAGATAACGCCAAGGTCTCTTGGCTTCTCAGGCCAAGACTCTGTAACCAGTTAGTAAGGACCCAGCATCTGAGTCTGATCTGGTTTTCCGGTAGGATGAGTCCATAGCAACAGAGGTCAGCTTCAGCTAACGTGGTGTGGGGCTATAGATACCCCGGTAAGACCACCTTTGTTTCAAGAACAAGCAGCTCTTGTTAAGGAATCCCCTGTGCCTTCCCTCCTACGCCAGCCACCTCCCCACAGCCCCTGCAAGACACCTGCAGAGTTTCTTGCTCGGAAAACCTAACCCCGCTGACATCATCACTATCACCCCTGTGCTCTGGGGTTAAACAACACGGCAGCAGGATGACCTGACCTCCTCACCACCAGGAGATTCAGGCTGCCCGAGTAACAAGTGCCCCAGTCAGATGCAGGGTAGGTCATACACGCAGAAAGACAACTTTCCACCTGCAGGTGAGCTCACCTGGAACCAGCCCACGGCAGACACTCCATTCGCATTGGCCGTCCAAGTTTTAGGTGGGAATTTAGACAGTTTCCAAAATGTTTGAAATAGTTCTGTTATGCTTCCATGGCAGCCTTTGAAAACTCTTCTCTGTATCACTAAGTAAATTACCTGTTACCTTGGCCTTATTTTAACAAGCCAAAGGATAGATTGAGAGAAGCAAAGAAATCTGTCAACGTTTTCATCAACTTGTCACAAATTCCCTCTGTTAGTCAGAATTATATCAAAGAAACTAGAGACCCTAGTTTCTCTATGGTTAGGATTATAATTGAATTCTCTAAATCACCATGTTTATTACTCAAAATTGTTTCAGTTTAAATCCAAGAAGAGAAGAATGTGTTCATGGTAACATATTACAGATCTAATATATGAGAGCAGTGATTTCAGACAATGCTGAGGGGTAACGAAGAGCATAAAATGAGTATTCAGTGACTTAGTGGGGGCCTGCCAGAGCCTCCTCCCATATTCATATTTGATACATTTATGAGAATAAAAAATTATGCTGTTCAAGTGCTACCAAGTATTTAGGCATATGTCAAGAGAGGCACAATTATCTTGCTTCCTGGGGTAATGTGACAGTGTCATGGTCCCATTTCATAAAGGATAGAGGTAGCCTGATTGACAAGGTGATTTTCATGTTACCACGAGGCAGGAAACCCCAGCGCCGGGCTGTAACTTCTGTCCTCAGAGCCACCAAGCAAAAGTGTTGTGCGGTGATGCCCGCTGCCAGAACAGACATGATTGCGTGGAAATTGAGGTCGCATCTGCTGAAATTGCCAGTGGATGTTCAACCTGCGAGCAGTGTCATTAGAGCAGGAAGAAGGCATGAAAGCTGGAAAGCCAATTCATGCTCGGCTTGGGTACACAGTCTGACCGGGAAAAGCTCACTGGCACCGCAAGTCCACTCAGCCCTTCATCAAAGGAGAACACGGAATGTTCGTCGCCAGATAAAATCGTTGTTCATTTGCAGGTTTTGGTTTTGAAAATTCATGTTGGTTAGCATTGTATCATTGAGGTTGGCACTGATTGACCCGATGTCCTAGGCACAAGGCCTGCTGATTCCCCAGGAGTCCTGTGAGGCAGGGGAGAAAAGAGTCTTCCTTCCCATCATAGAGTGAGCAATCAGCGTCTCAGAGATGCTAAGTGATTTTTTCAACGTGCAAGACACCAATCGAATGTGCTGAAGTGGCAACAAGGAGATCCTGGCCACCCCAGGGCAAGTGTGTGCTGAGACTTTCCCTTGGAGCTGCCTGCAGCCATGCACTGGGGGGTGCTCACTGGAGAAAGAGAGGCTCACACAGACACGGGACTGCTGGGTGCAGGGTCTGAGCTGACCTCGGAAGGCAGAAGCATTCCCTCTGAAAACTGGCACAAGACAGGGATGACCTCTCTCACCACTCCTATTCAACATAGTGTTGGAAGTTCTGGCCAGGGCAATCAGGCAGGAGAAAGAAATAAAGGATATTCAATTAGGAAAAGAGGAAGTCAGATTGTCCCTGTTTGCAGATGACATAATTGTATATTTAGAAAACCCCATCATCTCTGCCCAAAATCTCCTTAAGCTGATAAGCATCTTCAGCAAAGTCTCAGGATACAAAATCAATGTGCAAAAATCACAAACATTCTTATACACCAATAACAGACAAACACGGAGCCAAATCATGAGTGAACTACCATTGACAATTGCTTCAAAGAGAATAAAATACCTAGGAATCAAACTTACAAGGGATGTGAAGGACCTCTTCAAGGAGAACTACAAACCACTGCTCAATGAAATAAAAGAGGACACAAACAAATGGAAGAACATTCCATGCTCATGGATAGGAAGAATCAATACCATGAAAGAAATGGCCATACTGCCCAAGGTAATTTATAGATTCAACGCCATTCCCATCAAGCTACCAAAGACTTTCTTCACAGAATTGGAAAAAACTACCCTAAAGTTCATACAGAACCAAAAAAGAGCCAGCATCGCCAAGTCAATCCTAAGCTAAAAGAACAAAGCTGGAGGCATCACGCTACCTGACTTCAAACTATTCTACAAGGCTACAGGAACCAAAACAGCATGGTACTGGTACCAAAACAGAGATATAGACCAATGGAACAGAACAGAGCCCTCAGAAATAATACCACACATCTACAACCATCTGATCTTTGACAAACCTGATAAAAACAAGAAATGGGGAAAGGATTCCCTATGTAATAAATGGTGTTGGGAAAACTGGCCAGCCATATGTAGAAAGCTGAAACTGGATCCCTTCCTTACACCTTATACTAAAATTAATTCAAGATGGATTAAAGACTTAAACGTTAGACCTAAAACCATAAAAACCCTAGAAGAAAACCTAGGCATTACCATTCAGGACATAGCCATGGGCAAGCACTTCATGTCTAAAACACCAAAAGTAATGGCAACAGAAGCCAAAATTGACAAATGGGATCTAATTAAACTAAAGAGCTTCTGCACAGCAAAAGAAACTACCATCAGAGTGAACAGGCAACCTATAGTATGGGAGAAAATTTTTGCAATCTACTCATCTGACAAAGGGCCAATATCCAGAATCTACAAAGAACTCAAACAAATTTACAAGAAAAAAACAAACAACCCCATCAAAAACTGGGCAAAGGATATGAACAGATACTTCTCAAAAGAAGACATTTATGCAGCCAAGACACATGAAAGAATGCTCATCATCACTGGCCATCAGAGAAATGCAAATCAAAACCACAATGAGATACCATCCCACACCAGTTAGAATGGCCATCATTAAAAAGTCAGGAAACAACAGGTGCTGGAGGGGATGTGGAGAAATAGGAACACTTTTACACTGTTGGTGAGACTGTAAACTAGTTTAACCATTGTGGAAGACAGTGTGGCGATTCCTCAGGGATCTAGAACTAGAAATACCATTTGACCCAGCCATCCCATTACTGGGTATATACCCAAAAGATTATAAGTCATGCTGCTATAAAGACACATGCACACGTATGTTTACTGCGGCACTATTCACAACAGCAAAGACTTGGAACGAACCCAAATGTCCATCAATGATAGACTGGATTAAGAAAATGTGGCATATATACACCATGGAATACTATGCAGCCATAAAAAATGATGAATTCATATCCTTTGTAGGGACATGGATGGAGCTGGAAACCATCATTCTCAGCAAACTATCGCAAGGAGAAAAAACCAACCACCGCATGTTCTCACTCATAAGTGGGAATTGAACAATGAGAACATTTGGACACAGGAAGGGGAACATCACACACCGGAGCCTGTTGTGGGGTGGGGGGAGTGGGGAGGGACAGCATTAGGAGATATACCTGATGTAAATGACGAGTTAATGGGTGCAGCACACCAACATGGCACATGTATACATATGTAACAAACCTGCACGTTGTGCACAGGTACCCTAGAACTTAAAGTATAATAAAAAAATTAAATCAAATTAAAATTAAATTAAAAAATAAAATAAAAGGGAAGACTTGAAAAAAAAAAGAAAGAAAATTAAATGACTTATTATGTCTAGTGCCTGGTACATTTCTAGTGGTCATAAGTTCCTTTCATTCTGAAATGTGTGAAACAACAAGTTGATGAAAGGAAAAGAAACTTACCAATAAACAAAGGAAAAAAAAATCTGAGCCTTGAGCAGTTTCAACTAACCAGAGACTTCTTTTGTCCCATCTTTAAGGTAAGGTGAAAATAAAAAGACCAGGTGGGTCTGTTTTCAGACTCACTGGTGACATGTAAGCTTCATGTTTGCACAGCTGTAATTTCTCATTCATGACGCTGGTGCTAAGCTGTTCCCACCTACACGAAAATACCTTTCAGTCTGTTCAGCAAGCCCAATGTCCCCACCAACAGCCTTCACAGCTCCTCAAGCCCATCTTAGGGGGATTGGCCCAAGCAGGCCTTGTCTGTTTACCTCCAAACGAGGATTACCCTGAAATTGAAAACACCAGGAAGCACGGCGGAACCTACAAAGCCCATTAATAAATTAAAGCATGAGAGAGAGGGAGAGCAACCTTGGTCTGAAGTGAAAGGTGGTGCCAGGGCACCTACCCTCTTCAGCCTCTGAAAGCCTCCGTGCTAAACTTCTCTGCGTGGCACCAATAAAGCAATCAGGCATCTCAGGACTTCAGCAACAGCACACAATGAATTAACAACCTGAACATCGGGCCATCTGCAGACAGGACAGGAAAATATAATGCTGAGGCCAGGTCTCCTAGAGATGTCTGAGTATTTTATCATAAACATCCAAACTTATGTCTTTCTTTCTCTAATTAACTATGACAGCTCAATTTCTGAGATGTCTGAGAGAGACCAAGTCCAAGGGCGATATCACAGGAATGGAAAATCCAACGAGAGACTGCAATATAAAATAAAAGGCATAAATGAGATACTTTGAATTCAGTTAATAAAAATTGTATTTCTGAAACATGAGTCTTAAACTGTAACATTAAATACAAACTGATTTACTTATGCAAATGATGGGTGAGCATTTTTGAGCAGGCATGCACATATGACTATAAGTAAATTTAAAAATAAAAATAATATTATGTCACTTTTTTCTACAGAACAAACAAGTGTGAATTTTCTTTGGCATTACATTGAAAAGAACATTGGCCTTCCAGCTAGATTCAAGTCTTCCAACGATATCTCTTCGTTTGGATGTGGCGCGTCACAGACATCACCTATGGGCATGCGAGTCTGCTGCTTGGGGAGCTTCCGGCTTCTACCCAGGGTGCAGAAAGCTGGAAGGAACATTGCTGCTTCTCAAACAAAAAGAATAAAGCTGGAAAACTATAAAATTACAACTTAATCAGAGGAGAGTTGAGGTTTCAGGGCAACCCACTAGCCCAAATTCTAAGGAAAGACAGGCCCCTACAAGAGAGACGACACGCACACCGGCTAAACATCAAGGGAAGGGAAGAGGGGCACAGAAAGGCCTGCCCTGCTTGTGGAGTGTTTTGAAGAGGAAAAGCTCCGAGAGGACAGTGACAGCAAATCTCTCCATCTCTCCGAGTTGGAAGATTGCACCCTCTGAAAGAGGAAAGGAGAAAGATGACAAGTCTTCCATTCCAAGCACTTTTATTTTGTGCTTAGAAGATGCCGGATACCATTACCCAATTGCTCCGTTTCACAAATCTTATGCAGATTCAATTTAAAAACTGGTAGGGATGGTGCATAAACTGCTTAAAGACAGAAATAGCAGCAGATGAGGATGAGAACATGGCAAGCTGGAACCCAGCTCTTTTGACTTTGTCTAACTCACCCAGAAGGACCATTGCTTTGCACAGTGAAGATGGATGGACCCTAAAGAGCAGGATGAGGAGGTCCGTGGCCTTCCACTGCATATGCCGGAAAGACTTTCTGTAAAGTAGTGGCACGATGAAAGCGATTACTGACGAGAGGAGACGCATTCTCAGTCGTACTCACTAGACACAAGGGCCGAGGAGCAGGCGTGCCGCTGGAGTCAGCCGTGCGTGTTGAGAGGCGCACACACAGCGGCTGAGGGGGTCCATGGCCAGGGCATCAGCCACAGCTCAGCAGAAGCGAGGAGGGCGCTTGATAACTTAGCTCCTCTCTTTCACTGCCCTCCACGTGGAAAATGATTTCATCTTTCTAAAACTGGGCGATCGAGAATGTCTAGCTGTCTTTCGTCCTATCCTTAAAGAACCTCACAATCTAATTTGGAGAACATTTCATATTGTAAGTGTATTTCTTATAGCATACAGCATGGTGTAGCCCACAGGAGGGGCTCAATCCATTTTTTTAGCTGGATTCAAAAAAAAAAACTTCATTTTCTCCATCAACCTAGCTTCCCAGCATACTACTTCACTATTTCATTGCAAAAATAGGCTACAAATATGAAAGGAAGTGGTACAATTGAGAATATTTTTTAAAAATGTTAATAGGTAATTTATTGTTATTTCTGTAAATAACCGATGTGATGCCGTTCAAATGTGGCTGAAATGTCGGCCTACGAGTCACAGGGTGTGATTTGTGAGGCTACAATCTGTCCCACCTATGAATCATGCAGCGTGACTTTTCTTGCACACTGTCCTCCGCTCCATGCTCCAAAAATGAGCATAAATCTCAAAGGAGTGGACCCATTTAAGCAAGCGTATTGTGAATGAACTTAAATATATGCATATTCATGATGGAAAACAATAAACACAAGAGAAAAGATAAACATATGGATAAAAGATGCAGAGGGGCCAGGCACAGTGGCTCACGCCTGGCACTTTGGGAGGCCGAGGTGGGCAGATCACTTGAGGTCAGGAGTTCGAGACCAGCCTAGCCAACATGGTGAAACCCCATCTCTACTAAAAATACAAAATAAAAAATCAGCAGGATGTGGTGGCGAGCGCCTGTAATCCCAGCTACTCGGGCAGCTGAGGCACAAGAATTGCTTGAACCCGGGAGGCGGAGGTTGCAGTGAGCCAAGATCGCACCAGTGCACTCCAGCCTGGGTGACAGAGCAAGACTCTGTCTCAAGAAAAGAAAACAAAACAAAACAAAATGCAGACGCAGTCGTCTTCACTCCTGGAGTCACGATGCCCGTGGCTAACTTGGTATAGACATGTTTCTAACAATAGTTTTATTGTTAGACTGGTCAACTCAAAACAACCTGGTATGTATCCATCCATAATTTCCTCAATATTAATATAAATACATATGAATGTGCTTCCATATATGCATGCATATACTTTTATATAACATTTGTATAAAGTGTTGTGGTCAATATTTGCTTTACAAAAAATGAGGTCTATTCATCTTATTTACTCAACAGCACTGTGTGGAAACCTCACTGAATTAATTGGCATAAATCAAATACATGTTTTAAGGCTGCATAGTATCATAAGATGTCTTTACACTTACTGATGAGCTTTCATTGTCTCCAGGAGTTCTTTGGGTCACTATGAACAATGTTACTAGAACATCCTTGTTCATACAGACTTTTATGGTACTGGTGTTTCTGTGGGATAGTGTCAGAAGTGGGTTGCTAGGTGACAGGGCATAGGTATATTTAATTTGCATAGAATTTGACATCCTATTCTAAAAAAAACATGTTGTAACAGTTTCTATTTCCGGCAACACTGTATCTGTGCCTTCTTTTCCACATAGCCCTGCTTGGCAGTATAAGTGTTACTGCTGTTTAAAATTTTTACCAGTGTGATGGATACCAGTGATACCTCATTGCTATTTTAATTGGGACTTTCCAGTCTCCTTGTAGTTTTAAATGTTGATTCCTGTGTTCAATGGTCATTTTCATTGCTCTTCTATGACCTGCTAAGTCATAAACTTTGCTTATTTTTCTATTTATTTGTCTTTTTCTTTTAATTTGTAAGAACACTGTGTATATGACATAAATTCACAAGTATATTTTTCCATATCACTTGTCTGTTGACTTTACTGGAATTTTTGTCACCTTTCCATATAACTTTGAGCATCTGGTCTTGACTAAAACAGTATCTCGAATCTCTAAGTAGAGTCGTTGGGGAATTTATTTACATCTTAGGAGCGCAAAGTTGGATGATATAATCTTCATAAAAGATTATCATCTTTTTATTTTATGAATGACACTCTTATATTTATTCAGTTCAGTGTTTGGTTACTTGTTTTTCCATAATTTACCGATCCAGCATTTAAAATAAAAGCTGGGACTTTGACAAAACCTACATCTCAGCACACGGTAGCCCTCCCTCACCCACTGTGTCTCTGGGCTTGAAGTGGCCATCACACTGCACTCTTGCTCAGCCTCCTTCCTTTCCTCTGTCTTTGTGTAGTTGCATCTTTTTCCGTTGTCACAGTGCAGCCTCAACCTCCAAGGTTCAGGTAAGCCTCCCACCTCAGCCTCCTGAGTAGCTGGGACTACAGGTGCACAAACCACTGTGGGCTAATTTTTGGTTTTTATGGGGTTTTTTGTTTTGTGGTAGAGACAAGGTTTCACCATGTTGCTCAGGCTGGTCTCAAACTCCTTGGTCCAAGCAATCCTCCCACCTCAGCCTCTCAAAGTGCTGGGATGACAGCCATAAGCCACCGCATCTGGCTGAAATTCATATGTTGACCCCCTAATTGGAGCCCTGATCCAATGGAGCTGCTGTACTATTCAGAAGAGGAGGAGACGCCAGGGTTGGGCACCAGGAGGCCCACGTGAGGATACTGAGAGAGGGCGGCCATATGCACACCCAGGAGAGAGGCCTCAGGAGAAACCAGCCCAGCCACACCTTGCTCTGGGACTTCCAGCCTCTAGAACTGTGAGGAAATAAATATCAGTTGTTTAAGCCGCCCACTGTGTATTTGATTATGAGAGCCTTAGCAGACTAATACACCTGAAAGTAAAATATGCTCTTACATATTAATACATATTAGCACCTAGGATTTGCTACTGAGGTTATATGGTCAGGTAGCATGTGAGATCAATCTTTGCGGACTGGAGTGCCTTCTCCTAACGTCACAGGGGAATGTGGCACTGATCCTACATCCCTGCAGGTCGTTCACGCAGCTGGGAGTCCTCTCCTGAGGCCATGGGCTTTATTCGGTGGCTCACAATTTACTTCACTGATCAATTTGTTTATTCTCCCACCCAGGCAATATCGACCTGATTGTGCTGGCTCTGTAGTGTGTTTTTGTCAGTCACAATCCCCCTCCCTACTTCAGCTACTGACATTTTAACTCTTTCTCAGCAATTTTGGATTACTGATTTTTCAAATCCAGAAAGTTTTGATGGGATTTAATTTTGAACTGAATGAAGCATACGGGGATGGCAGAAGAAGGCACTGCACAGTGTCTTCTCTTGCTAGAATCTGGAATATCTTTCTATTCTGTCAGAACCTTTTGCTGTGTTTTTCAAAAAGTTTTAAATTTTCTGTATGAAGGCCAGGCTGTTCCTGTCCTTCTATCAACTAGACCTGATTGCTGGTATGAGTGTAAGTGGACCGGGGTCTTTCCCCTTTTCATCTCTAGATGCTTAGTGAGTTTAAAGAAATGCTACGGACTTTTGTATATTTATTTTGAACGTAACCAGCATAAGACATATTTTTAATTCTAGTTTCCTTTAACTAGAATCTCTTGAGTATTCCCCATCAGCCATTATAAAATCAGCAAAGATAGAGAGTGTAATGTCTTTTGCCTCATATTAATTTGGTTTGATTCACTTTATTGTCTTACTACTATTTTTAAAACTTCTTGTATAATAATATTAATCACAAAATGATCCATCTAATTCCAGATTTTAATTGACACTTTTCGAGTGTTTTGCTGCTTAGATGATATTGTTTGTTCTGACAGTATTTTCTGCCCTATCTGTCTTACCTTCTTGTATTCCTAATACACAGAGAGGTGTTTTAGGACTGCCTGCTATATTCTACCAAGTGCAGTTTTAGCATATAATGGTATGGTTATTTGATTTTTTTCTCTTATTAATGTGTGCACTACATCAACAGATCTCCTGAAAATAAACCTCCTTTTGACTCTTGAAATAAGCTGCAACAGGCCCTAGTGTATGTCTTTAATATTGTATTATATTCTATATACATACATTTTTATTCAGAATTTTGCATCTCTCAACTGAAAATCAATCAAGTAGACTATAAAGATTTGATATTAAAGTTGCATGGTACTTTTAACACAAATTGTTCTACATGATATAGATTAGTTTAAACAATGTTCCATTTATCTTTTCTTTAAAGCAAGTTAGATATTAGTGGCAAAACCCCTGATTCTGGTGACTTTTAGAATAACAAACCTTAGACCACCTTGCTAAGCTCTAAAATGGTAAGTGGTACGTTCAAGACCTCCACATCTTCATTGTTAAGGAGCATGTCAAAATTCTTACCGTTGTTGTTTCAGTTTTGGTTTTGTCAGCAAACTCCTTGAGATGTGAGAAAATAAAACTCTTTTTAAGCAATGGTAAGTTTTGTTACCTAGTTACTTATGGGCAGGCATATCGTAACTGATATGGAATTTGGTAACAAGAAGAGACGTGCTCCAAGAAACAGACCCTAAATTGTGGAAACAGGTGCCAGCGTGTGGCTCAGTGGAAAAGGCAGGGCAGCAGGTGTCAAAGAGAGGAACAGCCCCCCCATTCCTTCTCGAAGGAAAGAGGGATGCTTCCTATACCTTCTAGAAGGAAAGACAGATGCCTCAGGCCCCAGCTCTTTGTGCTTCTACCACTGTGAGGGCAGGAGGTAGGCATGGCATGAACCTCTCTTTTGAACCTGTCACCTACCATTTTTAATGTAAAAAATCGCCTTCTACTCATTATGAAGTCATGGAGCAGAACTTTGTAACATTTTCCTGTGATATTTACACAGAAATCTGTAATATATGTGCATCTTGTATTGCACATGGCATCTTTTTAATTTATAAAGCATTTTCACGCATCCAGCTGCACATGAGCCTCTGGGAAGTCCATGAGCTGCCCCATTACACACAACACTCTACAAAGATGGGAAGGAAATGGCACTGGCAGGTTGCACCATTTGTCAGAAGCAGAAATGGAGTCTGAACCACATGCTTTGATCTCCAAGTCCAGTCACAGGGCCACTCACTATGGCTACCTCAATCAACGTTACTAAAAAACTCTTCACTCGCCACAACCACCTCAGTTGATATTGCCTTGCACATACGACTTACAGCAAACCAGGGAGGCCCTTCCCAAGCACAGCATTCGTGCAGCACCGTGGGTATGTGACTGGGTATGAGTGGGCCCTGGGAAAAACAAACACAGCCCCCAGATGCAAACTGTAGCCTCAGTTATGAATTATAGGAGCTCTCATTTCAGAGGCATTCTACAAACACAAACAAATAAATGCATGACAAGACTAAGACAATTATATATATGTTATATACATTTATATGTATAAATATATATTCAAATATATATACGAAATATAATAAAGCAATAAATGTGGCTATGATCAAGTATTTCCTGTTACTCTTCGAATCAAGGCTGTCAGACTTAGAGAAACCAACCATATAAAACTGTAGCAATTTCTCAGTAAATTTTAACTATTATTGGCCATGACAATGAGCCAGTCTTGTGCTAAGCCCTCTCTGTGCCCTGTTAATTTTGGCACTAATTGCATTGTGTGGGCTTTTATGTACCTTTCCATTGTGTATATTTTTAAATTATCCTTCCATGAGTACTTTATGCTAGCAAAATCATGAAAAAAAAATGCGTTGTTAAAAAAAATACACGGGGTCTGTATCTAGGCTAAGCCCAGAATACCAGGGCGTGAATCTGCAACCCCAGGGAGATAGATGGAGTCTGACTCCAGGGAGATAGATGGAGTGCTGTAATCCCAGCACTTTGGGAGGCCGAGGCGGGCAGATAACCTGAGGTCAGGAGTTCGAGACCAGCCTGGCCAACTTGGCAAAACCCTGTCTCTACTAAAAATACAAAAATGAGCATGGTGTGGTGGCGGGCACCTGTAATCCCAGCGACTCAGGCGACTGAGGCAGGAGTATCGCTTAAACCCAGGAGACGGAGGTTACCGTGAGCCAAAATCTTGCCACTGCACTTCAGCCTGGGCAACAGAGCGAGAATCTGTCAGGAAGGGAAGGGAAAGGGAGGGGAGGGGGAAAAAAGAGGCAAGAGAATGTTATGTACCAACTTCAAGCAAGACAGTGGTAAACTCTGGAGTGGAAGACAGGGAAAGGATGGGCGTCCAGGTTTAACGACCTCGAATAGTTAAGTGTGTACACACATGCCTGTGCGTTTCCCTGTCACATGTTTTTCTGAAGTGTTCTAAGTGTTTTTAAATTTTTAATTATAAAACTACAAAACTAAAATAGATCAATGCATAGCAAACACGGATAGAAGGAGAAATGGAGGGAAGAAAAAACAAACAGAAGAGAGTACCCCAGCAAAAATTTCCAAAATTATCCTTTAGAATTTACAAAGTGGCACAGTTGTTCTTGATTTGGTTATATACAGACAGAACAAGTTCATCTGGGTTGATAAATTATAATATACGCAGCAGTGTTTGCTTTAATATGTACCAGGGCTGATTTACAGGTTATTTTTAACTAGATATTTCCTCGGATGTCTCTAGTCCTGCCAGGTGGGCTAATAAGAACGAATCTAGCAGAGGCTCTGATGTGATTTGCTTCGATTTCTTTAACTTTAGGCAATCTTGATGAAGCACCTGTCGTGGGCCAGGCAGGCTCTCAGAGCAAAGGTGCAGCCGTGAAGAACACAGGTGTTCTGCCCTCATGGAGCCGCGGCGCATAAATACTAAGGATTCGGTGTGTTAATTGCCTGCATGTTTGCAATAGTGCTGTAAGCTTACTGGAAAACAGAGTTAGTGAGTGTAAACATTTCTTCTATGACCTTGTTCACGTTCACTCTTTTGCTCAGTAAATCCTATGCTCACAAATAATTCTAAACAAAATTTACCTTGGTGCCAAACTAAGTTATCTCACATTTCACATTAAAGATCCCAAAGAAAGTAAGATTGTACCAGCATTGTGCATATCAGTTAATAACATGAACTCTTGCTGTAATGAATGCAGTGTCCACCCACTGACGTATTGCTTGATTCCAATCCCTAGTGAGCAGCTATTCTGTGCACTGGTAGCACTAAGAGGCAGAGGAGCCCAGGGCTGGGTGGTCTCCAATGCTCAGGGGATGAGCGATGGAAGGAATGAATGGTGTCGCTGCTTGGATACAGGCAGGAAGTATTTTCTCAAAATGCTGTAAAGCAGCAATGGTGTACATATGGAACATTTTTTAAAAGCTTGCTTATGGCCAGGCGCAGTAGCTAACACCTGTAATCCCAGCACCTTGGGAGGTCGAGGCCAGCAGATGGCTTCAGCCCAGGAGAGACCAGCCTGGGAAACATAGTGAAACCCTATCTTTACCAAAAATACAAGAACTAGCCGGGCATGGTGGTGTGTGCCTGTAATCCCAGCTACTCTGGAGGCTGAGGCATGAGGATGGCTTGAGCCTGGGAGGCAGAGGTTGCAGGGAGCCCAGACTGAGCCTCTGCACTCCAGCCTGGGCGACAGAGGGAGACTCTGTCTCAAAATAAATAAATAAATATAAAAATAAAAGCCTCCTTGTACTCAGGTAGCCTAGTTGACAGATGAATAGAAGGACTTGGGTTTTTTCTTTTTGTTGCAATCTTTAAAAGAAAAACACGGAAATACATACCTGCAAGTTTTCCTCTGTTTGGGCAAAAGAACTGAAGCCATGCTGAAAACGTCACTCTGTGACAGCAAACGGCAGCCTGGAAGTGGGGTTGGAAGGTTCCCACTTCTGGAGCAGGCTCTGCCCATTTGATGGAGCAGGCTGTGCTGATGCAGGCCCCACCCACCTGGTGGAGCTTGTCACGCCCACCCAACAGAGGGCCACGCCCACCCGCTGAAGCAAGTCCCTAGGTTCCCTGTCCCTCTGGCTGGCTGCAGCCTGCCTTAGGCTACCACAACCAGCATACGATCCCTTTCCCAGCAAGAAGGTCTGTTCTGGGCCCAGGCTCCCAGAAGCTTTGAGGTCTCTGGTGCCAGAGCTCCAGAAGATTTAGTCTTATTTTGCTCCTAGGTCTACACCCTGTTGCTGTCCCCACTGTCCTGACATCCAGTCTGGCACTTCCTCAGCACCTGGCTAGGAGGCACTCTCTGCCTCATTAGCGAGCTCACCTGGGCTGGGTCCTGGGCGCTGCTCCCTCCTGTCTGGGCCTGATTTCTGCCGGCTGCAGGTGAGTCCTGCAATATCAGGATTTACCTGCTCAAATACCACCTGCTTCTTAGTTTCTCACTGAGTGGAGACTCTGAGACCAGCCATCCTCATTAGTATGGTGACCTGTTTCTTTAAACGTTGTTAATGGTTTGACTAGGATGTGGGAATGAAGAGGAAACAGACAAATGGTGAGGGCTGCTGTTACAGCCGTGTGTCTGAACTGATGGTGCAGCCTCTGTTACCACTGAACCAAGAGAAGATCTCTAATGGACTTGAGAGTTCTGCAAACTGATTTGGGCAAGGAGCCATGAGTGGTCAGTGCAGAAGGCCAAGGGCATGGGCTGTGTTTATTCCCAGACACCCACCTGATAGGCACCGCTGCGTTCAGCCCTCAGCACATCTAAAGGTTAGGAGCAGAGATTTTGAATTAGCTAGTCATCAAAATGAGAAAGACAAATTATAATTTCTTAAAATTTTAGATCTGAGAAGTAGCTTAGAAAACCTTTGAACTACATGATTCTACCTGAAAAACAAAAACCCGAGAACCTTTGGGAGAGGACTCTTGTGGGAAAGAGCAACATACAAGACGAAACCCGAGCCTGTGACCAAGGGGTGTGACCGGGGGCTGTGACTGGGGAGTGTGACCGAGGGGTGTGACCGGGGGCTGTGAGTGGGGAGTGTGACCAAGAGGTGTGATCGGGGGTTGGGGGCTACAGCGGGGGAAAGCAGAGTCCCCTTGGGCACATGAATGGAGCTCGATTTGAGAACTGCTGACCCAACTTTTACAGAGAAGAAAACTGAGGCACAGAAAAAGAAAAGCAGTTTGTCCAAGGGTGTGGTATTTGTCTGTTTTCATACTGCTATGAGGACTGCCTGAGACTGGGTAATTTATAAAGGAAAAAGGTTTAATTGCCTCACAGTTCATCATGGCTGGGGAAGCCTCAGGACACTTACAATCATGGCGGAAGGGAAAGGGGAAGCAAGGTGCCTTCTTCACAAGGCAGCAGGAAGGAGAAGTGCTGAGTGAAGGGGGAAGAGCCCCTTGTAAAATCATCAGATCTCATGAGAACTCACTATCAGGAGAACAGCATGGGGGAAACCAACCCCATGATTCAATCACCTCCACCTGGTCCCTGCCTTGACATGTGGGGACTGTGGGGATTCTGGGGATGACAGTTCAAGATGAGATTTGGGTGGGGACACAAAGCTGAACCCTGTCAGGTGCACAGCCAAGCCTCCAACAGAGCCAGGACCAAAGCTGGATTCTGTGTTCTTCCTGGTACACTCCGGGTTCATTGCTTTTTGACAGCAATATATTAAAAGAAATTATGTTTGTGTTACTGAGAAGCAGACTCACATCTTAGTAACATAAAAGCAGATATGAAGGAATGTGAATGATGAACCAGAGTGGAAGCAAAGAATTAAAGCAGTGCAGAGGCAGTGAGGGGCTGGGTGTTTCTTTTGGTGTCATAAAGTTCAATCAGTTTGGGATCTTTTATTTTAATTTTCATTTTAATGTACCTTTTTAATATTCCCTTTTATTATTCCCCTTCAATATACCTTTTAAATATGCCCCCTTTAAAAAATATGGTCATGATCCTACAGGTAAAATGATGTCTAAATAAGATATTCATCTATTTTTAAGACAGTGAAAAATGGGACTATTATATGCAACCTTTCCTTCCATTCATTATTTAACTGCAGCTCAAAAAGGCAATTAAAAAAATAAAAATCACAAGTGTTGACCATGTTTAGCCTCTACAAAACAAAGCATAAGAGAAGTTTCTAATGGCTCCCAACCACTGCTTTTTCCCAAACATGAGGAAGTCTTTATGAAAATTGCGAGGCTGAACCACCATGGAGAAAAAGCTCAAGGGCAGATCAGGACACCAGGGTGAACACAGCTCCCTGAAGACCCAGAAACTCCTGACTCAGGCCCTGCCTCACCCTGTGATAGCTTTGCAGTATCACATGCTTCATGTGAAATATTTCAATGCTGTAATTTACTGCTTTGAAAAATGAGTGAGCCCGCTCCCTTTGACATGCCTCTTTGAAACATGGAATATTTAAAATTCATAACCAAACTTAATGTATAGATAGATCACACATTTTTATGACTTCACTGATGTAATAAGAGCCTTGTAATATCTCAAAAGATATGTTTTATCCCTCCTAATGTGTATCATGTGCAGATTAAGAAGCTATATCATTGCCTTCAAAATGACCTGCTATTTCCTGGAAACTGTAATTTGCTGGACCTGTCCTTGTCACTGGGGTAAGTATAATGCCTTTAATAATCTTCCACTCACTAAGTGAGGTGTTTGCATCAAAAAGATGGATCTGGCTTGGCGGCGGGGGAGGCGCTCCATGTCTGTTCTCCCAGTGACATCTAGAGGCTTCACAGGGCCTGGAGCAGAGTGAAGCAGGTTGGAGGACTTTTCTCCAGGTTCACTGAATTTAGTCATAAGAATGTTTTAAAGGCTGAGAATGAGAGCATTTCAGGGCACGACTGCCTTATAGCATGACTCCCAAGGGGGGCAGACAAAAACCGGGTGAGAGGCAGCGTCCACAGGAAAGGATCTGGCCGAATCCTATGAAGACACAGAGAAGCCACTGAGAGCTCTCCCATAAACCGCCACCCTCAGTTGAGCTCAAAACTCCAAGCCACTGCGAACCAGCCTCGGGAAGGCTTTTAAACAGAGCTCCTTTTCTAACAAGGTAGGCATCAAAGGTGATCTAAGGGAAGCAAGTGTGTTTTAAAAAACACCCTCACGCCTATAATCCCAGCACTTTGGGAGCTGTAGGCAGGTGGATCACCTGAGGTCAGGAGTTCAAGACCAGCCTGGCCAACATGGTGAAACCCCGTCGCTACTAAAAATACAAAAAACTAGCCAGATGTGGGGGGGAGGGGGCGGGCCCTGTAATCCCAGCTACTTGGGAAGCTGAGGCAGAAGAATCGCTTGAACCCAGGAGGCAGAGGTTGCAGTGAGCCGAGATCATGCACTCCAGCCTAGGCAACAGAGTGAGACTCTGTCAAAAAAAGAAAAAACAAAAAACAAAACAACAACAACCAAAAAAAAAAAACCCACCCCAGGTGGCCCATGCTTTCAGCCCGAGAGTCTCAGAAGAAAGCTCAGAGGCCCATGTGACTGGCCAACATCCAGCCCACCTGCCCCAGGCCACACTGTGCTTGAGAGCTGGAGCGGCCAGCACGGGCATCTCAGCACCAGGGAAATCGGCTGGACTTGACTCGACAGATCGCAGACTGCCAGCCAAGGGCTCCACACTGAGTCACCTCCTGTGTGCTGTGGTGCGCGTGTGCCCCTGATAGACAAAGGTAAACCTGGGTGTTGGTGATTTACTTTATATGGGAATCACAAATGTCATCTATACTTTTATCTAGACATGTGTGATGGAGATACATACTTTGACCAGTTGTGTTAATTATTGGCAGCAATGTGTGCAAAAGTCAACTTTCTACTCCTAGGGGGACAAAACAATTTTGAAAGCAATGAGGAACAAGCCCAACTTTCCAACAGCCTCATTTTAAAAAGTGAATGTGCAGAGGAGGCCTAAAGACAGAGCGGATATATCCCTCAACATCTATAAGACCACATATAAGTGGGACAGGAGGAGAGACCCGCACTCCACATAAAAACTTCCATGAAGAGAAACGATAAACAGTGAAACAGGAGACGGAGCCCAGAAACACACCCGCACACATATGGTTGACGGTTTTTGACAAAAGTGCTGAGAACACACAATGGAGAAAGGACAGTGTCCTCAATCAACGGTGTTGGGGAAACTGGATCTCCACAGGCAGAGGGTGAAATCGGCCGTTATCAGACACCATAGGCAAAAATCAACTCAAAATAGATTAAAGACTTCAACGTAAGACCTGAAACTGTGAAGCTCTAAAAGAAAACAGGGAAAAGCTCCATGACACTGGTCCAGGCAAAGATGTTTTTGGATATGACCCCAAAAGCACAGGCAACAAAAGCAAACACAAACAAATGAGATTGCAACAAACGGAAAAGCTTCTGCACAGCAAAGGAAACAACAGAACAAAGACGCTGAGGTGGATGGATCACCTGAGATCAGGTGTTAAAGACCAGCCTGGCCAATATGGTGAAACCCCGTCTCTACTAAAAAAACAAAATTTAGCCAAGCGTGGTGGCAGGTGCCTGTAGTCCCAGCTACTCGTGAGGCTGAGACAGAAGAATCACTTGAACCTGGGAGGTGGAGGTTGCAGTGAGACAAGATAGTGCCACTGCACTCCAGCCTGGGTGACAGAGTGAGACTCTATCTCAAAAAAAAAAAAAAAAAAAAAAGGAAAAGAAAATATTATCCAAAAATACATAAGGAACTCAAACACCTCAATAACAATAAAAGAAAGAACTCAATTAAAAACTGGGGCAAAGGCTCTGAAGAGACATATCTCAAAAGAAGATATCAGAATGGCCAATCTGAAAAAAAATGCTCAATATAAATAATCATCAGGGAAATGCAAATTAAAACTATAATGCGCTGTCACTTATACACAACTGTTCAGATGCTGTTGTCGAAAAGAGACGCCGCATGTTGATGAGGGTGTGCAGAAGAGGAACCCCTTGTGCTCTGTTAGCGGGGATGTAAATTAATACAGCCATCCTGAGGAGCAGTGTGGAAATTCCTCAAAACACTACAGATAGGATTACCATACGACCCAGCAATCCCACCTCTGGCTATGTACCCAAAGGAAATAAAATGAGTGAGTGGAAGAGAACCTGCACCCCGTGTTCATGGAGCGCTGTTCACGGTACCCAAGAAAGAAAATCAACCTCAGTGTCTATCAAGGGATGAAAAGATAATGGAAATGTAGAAATGGAATACCAAAGTGAGCCTTAAAAAAGAAGGAACTCCTGTCCTTTGCAGCAACATGGATAAGCCTGGAAGACATTCTGCTAAGTGAAATAAGTCAGGCTGAGAAAGACAAATACCACATCTTCTCATTCATATGTGGAATCTAAAAAACGTCAGACTCATACAAGTAGAGGGTAGAATGGTGGTTAAATGGTGGTTACCAGAGGCTGGGGCAAGGACCAGATGGAGAAATGAGAGATGACGGCCACAGGGTACCAAGTTTCAGTGGGATAGGAAGGCTAAGCTTAGAGACTGATCTCACACAGTGGTCAGTATAATAGATAATAATGCATTGTGTATTTCAAAATTGCTGAAAGAGCAGAATTTCAGTGTTTTCACCACAAAAAAAATGGTTAGTATGTGAGGTGATGGATGTGTGAATTAGCCTGATTTAGTTATTCCACATTGTAAACATATGGCAAAACTTCACAGTTCACCCTACAAATATATACTGCAGTTATTGTCAATTAAACATAAAATATTAAAAAAAAATCATGTAGACACACACGCACAAAGGGGATTGGTAAAGAATGGCCTAAAACTGGGAGGCTGAGACAGGTGGATCACTTGAGGTCAGGAGTTCAAGACCAGCCTGGCCAGCATGGTGAAACGCTGTCTCTACTAAAAATACAAAAATTAGCCAGGCCTGGTGGTGGATGCCTATAGTCCCAGATACTTGGGAGGCTGAGGCAGGAGAATCGCTTGAACTCGGGGGACAGAGGCTGCAGTGAGCTGAGATTATACCACTGCACTCCAGCCTGGCTGACAGAGTAAGAACTTGTCTTAAAAAAAAAAAAAAAAACAGTTATATTCCTTTGTTGAATGTTGAATGTCATCATTACTGTAAGTGTGCTTTTATGAAATTTAATTTCTAAATCTGCTTATGGTTTCTAATCTTCTAAGTCCTGAAAGTTCCCGTGATGACTCCCACTGTACTCCTGGGTTACAGGTTTTGTGGGAAAAAAACAGCGCGCGCTTGGCCAGGTGCGGTGGCTCACCTGTGTAATCCTAGCACTTTGGGAGGCCGAGGCGAGCAGATCATTTGAGGTCAGGAGTTCGAGACCAGCCTGGCCAGCACGGCAAAACCCCATCTCTACTAAAAACATGAAAATCAGCCAGGCGTGGTGGCGGGCACATACAGTCCCAGCTACCTGGGAGGCTGAGGCAGGAAAATGGCTTGAACCCAGGAGGTGCAGGTTGCAGTGAGCCGAGATCAATCATGCCATTGCACTCCAGCCTGGGCAACTGAGTAAGACACCATCTCACCAAAAAAAAAAAAAAAAAAAGAAAGAAAGAAAAAAGAAAAAAAAAATGCACGCTCTGCCATCAGCCACATATTTGTCACCCATGGAGTGAGGCTGGTGTGGTCCATACATGACCTGTCCATGGTGCGTATTTTCACTCTCAGCCAGTGAAACACACACAGAATGATCCTCCTTTTCCAAAAATGAAAGTGCAGCTGTGATACAGTATAAGGAATAGGTCTTGGCTTAATGTTTGTACAGTAAAGAAACTTTGTGTGAATCCTTTAGAAAGTAGCCAATTTTTTAATAAATGGTATAAATGCCTCTTCGTTTATCTGCAGTACATCTCACTGTTCCATATCCATTTAACATAAAGTGAGGTCTACTTAATCCTACAAAATAAATGGTGCCTCTGTTCCTGGGTCTCTCTATCTCTGCACGAAGCAGCACTTCCTCCAACATGTCCTTCCGAGGCTTGAAAAATAACGTGGTTCCCAGTACGGGGTCTTGGGCTCATTTTCTAACCTTACACAATTTCATTCTGGCCTGAGAAGGTAGAGTTGAAAGAAATTAATTGGCTTCAAAATTATTTCTTAAAAATGGGATATGATCACTTCTCTCCCTTTGGCTAAAATCAAGGATAAAAATTAGTCTATGGGCAGTTTTACTTACTTTTGTAAAATGCAAAATCCTTCTATGTCTCATATGAGCTGAACACACTAGCACATTCTCCAGGTAATAAGCAGGAATGAGTTAGTCTGCAAAAAATGTTTGTCTCACTCTTGTTAGCCCTTGACTCCATTTTGGAAGCCAATGACTCCTAACATTGTTAGTTTGAGGAACTATTGTTTTTTTTCATGCTGAGTCAAATTTCCACCATTTACACTCCCACAGACACAACCTTTACTCTCTTGGGCTCAGCATCTCCCAGGAAGATAACTTCTTCAGCTGGGCACCAGCAATTTTTATCTAACGATTCTCAAGAGGTGGCCACAGAAGCTGTTGAACTGATAGTCATTTTTAGCAGCTATTTGATTTATTTAAAAAGCCTCACTTCCACCCCGAAGCCCCGTATTTCATAATCCTGTGAATGTCAAACTCATTCTTTCTGTAACTGAGCTCTCAGAATACACATGCCATCACACACCCAGGACGTGCAGCCCCGATGGAGTCAGGAGACCCCTGGGCAGGTCCCGGAAGGAGAACTGCTCTGTGGAACAGCTGGCCTGGGCTCTCCAAAATTACCCGCGTCACTAATGACCAAGAAGGGTCTTCCAGAGAAGTAAAGCTGTGGCAACTAAACCCAACACGTGAGCCCAAACCGCATCCTGGACTCCAGCTGGGGAACGCCTCCAGGGACATTATCGGGATGACTGGCAAGGTTAGCATATGGACTGCAGATCACGCTGCTGTGTGACGGTCGGGTCCCTTGACTTTAAGAGCTGTGCTGTGGAAACACAAGGGAACACTCTGCTCCTTGTTCTTGGGAAAAAACCAAAGCACTAAGGGACAGAGAAGTGGGATGCCGACAACGTATGAAATGCATTTCCAAATGGCTCTAGGAAAATTTAATTTTTTCACAGAATCAATACCTCGGCAAATGACTCTGTACCCTCCTGGTGTCTTCCCGTTCCTTGTTTTGTGTCATCCTCACAGCTGTCAAATGAAACGACTCAGGCGAAGAGCTCCAACCACGGCCCTCTCCGTGCTGAGCATTCGCTGCCTCCACTGCCACATGCACGGATTCTTAAAAAGCGACGAAAGGGCGGAACCCTGACTTCCTCCAAGAGGGGCAAGCCCAGGACTTCCAGGCACAGGCAGTGGGCGACCTCGATGTCTTTCCAGGTGCTCAGTTCTCCGCATTCTGCCCTGAGGGAGTAGGGGTGATCCGACTGGCATCACATATCTTGAGATATTCATTTGCATAAACACAGCGGCACCCAGATCTTGGCTTCTAATCCCACCCTCCAGTAAAAGGAACCAGGGGTCCTTGGAGAAATGGGTCTAGGACTGGAGCAGGGAACGCACAGATGAGCCTGGGTGTCCTGCAGTGCCAGAAAACCAGGCTGTGCCCAAAGAGGCAGCTGTGAACAGACCCCGGAGGCCGGCAGAAAGGGCTCCCTGTGGCCAACACTGGAAAAACCTGAGCAAGAAAGTAGGCTGGGCGCGGTGGCTCACGCCTGTAATCCCAGCACTTTGGGAGGCCAAGGCAGGTGGATCACCTGAGGTCAGGAGTTCAAGAACAGCCTGGCCAACATGGTGAAACCCCATCTCTACTAAATATACAAAAATTAGCTGGGCATGGTGGCAGGTGCCTGTAATCCCAGGTACTCAGGAGCCTGAGGCAGAAGAACTGCTTGAACCTGGGAAGCAGAGGTTGCAGTGAGCCGAGATCGTGCCACTGCACTCCAGCCTGAGCAACAAAGGGAGACTGTGTCTCAAAAAAAAAAAAAAAGAAAGAAAAGAAAGAAAATGCATGGCGAAACATGGGTCACATCCCAGAGCTGAAATACAGCACAAGAGTCCATACAGATGTCAGTAAATGATGGGATAAATAAATAAATAGGGAGAGGAGACAATCTTTCTTCCAGAAGAATTGCACATAACAGAGGTAGATGCTCCTGCTCCAAGAGGTGAACGTGATTCCATGCTCTTGCTTCTTTGAGGGTGGTCTGGGCTGAGACAGGCTCCCAAGGAATAGAAGGAGAAGAGGAAAAAGCAGGCATTTCATGGGAGACAGCAGGCAGACATCACCTGAGCAAGTGATGAAGGTTAGCGGATGTCGGGCACCCCACGTGACTCCTCTTCCCAAAAGCACACATCCCCAGTCTCATCACACGAAGATCGTCTTCCCTGGACTGGGGACCTGGATTGGGGAACATCCTACAAGATAACCAGCAAAACTCCTCAAAGCCACTAAGGTCATGAAAGGCAAGGACAGACAGAAACCATCGCAGGACGGAGGGGCTGGGAGACGTGAACAGCAAATTCATCTGGTGTCCTCGATGGGTCCTGGGACAGAGAGAGGGCATTGGGGGAACCCAGCAAGGTCTGAAGGCCACCTGGAGGTGAGGCCATCGTCTCGCCCCACAGCAACGCGAGACGTGAACAACAGGAAGACTGTGGAGTCCACTGGGCTCTCTGCGCCGTTGTAAAGACACTTTACTGCATGTCTAAGACTATTTCATTCTTTTAAAAAAAAAGTCTTTTAAAAAATATTATAACTCAAAACTATGGAGGCAGTAAAATGCTCAGTGGTTGAAGGGAAGATTTTTAGGGCAGAGAAAAGACTGTGCATGATGCTACAATGGTGGACCTGAGTCCTGATCACCCGACCAAACCCACAGAGCCAACAGCACCAGGAGTGTGCCCAGGGTAAACTCCAGCCCCCGGCAATGCTGACGCTTCAGTGTGGGTGCAGCAGTTGTAACAAGCGCCAGAAGCGAGCCCAGGGTAAACTCCAGCCTGCGAGGATGGTGACGTGTCAGTGTGGGTGCAGCGGTTGTAACAAGCACATCCCTCTGGTGGGAGGTGTTGGTAGCGGGGGAAGCTGTGGTGGGGGTAGGGGTTGGAGTGGAGATCTCTACCTTCCTTTTAACTTTGCTGTGAACCTAAAACTGCTCAAAAAGGAGGTCTATTAAAAATAGTATATATGGCTTCAAGAAATTCACAACCATTTGAATTATTTCCCATGAACCACGATTGCTAAACAAAAATGACTGTTTAAACTGGAAAATAAACAAAATCTGTTTAACTAAATCAAGGTCAAACTGAGACTGTCTGCGCCTACCCTTGCCAAGCACGCTTTGGAAAATGCGGCTGCCACCACGCAATAAGAACAAACTCCGCTCAAGTTCATCTGCACGACAGAAAAGGGAGAAATAACAAAAATAAAATTCTTGCTGATACTCACTTTACTGCCATGGAAACCAGCTCAGCCAGCTTTATGTTACTGGGGACATATTTAATTCTCAGGATTTGTATTATTACCTTAGAAAAATATAACAAATTCTCGTAAAATTTGGATTGCCCTTAATGACACAGAAAGGTAAAACATTCTTAATTATCAAAGCTTTTTCTGTTATAAAGCAACAATAAAACTAAAATATTGAAATGGGATTTTTATGCCAGAAGAATTTCAGCCTCTTTCCAAACAAAGGAGGAAAAAGTTCAAAGAGAGGGTATGTTCCTCCTAAACACGTTTTTTAACTTCACCAAGAGGCCTTGTGTAGGCAGCCAAGTTTTTATTTTTCCTCCATGGCTACTGCAGTGATCATTCTGAATGAGTGCCTTCTTTCTTTTGAAATCCCTTCCTAATTCATTAGCACACTAAAAAAGAACAGAGCCATCTTTGCATTTCATTTTCCTCTACAGAGACTTTTAGATCCGTGGTATAATCACTAGGTGGCCTTTCTAAGCCTTGCACAAAACGCACACTTCTTAGGACTGGTGCCGTCTTGGGTGCCGCTGGGGGCCAGCAGCCCAGCCCCGTGGGTCGGAGGGGCTTTGGGGGTGTGATTCACCATGCCCTGCTCTCTGGAGGGTGAGTGCACTATCTGCACCCCACCAGCCGTGAAAGTGCATGATAACCCATAATTAAACAAGCCAGGGGGTGAGCAGGGGCAGGTAGGTGTGATTTGGTACAGGAAAACCACAACAAGGTGATTTTTAAACTTTTATTTGCCTAAAGCAAGAGAAAACAAGCTTAACCAGGTAACACATGCTTCAAAGCCTCGACAGCCAGGATTTCAGAGATGCTAGATCTCGCGGCCCCCCAAAGAGAAGCACGGTGGCTTCACACAGACCGCCACATGCTGCACACGTCCAGGTGCCACACCCATGTGCCCACACCCGTGAAAATGCTAGTGTGTTGTCTGCCAACCCACTCTCTGTCAGGCATCTGCCGTCTACCCTCGTGTAAATACACGTTGTTCAGTCTTGTGGAAAACATTAGCTTTCTCCCTTAGACGGGTATAAAATATTCATCACCAAATGCAAAAATCAAAAGCACAATGTGTGATCAACTATCAGCCCACACAGGACACCACTCGGATGCCAGCTGCTCATTTGGAACAAGCACACAGCATTCCTGTCTCTGCCAAGCATATTTTCCCATCTCCAGGCTAGGAAAACGCCTTCACTGGCCTGCCGCTGAGGCAGACGCGGGGATGAGCTTGGGCTTGGCTTGCTGGGGCGGGGCCATGTCCGGGATCTTCTCCCCGTGTTTGTACACGCTCACTGTCACGTCGATCTTCTCCCCGCCATACTTATTCTTGATGTTGATGCTGTACTTGCCCGAGTCCTCGGAGGTCACGCCTTTGATGGTCATGCTGACGTACTTGGCCTGCTCCACCTTCACCGAGAAGTGCTCGCTGAGCTGGATGTCCTGGTCGTTCTTGAACCAAATCACTTCGGGGTCAGGGTTTCCAAACACCGTGCAGGTCAGATTCAAGGTCTTTGGACGGAAGAGGTTGGTGGAGAAGGAAGAGTTAGAAAAAGGAAAGTCATGTCACCCCCTCGGACGGTGGGCTCCAGGTCACACTCAGTTACATTTATTGGTCCTTCAATCGTTTGTTTAGAAACAAGCCTTTATGTACATGAGCGCCGCTCTGGACAGAGCAGGCAGAGGACAGCAGGGAACAGGTTCACCACTTCACAGGCGAGCTCGTAAAAAAATCAGTGAGCATGTGTCCTATTTATTCTTAGCTTTTATCCATAGCCTAAGTCAATTAAAGAATTTGAAAGTAATTTAATTAAGCTCTATGTTTTATAGTAGATATATCCAGTCTGCTCCCAAATTTCCTTTCTATTTAGAGTTATGGATCCCTCTTACCAGTTCCTCTGGCAAACCCATTGAATATATCGTTTTATAACTGGTAAATTGGAGGCAAAAAAATGCATTCTTGAAGCTTAGTTAAAACATGCTTTCAGCCTAGGATAAAGTAAAACGATTGCTAATTTCTCAATTACATCCTTAAGATGAGATCTCAAGAGCTCTCTAGGCTTCCATTAGCTACTAAAGAAGACGTCTATAAATTTTTGTCTTTTGGGCTAATAAAATTTTCTCAAGTATCTCTGTCCCTGTGACATTGAGTTAGACCCACTGAAGCAACCAGACAGCTATCAATTAGATATCAATAATTCTCCCGACAGGCAACAAATTAAACTCCAATAAGTGGCTTCCACGATGTGTTCCACAATGACCTTGAGAATAGGAGCAGAGATTTTTTTTTCCTTCGTGTTGTAAAAGCTGTGCTGTTTCACACTGGAAGCAGGGGGCTTGCACCTTCACACACGCAGGTAGGTCAGGGCGAGTGTGGCTGCCTCATCCTGCAGTTGCTCCTCTGGGTGAATGGCCACAGGGGCATAGAAACACCCAAAGCCACAGCACTTGCCTTGAGGTGCCTGAGTGGCACAACGTGTTCCTCTGAACACAGGTTTGTGGATTCGGAATGTTATGTGATTCCTTCCTTTGAGAATACAGGGGCTATTCCAAGCCGTCTAGGAGGGGCAGAAAAGTGGGGGGGACTCTGGGTTCCCTGCAGGCTGAGTGAGGACACAGAAGCCCCTCACTGGGTTCCCTCTGCTCCGCCCCAAGAGAAGGGGTTGCGTCCATCGCACCGTGCTGACACCCCCACCCCGGCCGAGTTTAGAATCCTCACCTTCCCTTCCATGATGGTCACCACGTCAGGCAAGCCGCCGATCAACCTGCCACGATCTGCAACGGGAAAGCACCTTGGTTAGGAAAACATCTGCGGGACGTTCCCACGGAGCAGGAGCCATGTAAGCAGCAGTGGGTACCAAGGTGAATGTGGTGAGGAGTTTATGCTCAGGAGAGAGCGAGCATCAAAGAAAAAGATTTATATGTTTACAGTTGAGGGATAAACCAAAGCCAAGGGAAGGTAGATGAGGAGATAACAGACTCTGTGAAGGGGTTGGGGGAGAAACACTCCAGAGGAAATGTGAGATGGGAACTGGGCTTGAAGGGTGAAGAATTCACCGAGGACGGAAGGCCTGGAGAGCCGCGTGTGTCCCTGAGTTGGGCAGAAAGTGACGGGGTCCTGGCCAGGCGCAGTGGCTCACGCCTGTAATCCCAACACTTTGGGAGGCCAAGGCGGGCAGATCATCTGAGGTCAGGAGTTAGAGACCAGCCTGGCCAACATGATGAAACCCTGTCTCTACTAAAAATACAAAAATTAGCCGGGCATGATGGCGGGTGCCTGTAATCCCAGCTACTCGGGAAGTTGAGGCAGGAGAATCGCTTGAACCCAGAAGGCAGAGGTTGCAATGGGCCGAGATCATGCCATTGCACTCCAGCCTGGGTGACAGAGCAAGACTCTGTCAAAAAAAAAAAAAGAATAAAGGGAGGGAGGGAGGAAGGGAGGAAGGGAGGGAGGGAGGGAGGGAGGGAAGGGGAGGGGAGGGAGGAAGGGAGGGAAAGAAAGTGAAGTGGCCCTGGGTGTCTGGGCTGCAGGTTCTGCAAGGGAGGAGGGAGGGAGGGTGTCCAAGGGGTGACGGGGCTAAGGCCGAAAGCAGTGCAAGGATCAGTGGTGCAGGACATGGGGCTCCAGGACAGGGTGTGGTGTTGGTGGCGTTGTTACATCAGGGTGGGGGATTGCTGGTTATTATTTAATACACAAAGTTGGTCCTCCAAAATATGGACACTTTTGCCCCACCCCAAATAATTCACCATCCTGGTTACAATCCAACAGGTACTTACTCTTCTCTGCAAAAGCAGCAGCTCTAAAAGTTAAAGGGGACAGAAAGGAGAGAATGAAAAGAGAGTATGAGAAAATGCTTCCAACAAAATGCACAGCTGAGAGGCTCACTAGCGATGAAGCAAAAGAAGAAGGAGATACGTTTGCATTCTCTTAGAAGAACATGTTCGGGTCACAGGACCCCAGGATGGATATCACTGATTTTTCCTGATGGTTCCCACTGCCCATTTTGAGGTGGAAAATGCCCTATTATCCAGATGCTAAAACCCACAGAAAAGTTTAGCATTCCAGCTCACAGGTTGAAGAGATTTTTTTTTTTTTTTCACAAATTCACTAGATTGCACTGGAGACTTGAGATATTTTCGGAATTTGTCAGTTTCTGATCTATCTTGCTCATCCCTGCACCCAGTCAACAAATGTTCATTAAATAAGCTAGCATGGGCCAAGGACTGCGGTCAGCTTCGGATGTGCGAAGACTCGATGGTGCATTTGAAAACCCCGAATTGTCCTTAAAAAGTTGCTGTGTGTGATGTGCTGCCCTGATGATGACTGGCAGAGCAGCAGCACCGCCATCTTGGACTAGCATCGCCATTTTAAGTCTTCCTTGATTAGAAACCGCCTAAGTCCAGCCCAAAAACATCAGCTTAAGGGCTAATGTCAGCATGGCCATAAACCACAAATGACACCTCCGACCAGAAACATACCAACCCTGGCATAACCTGCCCTCCAATCAAAAACATTCCAACCCTGAGATAAGCTCCCCTCCAACCAGAGGTATTCCAACCTCACAATAAAACTCTCCTCCACACAGAAACCTTCCTAGCCTGAGCCAGAACCCTTAAATACCCTTAGTCTGTAAAAGAAAGCGCTCCTGACCGAAATCGGCCAAAAGCCCCACTCAGGTTTATTCTCCAAAATAAACCTGTCTTTGACTGTTAATCTGCTTTGCGTGTTTCTTTTCTCTTTCTTCAACTCTCACAATAATGATTTCCGAAATTCATCCGGGGTTCCGATGACTCTGGACAGTCCGTTTATAAATGCATTTCTGGTTTAGGAGAATGCCCACCCCTCCATATACTGCATTGCTTAAATTCCCACTTCTGTCCCAGGAATGGCTCTTTCTTTAGGTCACCCAGGCTTCCATACAGATTCCCACATGCAGCCAAAACGACTGGGACTCAACTGCCCACAGGATATCATAGTAACTAAATACACAAATCTTACTTGAATTGCTGGAATTCTGCAAATGCTTCATCAAAAGCTGTGAGGAAATAGTTCATACGTTACTAACCATTTCAGTGTTCAGATTTTATTTATTCACTCAAATATTATACCAGTGAATCTGGTTCATGAAAACTGATATATAAAAAAAGAATAAATTTATTTTTTCATTTTCTCTAAATGAAAATTGTAAATTCATATTGTCTCCTGTATTCATATTGTATTCCCTCCCTTCAGCATCTAAATGGATTTCTAAATAGGAAATTATTAAATGCTAAAGAAGAATTCTCTTACCTTGTCCGGACAGGTCAAGGGAGCGTTGATGGTTGTCTTTGCCATCGAAAATCTCAAAAGTGTATTTTCCTTTATCCTTCTCAGTCGGCTCACATATCTGCAGCCAAGCCATCTCTTCACTCCCCCCGATTCTCATATGCTCACTGGATGAGATCTTAGCATCTCTTGAAAAGAGCAACAGGAACGTATCTGAGTTAGGGTCTCCATGTCACACGCACAATGTCTACAGGGCAATGTCCCGTTGCTGTGACAGCCTTCTCTAAGCTGCTGATGCCAATGTCACAATAGATTATTCTGGCTGTTACGAATGTATTGACCACATCAGTAACTCAGATCTGAAAACTTTCTAAAATTAAATGATACTTAATTTTTAAAGGTATATTATTATGTAATATATACTTGTCACGACATAATGGACTTAACATTACTCTATATAGTATGGTAGTTCCTCAAAAAATTAAAGCTAGAACTACTACATGATCCAGCAATCGCACTTGTGTAGATCCGAAGAATTGGACACGGGGTCTTGGAGAGATATTGTCACACCTACATCCTTCGTAGCATCGTTCACGACCGCCCCGGTGGGGAGGCAGCCCAAGCGTCCATTGGTGATGAATGGATCAGTAGAATGTGGTCCATAAATACATGAGGGAAATCCCAACACCTCCTGCAATGTGCATGAACCCTGAGGACATTTTGCTGAGTAAAATAAGCCTGTCACAAAGAGACAAATATGTACTCCTATGAAGGGCTTAGGGTAGTCAGATTCACAGAGACAGGAAGTAGAACTGTGGGTACCAGGGGCTGGGGGAGGGGAATGGGGACTGAGGGTTTAATGGGAACAGAGTTTCGGGTGGGAGGATGAAAAGGTCCTGGGTGGTGGTGGTGCCTGCACGATGATGTGAATGTACTTAACACCACTGAACAGTACCCTTAAAGGTGGTTAAAATGCTCACTTTTACATTATGTGTATTATGCTACAATATTTTAAAGTTTAGATAAAAACAAGGTGCTCATACATTCCCGCCTTCTAAGGTTCCACATCTGCAACATATAAGGCCAAACTGTTTACTGCAGACAAAAGTGTATAAGTTATTTCCTAACATTACTTCAGTTTAGAGGGAGCCTGAGAGATCTGTGGAAGTCATAGTCACAGGTGCATGAAAACAGGACGGACTCCAGGGCCACCCAAGAGCTGGAATGTGGACCTGTTTCTCTCGGGCACCAGCTCCAGAACAGCCGCAGCTTGGGGAAGCAGGCTGGGTCAGTTGCACAGAGAGCCAGCTGTGGTGCTTGTGGCATCTTTCCTTACCCTTGCCGGCAACCAAGAATGCCTATGTTCCATCGGGAAAGGGAATTCTCCAGCCCTCCTCACCATCATAGCCTTTTTCTCTGTTATTCTTTCCTTCAACAAATATATGTTAAGCCCATAATAAATGCACAGCTCAGGCCGGGTGTGGTGGCTCACACCTGTAACCCCAGCACTTTGGGAAGCGAAGGCAGGAGGAACACATGAGCCCAGGAGTTGGAGACCAGCCTGGAAAACAAAGCAAGACCCTGTCTCAACAAAAATAAAAAAATTAGCCGGGTGTGGTGGCAAGCACCTGTAGTCTCAGCTACTCAGGAGGCTGAAGCAGGAGGACTGCCTGAGCCCGAGGAGGTCAAGGCTGCAGTGAGCTGTGATCACACCACCGCACTCCGGCCTGGCCAACAGAGCGAGACACTGTCTCAAAAAGTATATATGTAAAAATAAATGCTTGGCTCTGCGTCCCGGTCTCTGGTGGTGGTGCTGGCAGTGTGTGTCGGGTCTCTGGTGGTGGTGCTGGCAGTGTGTGTCGGGTCTCTGGTGGTGGTGCTGGCAGTGTGTGTCGGAACTGAGTCTGTCCGGATAGAAAGTGGGAGTTCTGTGAAGGCACAGTGGGATCCTGGCGCACACTAAGCCAGAGAGGCCGAAATGGCTGTTCCCAGGGATGGTTTTGTGGGATTGGCTTCACCCTGAGACTTAGCCTCTGGGATCCCGGACAGAGAAGGGAGGATCTAACACTGCCCATGTGCGGTTGTTTTAGAATCCAAGAAGACATGCTCAACATCTACTGAAGCGACTTTGGAACATAACTGACACACATTTGTCTACAATAATCAGGTTGGCCTCACCTGTTGCCGATGTGGGAGCGAGTTCGTGCCGCCTTAGAAGGCAGGGCAGTGTGAGCACTTTGGTTCTATCTAAACTTTTAAAAACTGTGTTAGAATGCACATAATGTAAAAGTGACCCCTTTAGCCCTTCACAATATGTTAATTAGCTCCCTTTTCCCATAAGCTGCCCCTCCCCGGAAAGAGGCGGGAGAATCGGACCAGGCAATCCTTCAGGAATCTCTCAGTCCCGCATCTGGAATTCTATACGTTGCTGACCTGGGAGCCTCACGAAGGCTGACCCCGCAGCAGAGCCCCAGGCTCCGCCCAGCTGCTCTCAGTCCACAGTCAGCATGGGCTGCCTGGGGAGCAGGAGAGGGAAGGAGAAGCGATGAGGCCATGACCCCAGGCCCCAGCACTCAGCAGCCAGAGCCGGCCGGGCCGAGAGTGCCATGTTTGCAAGCTGCAGGCTGGCGCTTACATTAAAGGCAACACGGACTTGCCAGAGTCTCCATCCGTGGTGTGTCTGAGGGCAGGTGAGCATCAGTGGCCACACCAGCCGTCCTGTGAGCTCACAGCAGGTCGCTATTACTAAAGGGATTGATGGGCCATTGCAGCACTCAGACCTACTCATCCCTGTGTATAAAAGGAAAATTAGACTTTACATGGTGATTCTCAGCTCTGCAGAAAAGAAAAACCTTGCACAGAACATATACCAGGCAGTGGATTAGCCACTCAATCCCAAACCGTGGCGTGTGAGGAGCAGCAAGAAGCCCGTCTGTGCAGAGACCTGAAGGCAAAGAGACACTGACACACTGTAGGGACATCACAGCTTGATTAAGAAAGACTTCTTTATCCCCCTGGATGCACTTACAACTGGACACTTTACAGACCAATCAGCAAATCAGAAATTGCAGATCAGTGGGGAACTGGGCCCACTGTAATCGTTTATTGACTAAATGTACCCCATCCAAGGAAACAGGGTTCAACAAGCATGTGGAACTCTTCTGTTGAGAGTCAGAAAAACTTGTTTTGCCAACACTGATAGGCCTTAGTCATCTTGTCACCCTCTCTTGTTGGAACTGATGAGGGTCAAAGTTCAAACAAATGCACACACACACACACACAACCAGGCACAGCCAACTTGGCTATGTGTGCTTCCTGCACACACACAGACCCGTGGGACAGGATTCCAGCCTGAACCTCCACACATCAGTAAGGCCCTCAGTCCTGCCTGGCCCCACCCTGCTTCCCTGCCCTGCAAAGCCTGGATACTGCTTGGGGATTTGTGATGAGCTCCCCGCTTGCAAAGAAGGGGACGATTTTTGTCATGCCTGGTGTCTTGCATCCTGCACGAAATGCTCTGTTCGTGCTGTCGCTGGTCAGTCTCACCAAGAGGACGCAACAATCGCTGCCACCCTGTGTGAGCTCATCACCCTGTGTGAGCTCATCCTCCCACACATCACGTGGGTGTTAGGGAGAAGACAATGTTTTCTTGATCACCATTAACTCAAATGTGTCTTCTTCAAAGAGCTAAATTATGTGCCAAAACTATTGCATCCTAGATGTATAGACGAAGATGTTCAAACCTCTGCTCTGTGTGTGTATATGTGTGTGTGTGAGAAAGAGAGAGAGACTAGAAATTCTTCCGTGGGGTAAAATTGCAAACAGCCCCAAAATCTCACTGTTTAGACTTAGAGCCATGAAGAAAAGCTAGTGGAGTTTCCACCGTATCAGCCACAGCTTTGTCCAACAGGTGAAATTCACTGGGCCACGAAAGTTGCGCTGCAAATGCTTCATGAAGTGGCAGCGTTTTAGCCTTTGCGGCGTTTATGTTCTGCTGGACTACGTTCCATTCCAGTGGTGATCCATTCTACTCACACAATTAGCAACTTGCTTACAGAAAAAGAAACATAATTTTATTTTGATATAGGTGACAAGGGAAAAAGGTACACCTTCACGCGATCATTCATAAAATAGCTGTAAATGTGTCCCACCGGCCTCCTGACTTTGGTGTAATTGGACACACCGGCTGGGCAGCAGTGGAGATAAGGGCCCCACTGCACACAATTGCTTCACTGGCCTCATGCTGACGGCCCTAGGCCTTTGGAGTGACTTATCATTCAAGTTTCACTTTTAAAAAGTGACCCTCTACTTCAGCGAGAGATTCTTTACAACAGCCACACAATCTGGGGGAAGAACACTTGAACCCAAATCTCAGCCAGTGACGAAGGGTAAAAACCACTGTAATGAAGGAATGGTGTCCACTGGACACCAAATCACACACTGGCCCACTTGGTGCACTTCTGGCACCCCACATGCTTCTGGCCCCACCTCCGTCACAGCTGCGGCCTCCGCTGCCACCCTGGGATCAGGGTAAACACATGCATGCATGCAAGATGCCCTGAGCCAGGACCCCACAGCCTGCAGCTGGGACGCTACCCTTCCCTGGGCTGCAGCTGCACAAAGGTAGCCATGAGCCGGGGATCAGCAGCCACCTTCAACCCCAATCCCAGCCTCGAGCTGCCCATGTTGGCGTTCTGACCCCAGCTTCTCTTGCATCACACACACTTCTCTTGGACTGGGTTCTAATTCTGTTCCCTCGATACGACTCAGACAAAGCCACACACAGAACATGGACAGCCATTAGCAGAGCTTCCAGCAGAGGCTCCCGCTGTCCCTGCGTCTGCAACCCTGGCTGCTCACCTTGAGGGCAAATGCTGGTTTCCAGCTTCCCACTCCCAGCTTCAGGGTCTCACCCTAGACCCCACGCCCACTCATTTGGCTTCCCCTGAATGAGCAACTTATAAGAGGGCCAAACACGTCCTAGTGCTCAAAAATAGCTGTTAATTTCTTTGACTATCTAGTCGCTGAATTAATTATAACTGTTGCCTTACCTAGACAATGACTTGGACATATAGGGATATTAAAATTATTATTATTGTTGTTTAGAGACATAAATGGGCCAAATATGACAAAACCTCTTCTTCGTATTACTTGATTACAAAACATGACCAAATTCCTTCATTCCAAACTAAAGTTAAAATGGTTCACATTAATATAAGACAGTGGAGGATAGAAGAAAGCACACGTTTCTGCTCCTTCGTGCTAAAGCAACCAGCAGGATGGTCAACTGTGACGGGGTAGGTAGGAAGGAGACAGGTAAGGGGCGGGGGCAGGTGAGCAGGGAGGAGGAGAGAAGGTCTGGGCTCCAGTTCTGTAGCTCAGACTCTTACAACCACACTGCCTTTCACATTTCCCAAAACAAATGAGGAACACCAACCTGAAAGCAAGGGGAACCCAAAACAAAATACGAACAGTAACAAATGAACATAACTATGTTGCAAATGAATTGCTTACCACCCAGAACGTAAAGACATAAAGTAACTTTGGAAAGCAATATTTTGATTTGATACTGTATGGCTAAAGATGAAAGGAATTAATTGTAGGAAACACTGAACTCTAGTATGCACATTTGTTTCTCACAGAGATATGAGTTACTAATTCTGAAACTGCTTGATGTAAATACTAGGACTGAAAACAAAACAAAACAAAAAACAACAACAACAGTAGGTGAGAGCCAGGCTTTACAGCTCAGGAAAGGAACAAGGCTTGAATGAAGGCTGTGGAGTTGGGCTGGGATCCAATCAGATTCTAGTACACAGACGGTGAGATGCAGAAGTGGACACGGATGAGCGAGTGTGTGCCTCCGTGTGCACTCACACATCACCCAGTCCTGTCTCCAGAGCATGTAAGACCCGCGGCTCCCTGAGACATCGATAGTCTCTGATGCCAACCTTTGTCCAGGAGCCAGGACTTCTGGGATTGTAGCAATGGGGCAGAAGATATGAGATGAGTTGGGAATGTTTTACGGGCCCAGAAAATAAGGCATTGCTCCTAAGAAGATGCAGGCACACACACTGGAAAAAGCAGGCGACAACCGGAAGGAGCTCCCAAGGGCCAGAGCTGGAACAATTTGAGCAAAGTAACAGCTCACAGAACAAAGTCAGCATCCCTGAGTCCAAACGGATACAGCCAAGCAGCTGAATGAGGAGATGCACAGAGGAGAGGCCAGCGCCTCCCAGCAGAACAAATGTAAAAGGAAAAGGGAACTTCAGCCCCTCAGAAATCAGTGCTGAAGGCCAGATTCACTGCTGAACCTCAAATCCCAGCACACAGGTCTGCGGAGGGACAAGAGACTTGCCAAGTCCTGAAGTATTTACTAATTACCAAGAGAAAAATAATAACGTTCCCAGGAAGAGACGGGGCAGACATTGCCTTAACCCAGTGATCAGGTATCAGCATGGCTTTTGTTGTATTCCAGCTAAAACGGAGTCACCAACCCAATCATGGGAAACACCAGATAAACCCAGACAGAGGGGCGTGCTTCCGAGTGACTGACAGAAGGCTTCAAGGCACCCAGGCCGAGAGAGACGAGGAGAGCCTGAAGAACTGTCCTAGACAGGGGGGAAACCAGGAGCCAGGACACCTAATCACAACATGGGACCTGAGATTCAACACAGGAACATGCAAAAGGGCGTTCCTGGAAAAAAAGGTGCAATCTGAATTGGTCTGTAGCAGAGTTAATAGTATTACATCATCATTCAGCGCCTGGTTTTGATGGTTATAAGGTGGGTACACAATACACTAACCTCAGGGGAAGACGGTGGAGGTGGCTACACAAGGCGTTAACCTCAGGGGAAGAGGGTGGAGGTGGCTACACAAGACGTTAACCTCAGGGGAAGAGGGTGGAGGATGTAAGGGAACTCCTTACTTTCTTCTCAACTTTTCTATGAGTCTAAAATTATTTCACAGTGAACGATTTAGAAATATTATAAATTTGTAACTGAATATTATATACAATAAAATAAATGGCTGGAAGTAACACAAGTGTAAAAATCTAAAAACTAAGTCTGAGATCAATGACTGACAGACCAGACACTGTGGCTCACACCTGTAATCCCAGCACTTTGGGAGGCCGAGGCAGGTGGATCACCTGAGGTCAGGAGTTCGAGACCGGCCTGGCCAACATGGTGAAACCCCATCTCTACTAAATATACAAAAATTAGCCAGGCGTGGTGGCGCATGCCTGTAAACCCAGCTACTCTGGAGGCTGAGGTGGGAGAATCACTTGAACCCAGGAGGCAGAGGTTGCAGTGAGCAAAGATCATGCCACTGCACTCCAGCCTGGGTGACAGAGCAACACTCCGACTCTGTCGGAGGCAGGTAGATGGAAGCACAAGAACAGAGCCGGCGCCTCCGAGGCAGTGGTTCCGTCAAGTCCACTGAAGGTTTCAATAGCGCTGTGGTGTCTGAGCTCTTCTCAGTGTGGTCCAAAATTCAAGTCAACTCCACCTAGATCTTGCTCCCCTTTTGAAGGGAAATGTAGATAAAAGGGAGAAATTCCCAAAAGCTAGGAAATACTTGCTTCTAGGCTGGAGAGGACAGTGTTGAGGAATGCAGACCTCCTTTGGGAAGAGCCCCACAAGATGGGACAGCCTGAGGGGACCTTAACATACCCAGCAGCCTTTTGCTACTGCTGTCTAAATAGTGAACATCAGAACACATGCAGAGAACTGGAAACACCCTGTGCTTTCTGAGAGGGGACTGCACATACCTGGAGCTCCCACCCCTGCAGCTGCCACAGGCCAGGACCGCAAGGCACAACACACATCGGCTAAAGCCACGACCAGGACAAAGGGAACGTCCCGTCACCGCCCCAGCCCTTCCCACTGTAGACATGGCCAGCCACGGCCCCTCCCACCCTGTGGACATAAGGACGAAGATGTGCCGGGGAAGGTGTCTGGGGTGTCAGGCAGCCACCTCTCCTCCCAGTTAGTTCAAGAGTTAGCTGAGATTTTAGGAGAGCATTTACAAAGTCAGACTCTGCGTGTGAAATCTCCTGAAATGAATTAAAATACACATTTGGAGTTTGAAGCATGCACTTCTTTGTATGCCATAAAGACACTGTGAGGCATGTGAGGTGGCCAAGGCAAGAGGATTCCTTGATCCCAGGAGATCAGGGCTACAGTGAGCTAGAATGGCACCACTGCTCTCCAGCCCGGGTGACAGAGCAAGACTCTGTCTCAAAAAAAGAGAGAGAGAGAGAGAAAGAGAGACTGCAATTTCTTTAGTTTCTGAGATACTTCCAAGACTTCAGTGGTCAATATGTTCAGACTTTGAGATCTAGCCATGTCTAGATGATATATTAATCTCACCTTTCAGTAAGAGAACAAAATCTTTTCTCTTAAGAACATTTTTACTGAATTCCTCTTTGCCTGCTTCTAACTCACGCTGAATAAGTTTCTAACATTCCCTTAAAGTGACATGTTCTATAGCCTCTGATGTATTACTCAGCATTTTTAACTAAAGAACAATTGTCTTTGCTTATGTCCGCATTTCACAAAATTCTCATAGCACTCTATTGATTCCATGTCACCCATTAACACAAAATATTCCAGGACCCACAGCACCAGTCTTTGGCAGCTCCACTCCCTGGCTTCATAGGTTTTGTGAAGTGGATTATTTAGCCTCAAATGGCTAAAGTATATTGCAACAAATTTTCCAACTAATTTTCTTATTATTCTTTTTTTCCAGTTGCTATCTAATAAGAACGCATTTAGTCATCAAGAAGTGAATTACAATCATACATGATGACTACCTAATATAGTTTCATGTTGTTTAATAGTCAAATAGTAAGAAGTTAAGGTCTTATAGTTTAGTTATAAAGGTGTTAAAGAAATGCCTATTGGCCGGCTGCGGTAGCTCACGCCTGTAATCCCAGCATTTTGGGAGGCCCAGGTGGGTGGATCACGAGGTCAGGAGATTGAGGCCATCCTGGCTAACACGGTGAAACCCCATCTCTACTAAAAATACAAAAAATTAGCCAGGCGTGGTGGTGGGCGCCTGTAGTCCCAGCTACTTGGGAGGCTGAGGCAGGAGAATGGCGTGAACCTGGGAGGCTGAGCTTGCAGTGAGCCGAGATCGCACCACTGCACTCCAGCCTGGGTGACAGAGTGAGATTCTGTCTCAAAAAAAAAAAAAAAAAGAAAGAAATGCCTGTTTTGTTGTATAATGAATTTGTTTGGGGAAGATAAAACATAGAAATAATGTTACTTTTACAAGTCTGTGGGATTTACAATAACACCTCCTTCTCTTTTTGTATCTAGGGATGCTTTCTTCTGATCCATGGTCACTGATGAGTCAGATGCATGAGCTGTGCCCCGATCTGCCTGCCTATCTAGGACCCACCCTCTTCACTGGGCTTGGAGCTTCTCGGGAGAGCACTGATGAGAACCAGACCAGCCAGCGTTCAAATCCCTGCTCTTTCACTTAGTAGGGGCGTGACTGACAAAATGACATGTTTCTCTCCCTGAACCCCAGTTTCCACATCTATAAAATGTGGGTATAAATACCTAACTCACAGGGTATTTGTGAGGATTAGATAAAAATAACATGTGTTGAACGTGTAACACAAAGTACCTGCTTGCTAACACTAACATGACCTACATCTACACACACTTCCTGTGTGGTCACACACATCCACAGGGCGTGTGTTTAATCCTGTGTGTGGGTGTGTGTTTAATCTCTGTACCCCCCAGACCCAGCACAGCGCATGGCCTGTACTACAAACCACACAAGGCTGAAGAGGGGGGTGGCCTTTCCCAGAAGATGAACGTGTTTATGACGGATGGCAGGACACACATTGCAAGTGTGTACAACTTACAGCAAGACAATATGCTGTAAATAAGAAGGAAGCTCAAAGATGCTGATGATTAATTCTCCTTTTCCAGGGGAAGGTTTGATTCAGCTAGAAACATAGATTTACTCATTGTCCCACAAAATAAATCCCGATAAACAATTACATCACAAAACTCACCAGAGTTCTAGTCCTGTAAGCTCCTGTTATCACAGTCCTTTAAAAAAAGACCCTGCCTTCAATACACTTTCCTAACAAATCCCTTAACATGGGATCTACAGTGACTCCATTTGAGTTTGAATAAACCAGGCTAGTAAAATTAAAGACGTGAGAGATTCCAAGCACAGATGTACTGACTCCATTATAAGAAAAAAGCACACTATGTCAAAATTGAAATAGGAAAAAAGCTAAGAACATACATGCTTTCAACTCTTCAATTTACTTACAGTCACCTAAGCAAACCAGTGATATTAAAAGTGAAATAGTCATAACCATTGATTTTCCTTTGGAAATATTCATTAGGTAACTATGATATCTAAAGGCAGGGTGTGGGCGCCCTGGGTATAGCGTACTGATGGGCGTTAACTAAAGGCGGGGTGTGGGCACCCTGGGTATAGCGTAGTGAGGGGCGTTAACTAAAGGCGGGGTGTGGGCGCCCTGGGTATAGCGTAGTGAGGGGCGTTAACTAAAGGCGGGGTGTGGGCGCCCTGGGTATAGGGTACTGACGGGCGTTAACTAAAGGCGGGGTGTGGGCGCCCTGGGTATACGGTACTGACGGGCGTTAACTAAAGGCGGGGTGTGGGCGCCCTGGGTAGAGCGTAGTGAGGGGTGTTCACTAAAGGCGCGGTGGGGACGCCCTGGGTATAGCGTACTGAGGGGCGTTAACTAAAGGCGGGGTGTGGGCGCCCTGGGTACAGTGTACTGACGGGCGTTAACATCTGGGTGCCTTGACACCATCAAATAATTGGCCTGAACACGTCATCCTTTGGATAGCGAAGAGATCGTTAAAAAGCCACCGTCCCTGCTCTGTCTGTCCTTCCCACCCACCTGAAGTCCACTTTTATCTGCGGTGATATCTATAGGGGTTGGTGACCCTGATGCGAGTCCTGTTTTGGGGACTCCTCGATTCAGCCAGCAGTTTGCCTGGTTGTTTCAGATGTCGGCTTGTGCTTTGCCTGGGAAGTAGCCAGAACCCAGAGGCAGGGCAGCAGGGACCTGCCCAGTGCTATGGGTTGCATGAGAAGTCTCTGGTAGTTTTCTCAGTGATCCGTACCGACCCAGAGAAGCATGAAATACAGAAAACCTTGCTGTGTCTTCAGGCTTGGTCTTGTTTTCTTCTGTTTTTAATTTTAATGATTGGGCTTGTTTTGGTACTTTTAATCAAGTCTAGCGGGAAACCAACTGACTGTAAATTTGGAGTCTGGTTTCTACAAATTATATATTAGTTCTGCTTCAGCTCTCTGTTCGCTTCCAGAGAAAATCTGTGTTACCAGTAAAGCCACCTTTGGTGACTGAGACACTAGAGAAATTTGTCTGTAACACTATCAGGCATTTCTCCTCTGCCTCCTTCTTCCACGTCCTCCCCACTGCCGTGAGGGCCCCCTTCCCTGAGCTAAAGGTTGTCATCATTGCTCAAAATTATAAAATTTTGAGGGGAAATGGCAGTGCCTTGATGTTCCCCAGGGAGCGCCTGGTCCCAGCTGTGCGCCCTGGACAGCCCCATCTATGGCATGGCCTCCATCGGCTGCTGTCATACTTACTTGTGACACCAGTTCACTTTCATTTCGTCTGTAAAATACTTCATGAAACACTGAAGTCGTATTCCTTCTGGGGTGCAGAGTACCTTCAGTGGCGAAGCAGATTTCCCTGCAGAAAATAAAACATCCTCAGATCTAGGAAAAGGAGTGCTTGCTGTGTGATCACAGAAAGCATCGCGGCGGCAAGCCCTCCTGTCCCCACCTGCAATCCTGTTCTCACTTGTGTCTCTCATAAAGTCGGCCAGCCACAAATTCTTATACTTTATTCCCATGCTGTCTCCATTCATTAAACAAGCTCTTACCATGCTAGAATTATCTGAAAAGCTCTTTGCAGAATACTGTAAAAGATATAGAACTGTCTAAAAAGATTCAACATCTGCCCCTCAGCAGCTTTGCTTAAGAAAAGGAGGCAAAATAACAACAGTGCATGGCAAATGCTACGTGAGTTAACCCCAAGCTGAACTATCGTAGAAAATCTGCAAAAGGGACGTTAAGATTTAGCAGGACTCTTTCAGGTGGGAGTCAAGCAGATGGGAGCACCTCGGCTGGTTCTTCAAGACAAATGAAACTTGGGTCAGAGGAAGGAAAGCAGAAGAAACCCCAGGGGCAATAAGAAAATGCAATAAACGAGAACACACACAGTGTACTTGGAATAAAAATGAAGACTAATTCGCTTGAGGTAGATGATCTATGGGTCAGAGGTCAGAAAGGAGAAGATAAGGAAGTAGCACTGATGAAGGCAGAAGCTCTGAACTGGAAGTAGAGATTGTTATCAGATATTCAGCCTTGGAAATTTACATTCACATACAGTTACCTAGAAAACTAGATTTACATAATTAGCACAGATAATGGAAAACAAGATGATCACCAACTGTTGTGGAGGATAGTGTAACAAAGAGGCATTTTAAATAGTATTTTTTCATTTTGGGAAGCAACTTGAAATTTATATTATGAATCTTAAAATTACTTTTAGTTTTTACATAGTTATTGTGCTTCTAGGAGTTCAAAGAACATATTCCTAAATCCTGAAAGAGCCTTTGCTTGCCCAAAGGTGTGCATTGTACAATTATTTAAAATAATGGAAACTCATTAATTTCTCTATAGAAAAGAGCTTAAACCATGATATGTGGTTCCATGAAATAATAAGTAATTATTTTTTAAAGTGAATGTTAATATAACATCTATATAAAACAAAGAAAATTATAAAATATGTGGGGGAAAAAAACAACATGAACGGTATTTGTGACTCCGACTATGTAAAGAAATAGAAACCAAAATAGAAACTGTTATGATGGTGAAGCTCTTTGTTTTCCTTTTATCCTTAAATACACATGAGGAAAGAAAGAGCACCAACCAAAAATAAATAAACAAAGGCCCCCTCCGTGACAGAGTTCAGGAAGAACGAAGAGATGGTGTGCGTGAAGCTCTCTCCGGCTGCGTCATGGCGTCACGCCGAGGTACTGCCTGCCTGCGGCTGCGTCACCGCGTCACGCCGAGGTACTGCCTGCGGCTGCGTCACCGCGTCACGCCGAGGTACTGCCTGCCTGCGGCTGCGTCACCGCGTCACGCCGAGGTACTGCCTGCCTGCGGCTGCGTCACCGCGTCACGCCGAGGTACTGCCTGCCTGCGGCTGCGTCACCGCGTCACGCCGAGGTACTGCCTGCCTGCGGCTGCGTCACCGCGTCACGCCGAGGTACTGCCTGCCTGCGGCTGCGTCACCGCGTCACGCCGAGGTACTGCCTGCCTGCGGCTGCGTCACCGCGTCACGCCGAGGTACTGCCTGCCTGGACTTCCACACCTCCCTAAACCCCGCTAGTCCACTGCAAAGGAGGAAACCACCCAGGAGCCTGAGGGACAACAGGGGAGGAAATGACAGAATTTGAGCCCATCCCCAGAGCTTCTGGAGGTGGAGGGAGGGGCATGAGGTCTAGGGAACTGTGCGGGGCTAAGAAAGCCAAAAAGTGCGCAGGGAACCGAGTGAGCTCAGGACTTGGAGGGTCCCTGCATCTGGGCCGGCTGCAGACAGGAGGGTTATTGAAAATCTGTAAGGCAGAGATCCCTGACCACCATCTCCCCTCCCCAGTCAGGTGGGACTCTGTTTCCTCTACTCGGAGACAGGAGTTCACCCTTCAAGGAATCACAACTTGAAAAAGAGCTTGGGAACTGGGTGAAGTCAACACACTGCAGAGCCATATTCCCCCACCCGACCCCCCTTCCCTCTGCTCAAATTCCCTGACACTGACTCATGAGACCAACACCACCCTAACCAGGCAGAACACGGGAGGGTCGGAGCAGCCTGAGAGCAAAGCACACAGACCAGAAGCAGCTCCCCCAGCCTCTATCAGCCTCTCCCAGTGCTCCCCCAGCCTCCGTCAGCCTCTCTCAGTGCTTCCCCATCCTCCCCCAGTGCTCCTCCAGCCTCTATCTGCCTCCCCCAGTGCTCCCCCAGCCTCCATCAGCCTCTCTCAATGCTCCCTCAGCATCCCCCAGTGCTCCTCCAGCCTCTATCAACCTCTCCCAGTGCTCCCCCAGACTTTATCAGCCTCCCCCAGTGCTCCCCCAGCCTCCATCAGCCTCTCCTAGTACTCCCCCATCCTCCCCCAGTGGTCCTCCAGCCTCTATCAGCCTCCCCCAGTGCTCACCCAGCCTCCATCAGCCTCCCTCAGTGCTCCCCCAGCCTCCATCAGCCTCTCCCGGTGCTTCCCCAGCCTGTATCAGCCTCCCCCAATGCTCCCCCAGCCTCCCAGGGCTCCTGTGTATGAGTCTGTATGCATCAGTGTGTGAGTCTACACAAGTGTGTGCCCATATGAGTAAGTGTGTGTATGAGTGTGTGTGTCAGTGTGTGAGTTCACATGTAAGTGTGTGCATGTATGAGTGTGTGAGTGTGTAGGGTGTGGGTACACTGGTGTGTGTCAGTGTGTGTGTATGTCTGAGTGGGAAATCGTGTGTGTGTGACTGCTGTGTGAGTGTGGGGATGTGAGTGTGTGGGTGTGAGTGTGTTGACAACATGCCTTCCACTTCTTCCATTCTGATATGTCAGGGAGAGACTCCAGCCCATGGCGTCCAGTTTCCCATGAGAATAAAGGCTCCCTATTGATATGGGAAGTTCTGGGCCTGTCCCCTCTGTCCCTATCCAACTCCCAACATAATGTGCATGTCCCCTCAGCCGCTGCATCTCTGCTTCGAGGTGACAAGCACACAGTGAGGACTCTGCTTTTTGCATTTTCCTTATAAACACTCACTCTTCAAGACCTTCTGGTCAGTTCTATTATCCATGAGTGGCCCTTGGACACATTATGAGATATTTTAACACAAAATAATTTCATGAGTATAAGAGTAAAGCCACATTTTTACTACCCAAAGCAATCTAAAGATTGAATGCAATTCTTATCAAAATTTCGATGTTGTTTTTCACAGAAATAGAAAAATAATCCTTGTCCAGGCACAGTGGCTCAAGCATGTAATCCCAGCACTTAGGGAGGCCTCGGTGGGCGGGCGGGCGGATCACAATGTCAGGAAATGGAGACCATCCTGGCCAGCATGGTGAAACCCCATCTCTACTAAAAATGCAAAAAAATTAGCTGGGTGTGGTGATGCGTGCCTGTAGTCCCAGCTACTCTGGAGACTGAGGTAGGAAAATCGCTTGAACCCAGGAGATGGAGGTTGCAGTGAGCCGAGATTCACCCACTGCACTACAGCCTGGCAACAGGGAAAGACTCCGTCTCAAAAAAAAAAAAAAAAAAAAAGGAAAAATAATCCTAAAAGTCGTATGCAACTAGGAAAGCCTCTAATAGCCTAAACAATCCTTAGGAAAAAGAACAAAGCTGGAGGCATCGCACTCCTGATTTCAAAATATATAGTTACAGAAACCAAAACAGCATGGCACTGACATTAGAACAGACAGATCGGCCAATGGAACAGGATAAAGAGCCCAGAAATGAAACTAAATATTGATGGTCAATTGATTTTCAACAAAGATGCCAAGAAGACACAATAGGGAAAGACAGTCTCTTTAATCAGTGGTGCTGGAAACACTGAATATCCACATGCAGAAGAGTGAAATTGGCGCTTTAACTTATGCCACATGGAAAAATCAACTCAAATTGGATAAAAGACTTAAACATAAGACCTGAAACTGCGAAGCCGCTGGAAGGAAGCTCGTGGGGGAGATGCTTTGCAGCATGGATCTGGGCAGTGATCGCTTGGATAGGACATCAAAAATACAGGCAACAAAAGCAAAAGTAAATAAATGGTACTGCACAAAACTAAAAAGCTTCTGCACAGTAAAGAAAACAATTGACAAAAGGAAGAAAGAACCCATGGATTGGGAGAAACTATATTCAAGCTATGCATTGGCTAAGGGACTAATATTCAAAATCCATAAGGAACTGAACTCCACAGGAAAAAAACAAATAACCCATTAAAAATGGGCAAAGGATCTGAACAGATATTTCTCAAAAGAAGACAGAAAAATGGCCAACAGATACTTGAAAAATACTGAACATCTCTAATCATCAGGGAAATGCAAATTAAAACTGCAGTGAGATATCATCTCACACCTGTTAGAATGGCTATTATCAAAAAGACAAAAGATAAAACACTGGCAAGCAGAGAAAGGAACACTTGTGCATGATTGGTGGCATGTAAATTAATATAGCCACTATAGAAAAGAGTGTGGAGTTTCCTCCAAAAACAAGCTGAACTGACATGTGATCCAGCAATCCCACCTCTGGGCATTTATTTGTAAAGATAACATATGGTTTAATGTGTACGACGCAAAGTGAGAGGTTTAAAAATTCATTACGGCTATTCAACATATGTAAAAAGCTGCTCATAGCAATTATATACAAAGCAGTCATGCCAATTAACCTAAGACAGGATGGAAGAAGTGGCTAATCAGGACGCCCAACCTGAGTTTCTTAAAGTAAAACTCAAACTCCAGACAAAACTGAGGGAAGTCCTTTAAAAAGCTTCATCGGCAGCAGATCACCACCCTGCCCTTCCATCCAGGGCCTCCCACAGAACACGCACCACAGCTCCATGGTGCCCTCTTTTGCAGCAGTGACTTCCCGTGTCAGGAAATAGTGATTTCAGCACCCCAAATGACTTGAAAATTAAAAGGCATTTACTTACCACAGACTCTACTCATTGCCAAAATCATATCATCATACACTGAAAATGAGAAGGGATACGCACCATTACGACATGTAACTTTAACCGAAAGCAGCATTTTCAATGTTTAATTAAATCGATGCAGGAAATTGTGATGTTCAGTTGAAAAATGAATCATTAAAATGGCAATATTTATCCATAAAAGACTTATGTGTGCGATAAATCCTTCTAACCTATTCACTTTTAAAAAAGGATCAAGAACGTTTTACTCAACATAAATCCAACTCTACATTCAACTGAATCACTGCCTCAGTGTTTCCATCATTTTAACTGCATTAGTAATGCGTTGCTTGGCTTCTGATGATGGACCGAAATGACGTTTCATATAAACCCAGAGTAATATCATACATTATTCTAAAACACTGAAAAAACTCTGAAAGCAACCAAAGAACAAATAGTTTTTTTCTACAGTGTTACTGCTAAAGACACAATGTGTGCTATAGCTGAGGCTAGACATAGACCTGCCTTCAGAATACATCCCATCCTGTTGGTGAAAGGAATTTCTTGTTCACAGAACAAAGGAGGTTTTCTTTTACCTTTGCCAGCTATTTCAAGGATGGACACATCTTGGCCTCTGTCATCTTTCAAGGTTGCCTTGTATTCACCGTGGTCCTTCTTTGACAACTACAAAGAAAACACATTCCATATTTATGTAAAGTCAATACTGCAATCTTAGAAAACGTAATAAACTCTAATACATTTTCTTTGCAAACCACCGAAATTCAGGATGCAAATTAGAGGATTGTAGAATTTACGAGTTATTTGAAAGTGCCGTTTTTGTTTTGCTTTCTTGTGTTACTCAATGCCTGATACCTTTGGGATGAGGAGCTCACAGATTCCCCTCTCCAGGTTAGGCAGTGTCTCCGTTTCATACAGAACATCATCCTTGAGCCATTTGAAAACGGTTTCTTTCTTGGTGTTTGCAACCTGTGAGGTAGAAAGCTTAAGTTTAGTGTGTAAATCATTCTGACTCATGAGAAAAAGAAAGTCTATTAGAATCTTAAATCACAGAGCCCCCCCCTCAAAAAACCTTAGTTTTTACTATAGACAGTCTCAGACGAAGGCTTATGGAAAAGCTGTCGCTCCCAATAACGTCAAACACATTTCTAAATTCCAGCTTCTAAGAAAATTAAGTCCTCACAGTTGCTCACAGAAGGACAAATGATTCTCGTCATTCTAGTCCATGAAATTAGACTAGGCATAAAGATCTTTTGGTCTATATGAAATGTCATTAACAAAGACAAGTCTTAAGCAATATATATGGGGATTTCTGAATAATAGAGAATATTCTGAGGGGTCTGTAAAGCTGGTTGGCAGCTGCTCTTTTAACAGCATCCCATTTCAGGTACAGGGACACAAAGAAAATGAAATCTTAACACAAAAATGCTCACTAGAGGTGAGGACCTTCCCTATACTGAAATTCCTCACAATTCAATCGCTGGCTAGAAACTAAGCTTTGCGGAACTCCGAAGATAAATGAGCATTCCAATTCACATGCTCCGGCATTGGTCTGAGGGACGAGGAAGAATTCTGATTCAGCATGGCAGAATGTTTGAATCCCATGAGATTATACAAGTCTGACAATTCGATGTTCACATCCCATGTGAATTCAAGAAGAGTGATGTTGATGACAAAAGAATGAAAATGATTCAACAGTGTCATCAGCTCTGCTAGAGTAACAGTGCAACACAGCTTAGAATTTCCACATCCGCTATGGGAAATGGCATCGTTCTCGACAGCACTGGGACTGAATCTCTGTGAAGCAGGGGTTTCGTCTGTTTCACTAACACTTGTCCCCAAGTGCATGGCTGCCTGCCTGGCACACAGAAGTTGTCCCATCAATGTTTGTGGAATACATAGATGGAAGGTATCCCACTGAGCTGCAAAGTAGTGTCTTCCTTCTAAATCAGAACCACTCCTTTATAACAAATCTTAGAATGGACTGCGGCTGAGGCTCCACGACTCTAGCAGACGATTCCCTTTACTTTAACATTTCAAAATTTTCTTTGGTGTCTGTTTTCAATGCCAATCTAATTGCTTACTGTCTCTTAAGTCAATACTGTTTTCTCTTCATCTCTTCTTCAAAAAAATTTTACATTGCTGGTCCTTTCCAATAAATGCCTTTCCAATGACCTTCAATTACTGTTTTCTGAAATAAATATCTGTAATTAATGTATTTGTCCTATAATTGGGGGAGACGGTTCTAATTCCCCAAAATAACTCATTTGTTTCTTCTCTGCACTCCCTCAAATTCTCTCTACCATAAACTCTTTAAAATATGGGCACCTAAACTGCACATGAATGTCTAGGAAAGATGATTACATCACCTCTTAGGCTACGTATGGCCCATGCCTGACTCACACTTCCTAAGAGTCAGCGCTAATTCTCCACTTCTGCTGTGTAAGGAATGTTTAACAGATTTTCTTATGTTTATGATTGTGGTTTCTCTGTGTCTGAAACTTTTAAAAATGGTTTTCTCTGAAGTTACAATGTGACTGCATCCTTGCAAAAGTTTTTCTCCATCTATTTTTTCACGTTAATAATTTTTAAAATAACCATCTGCACCACATTATTAAATGAAAAACCCTGTAGACAAAATGGTGCACCGAATCACAGGCTTGACAGGGACACAAGTATGTAAATCAAATGTATTAAATTGCACAAAAAACCCTCAAACCTCAAGTAATATTAGTTTTCCCAATATCTGTGTTTAAAGATTTATGAATCACTTTAGTCAGGGAACCTAAAATAATTTTAAATATTTATAGACGGTTCTATCCCACTAAGATGATATCAGAGCCCATGGAAAGCAGAACTCGGGGGTCTCGCCACTGGCCTTGGGAGTGCACACACACCTTGTATGGCACGGTCAGAACAACAATACCAACAACAACAAAAAGAATAAACCAGCACCATAACCAAGTCACACTGACTTGCTCTGGGCTTTGAGTTGCTGACTCCCTAAGGAACTGATTTTTGCAGTGCTGATGTCTAAAATTTGGAAGAAACATACCTTTCTGTGCAGGGTAAATAATTTGAGAAAGTTGTTTTTGCAGCATGAATGGACTACATACACAGGCTATCATCAGTCACCTGGCAGGATTCTTCCCTTTAAATGTCCATTATGCTTTTCATTTGTTGAGCAAGACTTCTAAAGACCACTTCCCTTGCAGCTTCCTTGCAAGTAACCTTCTCTTCTTTTATAAATGTTTTCATTTCTGAATCTTCCTTTTAAACACACTAGTGCAAGAAATTCACTACCAAAAATAAATCTAAGTATTTTTCTATAATAAATTTACCACAACCTTGAGCATGTTATCGAACCTATCAAATCAAAGCCTTAGCTCTAGTTATCACTAATATATATATAATGTATTATCAATTATATATCTATATAAATTTCTTTCAAGAAGAGAGGAAGGGAAAACAGTATTGATTTAAGAGACAGTAAGCAATTAGATTGGCAATTAAAATATATATATTATATATTTATATATATTATATTATATATAATATATATATATTATATTATATATAATATATATATATTATATTATATATAATATATATATATTATATATAATATAATATATATATATATATACAGGAAATCAAATTGCAAATTAATTACCAATACTGAGGATGGTCAGAATAGTAAGACGGTTCCTTTCATCACACAAATTTCTAGGAGTAACCTGCACCTATCTAGGGTGTGTTCAACAGCCACCTAGTTCCAAACCCCCATGCCCCATCCTCCTGCAAATCCCCTTGCCCGGGTCCACTCCCGAGTGCACTGCAGACCTCTGCTCCACAGGCACGCACTTGCTCTTCACGGCAGGTCCCCACCTGACACTTAGGCTCATCAACAAGCTCACACCCCAGTGTCCCCGCTGAGGTGGCCAAGTGGAGATCACCAAGGCTTAGCCCTGCCTCCTCTCCATTTATCCCGCCTGGCCTCACTTTCCTGCTCAACTTAGACAGCTGGTTGACCAACTAACGACAGTTAAACAAGACCCAAAGTTCCTATTCCATCTTCCCTTCTTGCAACTTCCATCCAGCAAGACCCCAATCATGAGTCTGTCCCCTGACTCACACTAGGTCACTGGCCACATCTGGAAAAATCAATCCCAGCACCCCTATGTGGGCCACTACGAGCTATCTCCACGTTGATGCACTCAACAATGATTTCCATTCTTAATAAGGAGCTGCTGTCTTGCCTCCTTCAGTGGCAATCACAGCCCACTCCTGCCACTCCCCCCACTGTGGGCTACCTTCCTCATCTTCAACACCCTCCAACCCTTCACTGGAAAGAGTGTGAAACCAACGGGCTGCACTGATGGATCTGCCGCTTGCTCTGCCCTGGTTTTTGGCATCCCCCCCGCCCCCTCATTGTCCTTCACAGGGAGCTGCCCTGGGGGCCAAGCAGCCCCTTGCATGGCTGTGCTGACCTGGTCTCATCTCCCTCCAGGCCAGCACTGCCCCTCCTGTGTCCCCATGTGCTCCCCTTCCTTCACCTGTGAGTCCTCTTCCACTGACCCCTCTGCCTATAAATAGGATTGAGCGTCTCCATCCAGAAGGAAAGACAAAGCCACCCTGACTCCCCTCGCTCTCCCTCACTGCCAGCTGAGCACCTCAGAGGGCAGCGGGCTCCTGCTCGTATCCCCCCTTGTGTCCCATCTCCTCAGCCCACCACGTAGAGACCCTGCCTTGCCAGGGAGTGGGGTTGGAAAGCCCAGCACCCAGCCCGTGCTGCCTCCAGCTGTCCCTGCTCAGCCGGCCATGCAGCGCTGCCTCCAGCCGCCCCTCCTCACCCGGCCACGCAGCGCTTCACTCCAAAGTCCCTCCCTGCCAGAGGCCACCAAGTCACTTGCTTTCCCTCTGAACTCTCTGAGGGTTTCTGCTTAATAATCCTGGAGCTGGTCTCCTCTTCTCCTCTGACAATCTGAATTTTCCAGAATGCCCCAATTGTTTGTGATGTTCCTGTCTCTAAAGGCTGTCCTTTGGCAGCTTGACCCACTTGCGTCATGTCCACAGCCAAGCATTCCCAATACCTCATGAATCCACACACGATATCTCATGAATCCACATGCTCCAGATGACTTTCCCATTGCTGCCAGGTTCACATGTCCTGTCGTGAGCCGGTTATGCCTTACTGACCATTCCACGGATATAACTAAATCTTTGTGAAATTGAATGTATTCTCAAAACCCTAAAACTTGGCCCTCCCCGTACAGTGCTGATCTCAAGAAATATCACACCCACTCGGTCCTCCAGTACACTTCCCTCTCACCCACACCCAGCTACTTGCCAGCCCCTGCTGGTTTTAACTGCTGGATGTGTATCCTAAATCTCCTTCTCTCGGTGGATATGAAACTGCCCTGCTGGAGTTACCATCTCTCAGCAGCCTACTGAAGCGTCGTCCTCCAGCCCTGCCACCTCCAGCCTTCCTTGTCAACCAGCAGCCCGTGTCACTGCACTAACAGCCCTCAGGTGCTCTGTACCCTCTCAGTCCATGGCCAGCCTCTGGGTCCTGCAGGGGAATGCCCCACTTGCCCACCAGCCTTGGGTTTTTTATTGTTTTTATTTTTAAGTGCACAGTTCAGCTTCTCTGTCCCTCCCTGCTGCTGGATCTTCCTAGAACCATCTTTTCCCACTCACTGGCCTGCATAATTCTTAGTCCCCTTGGCACACGCAGCTCACGAATCATCTCTTTATTGAAACTGTCTGTTTACTTTTCTCTCTTATCCAGTAGACAATAAGAAACTAGTTTGGGAGTAAAAACAATGCATTATTGATCTTTTTCCCCCATCCCCTCATCCTGAGACAGTCAAATAGTAGGCAGTTATTAAATTGAAGATTTGCTGCTTAAAAAACAGATTTTTATATTTAGTAATAAAACATATTTCATTACTACATTGTTAAACGAAACTGAAAGAAGTATCTTGTCTCCAAAGCATGCCTTTCCTTTCCTGATGAACTCGTATGAGCAGCACTTCTAGGTGTATTTCACCAGGGCACACTTTCTCATAAACTCACTTAATAATCGTTTAAGTAAAATTTTTATAATCCAACCTTCCATTGCATCCCACTACACTGTAATCTTTTCGTGAAGAAGAAAAGATAAGCACTGAAGTCCAAGTATTAAAAAGTCCACAGGACCCAAAAGCCACTCCGCCCATCCGCAGCTACACAGGCACCACACGTTTCCTCACCAGCATCACAGATCTGGCCACAGCTACTCCCTGAAAGGCCTCTCTGATAGGAACCAGAATGAGATTTATTGTTTTCCTGTTAGAACCGGGTTTCTCACCTTGCAAACAAGTCGAACTTCACATTCTTCCGTGACATCCCAGTGCAAGTACTCAGCAAAATGAGGGCCTAGGGAGGAAAAAAGGGAAGAAAACATATAAAAAAGGAAAAAGTAAACAAATAAATATATAGCTATTATATATATATACCCACACATATATGCATGGTGTGTATATATAATACATAAGAATGTATTATATATATTTATGTAATGCATTTTTGGCAGAACACAATAGCTGTGGAGGATGAAACTGAGATAGTTTTCAGGCCTGGGATGTCGACACGTGTTAACACTGATTCTCCACTGGAATCTGTGCTTCCTGGTAGGAGCGTACGTCTGATGGCTCCTTCTTACTGACATCTCATATCTATTGCTCTTCAGAAAGGAGGCTATTGAAATAATTATATTTTGTTTCCCAAAGTATATGTCTAACTGAACATTCGACAACATGGTAAATAATACCTTTAAATAAGAGAATAGATATGAGATAAAGAAACAACAGTTTGACCTAGCAATTTTGTAAAACACATTTTCTTTAGATAGCATTCAAAATCAAAGACAGGTTTATATATGTTTTTAAAAAATGTTAATCATTTTTATTTAAAATACATGTAGGAATAAGTCATACACTAATACCCTTTTGCCATTCAATGCAAAAATACAAAGCAGATTTGGAAAGTATGTGTCACTTCTTTCATATACATAAATACATCCTACAAAGTTGGCCCAAAAATGTTCATAATGTAGAAGTAAGTAAAATATTTGTGACTATTAGAAATAAAAACAATGAAAAATAATAAAAATGAATGTTTTGATTTTATGTTTCATAATTCACATTCTAATTTTTCTCAAGAAGTTCAGAAATCCCATATATAAAAATGTTTTTTGAGGCTGGGCGCAGTGGATCACCCCTGTAATCCCAGCACTTTGGGAGGCCAAGGCGGGCGGATCACGAGGTCAGGAGATCGAGACCATCCTGGTTAACACGGTGAAACCCCGTCTCTACTAAAAATACAGAAAAAATTAACCGGGCATAGTGGCGGGCGCCTGTAGTCCCAGCTATTCGGGAGGCTGAGGCAGGAGAACGGCGTGAACCCGGGAGGCGGAGCTTGCAGTGAGCCAAGATGGCATCACCGCACTCCAGCCTGGGCAACAGAGCAAGACTCCATCTCAAAAAAGAAAAAAAATTCTTTGAATAAACCCTTGGGGTATGTTTGAGAATCTAAAGTGTATCCATTTTCCTTTGTATCTAGTTAACATGTATTTGTAAAAGCAATCTATTTAAAACATATTGTTTGTAGTTAGAAAGTTTAACAGCTCCCACAATCTTAAGTAGAATGAGCAATTTCCTGGTGATAGGAATAGCCTCTACTGCCTTCTCTACATTTCAAAGCCAAATGAAGCCACCACCTCCTCTACCCCCATTCTTTATTCTTTTCATTAAAATTGCTGGACTCCGTCTGGACATTAAAGCTAGAGGCACGCTTTCCTCTTCACTCCCCTGCTATAAAGCAGGTTCCTTTCCTATGCAGTTGGTAAGCCTAACCTCTTAATCATTTAAAACAGCCTTTAGGGTTGCTTGGGATCATGCAAGATCTGCTTCTGACAAATACTCCAATCGTCTTTGCTTTATGCTAGGGGCAGGGGAGCCGGTCAGAGTGAGGAAACTCACCTTGTTTCCTGAGAAATTCTTTCCTTTGAAACTCAGCCTCTTCCAGCACAGTCTTGAATGCTAAATTCAATATTTAAAAAAATATATATGAAACATGTTTGCTTCTCTCCAGTCAAAAGAATTTCATTTGAATTATCTTGTATGGACATGTGGAAATATTCGATATAGCATACCATCTCCAATAAGAACTAGAGAAGACTGACTTTTGGCTTTCCCATCATGAATCTGCACAGTGTAGGTCCCCTCATTTTCAATACTAAATCGATCCATCACCATCTCAATAATGCCAGTAGCTTTGTCACATTTAATTCTGTGTATCTGCAAGCAAAACAAGGGAAATGGAGAATTATACAAGGAAATCTCTCCTAGTTTTCCCTTGCAACATTTAACAATTGCATCAGCCATGAGATCTCAAGGGATTATGATAGGAAGAAACCAAAATGAAATTTTATCAAGGAAACCTCTGGGTGAACAAGGATCAAACAGTGGGTATGAGCTGTCACTCAGTGACAAAGCCTGGCTGTGTGAGGAGATCTGAGAGTCCAAACCAGGGACCTTCTAGGCAGAGACTCCACACCTACCCAAGAATGAGTTACTAACGTGAAGCAGATAAAATTCACAGGAGAAAATAAAATGATACGCAATTGATATGAATGATAACGATCACCAGCTGATGACAAAAATCCCACATGGATAGCAACAACAGGCAATCTCCACAGCCACTGTCATCTTCAGCTCCCGGGACACAGCACCCACAAGCCCCAGCCTGCTGTGGTCCATCACGGTGCAGGGGTTTCAGGTGAGGAAAGGATAAATGGACCTCCAACAGGTGTTGACTTTTTTGATCGCTTTTATTTTTTAAATGTTTCATTTTATTCTACAGTACATGCACAGATACATATGAATGTGTTTTATTTAGGTAATCCTACAAGTCAAAGAACAAGTGTTTCTCTAACACACAGATGAATTGAGCAAATTTGATCTTTTGTTTCCCTCTGATTTTGTGATGTTTACTTATTAACTTTTTAACTTCACTAAAACCATTTTCCCCATCTTTATTAATGCTTATTTCTCTTTTTTATGTTGTGTTTGTTTGTTTTTTGTTTTTTTTTTTGCTGGTTGCCTTATTTGGGGGCTTGATATTTTTACCTTTTTGTGCTTCTTGATAATTATTAAAGTTATAAATTAATATTAATACTTAAATTTCACTTTTTCACTTAAATAACTCTAATTCTAATGAAACCTTTCAAAACATCAATCAGCCTGTGTAATTTTTAGAACTGTTTCAAACCAATTTCATATGGTATTGGTCTTTGCCAATATATGTTCTTAATATATTAGACCATCTCTTCCTTGTAATTCTGAAAACGAGTTTTCCTGTGTAGCAGTATATAAATTTGTCACATCCCTGTGGTCCCAGCTACAGGGAAGGCTGAGGCAGGAGGATCGCTTGGGCAACAGAGAAAGACCCTGTCTCAAAAAAATAAAAAGAAAAAAGAAATTTTGTTAGGCTGGGTGCAGTGGCTCACACCTGTAATCCCAGCACTTTGGGAGGCCAAGGTGGGCAGATCACCTGAGGTGGGGAGTTCGAGACCAGCTTGGCCAACATGGTGAAACCCCAACTCTACTAAAAATACAAGAATTAGCCAGGTGTGGTGGCGCACGCCTGTAATCCCAGCTACTCAGAAGGCTGAGGCATGAGCTTGAACTCAGGAGGCAGAGGTTGCAGTGAACCGAGATCACAGTCACTGCACTCCAGCCTGGGCAACAGAGTGAGACTCTGTCTCAAAAAAAGGGGGAAAGAAGAAATTTTGTCATATATAATGCATACAACCAAACCACAAACATTTGCCCACACAGTTCCCCCTCCCTGCCTGCAGTGCAGCTGTCTTGTTGCTAAGATAGGAGAAAGACTGGAAGGCTGTTGGTTGGTCTGAGAACACTACTTTGCATCACTTCATGATTTCTAGGTTACACTGTATCACAGGAACAGTCCACAGAAGCCTGGACTACCTGCCTCTCTGCTGCTTTGGTGATGAATGCAGGGATACATTTCATGCCTTGGAGTTCCCTGAGGGCCATGCCCCAAAGTTCTGAGCTTGCAGGCCTCTCTGCAACAGTGCAGCTTCTGCCCATCCTTGTCGTGGCCACCTCACCCGAATGCAGCCCTTGTGACTGGCTCCAAGGGAGACTTCCCTGATGCCCCGGGGTGAGGCTTGGTGTTTTATGGGGTTTCCACAGCTCTGCCTCCCTTCCCCCAGTAGCACCCTGCCCTTGGGAGCACCCTCCCCACCCTACCTATCCACCTGCCGTCTGTCTGTCTCGCCAGACAATGAGCCCCTGAGAGCAGGCATGGCCTTACTCATCCCTGCAGCCTCACGCTGTGCCCAGCATCATGCCTGGCAGTGAGAAATACCAAACACATGTCCAACAAGGTTCTGATGAGAAAGTCAGCTGGAGGGGGCTTAGCTCACCCTGCCATCTGTGGCATTGAGGTGGCTGTGGTCTCTGACACTACTAAGTGACACTGAGCAATTTTGGAAGATAATTATGCTTCTAGGTGAGAGCCCGCGGACATGGTCAGGACCGGAACTTCCTTCCCAGTGCAGACCTGAGAAGCCTTCTTGATCAACTGAGACCTTCCCCTCCAGATCAGTCATCGGCTGAAACTATGAACCTGTCCCAGTCGGTCCTTCCTCCATCCCTGGCTGCAACTGTCACCTCTCTTCCTTCAACAGCTAACCCCCTGCACCACCCTCTTTGACCTCCCTGCCTTGGTGCAGCCACACCCTGGGCACAGAAGCCCCACCCCAGGCAGCATCTGGGGTAGAGACCTCCCAAGGCCTTCACCTGCTCCCAGCTCACCTTCCCCACACCTCTGCTCACTCAGCCTTTGGGATGTGCTAACAGATACCGAAAGGTGTTATGGCTGCTAGTGGATTGTGTTGTACTCCACCTGGATGATACAGTGTCTGACATTGAGCAGGGTCTTGACGGTAGAAGGACCACATCCCAGTGTGTGACTCATCCTAAATGCAGCAGTAATGCAAGGCACGATGGCGTCGAGGGAATCCAATGTCCAGCGCGGGACTCGCCCCAGCCATGCCACCGTAGAATCACGGGAGTGTGGATGCCCGGCCTCGGCTTCCTCGTGCCCAGCGTTACCAATACGGTAGTCTCAGCTGCTGTCAATATTTTCTGCAGATCTGCATCTACCTGTCGGATCGATCTCAGCTGGAATTGGGGCAAAGGCTTTCCAGCCTGAATAATGATCTTACCCAGGACCCAAGGAGGCTCTTGGGGCCACATGAGCAAAACAAAAAACTAATAACCTGTGGTGCTCGGCAAATGAGGCAGGCGTAGCGGGAGAAGACTCCGTCAGCCCTTGGAACCACACTCCTCTCACAGCCCTTGCCTTAGCAGCAATACTGCAGAGAATTTCTATCTGCAGGTGACAATGTAAGTTTAGCCAGAAAATCAGCAACCTTCTTCTGATAAATCACGTGCATTTGTTTTCACACGTTCTTCTTTCTCTCTGAGTTTACATTTCTGTTTTGATATTGCAAATGCCAGTGCCACCGGAGAGGCTTTAGAAGACAAATATTAGCAAACTGGCCACTTGGTTCAGTTTCTCTCTCTGTGTTCATTTTCTTCAGCATTGTTTCTAAGTTCTTCTGCCTGACATTCAAAGTCTGTATCTTCTGACCCCACTCCTATTCCCCAACACTATTTCCTAAGATCACTCAGGCAAACAGCCCCCTCCGTTGAGCCCACCCCTCCACTTCCCTGTGTCGCTATTCCCTGATCATTCCCCACTCTCTGTGCACTAGAGCGGCTTGGAATGTCTCATTCTCTCCCTCCCATCCCTGACCCCCACCCCCCGACCCATGATTTCTACCTCCTTAACACCCATTTCAATAACCCTCTACCCTTGAAATCCTTCCTGACTACTTCAGCCTCTTCAACTCTCTGCCTTCTCTGAATTCTGAGAGTGTTTACTGTACTGTTTTAATATAACCTGGGTTCTATCTTTCTTCTCTGTCCTCCTCTAATTGAAGGTGTATTTCTTTGACTCTGTGACAGTCTCTGTAAGGGCAACTTCACATCTGACTGTTCTGTCCCTGCTGGTGTATTGGCCAAGTGGATATTCAACAGGTGATGTACAGGGTAGGTGCTGCCGTCCACTGGGAAAGGAAGAGGACCGCCCAAGCTCCCAACAGCTCCCGGGGATGCTGCAATTTTTGTTTCATCGAATCTGACATTCAGGGTTTACGTGTGAATAAAGTCTGCTCCACTCCTACCCCAGGTTTTGATTTCCCATAAACACAAAAATCACCTTCGCAATTAGAAATTACAATATTATATCAGAGATGTAGATCACACAGCGTATACTTGTGTAAGATCACTGAGACTTTTTCTAAACAGAAAACTGGCACAGGAAATTGGTACATCTACAATGATAGAAAGTGACAGAAATGAATGAGAAGGCATGACCTCAGACTGTTTTTGAGGGAGGGAGATTATTTTAAGAAATGGCTCAACTGCAGGAAGCACAACAACTTTGTCCCCGTCCCTGGAGACTGACGTCGCTCTTGGAGGTACCATGAGCAGGAGAGGGACCTGAGATTCCAGTGGATACACCGTCCCGTGGACCTTGGATTTCTTTACAGTGTGGAGTGTTTACTTCCGAATATCAAGAGTAAACTTCAGGTTGATCAGATAAATGCACTGTCCTTATTTGTATGACATTATCCTCACCTCAAACATCTATGAGTAGAGAATGAATGATAGGAACTTACTTTAACTGGCTCTGAGTAAGAAAAAGGTATGATTCTCACTGAGTAGATTCTCAGCAATATAGCAGCTTTTTCCATTTTCTTAGCTGCTGTGCTGCAATGTCTGGGCAGGTTTTACAAAATAATTAGGCTTCTTGCTAATGCCATTATGCAGCAAGATGAAGTTGAATGATTTTATGAGTGCCATAAATACAGACTTTTATATGTCTTCCACAAAATAGCATCAATCTTCAAATGTAAAAGTCACCTGTGCATTGCTAATTAAAGAAGTGAAATAGTACAACCATATTCCAAAAGATTAGCCATGAAGCCAGGGCACCCATCCTGAAAGCAAGCTCTATACAGCAGGCAGGAAGTGCTCATCAAAAGATATCCCGCAAATAAAGTGCCATTCCCCTAAATTCCCTTTCATTTCATAGCATGGTCTCTGCTCAAAGAAGATTTCTCCAATTACCTGGATCAGACAGTAAGTCTCCCATAGGCAATAGTTATACCACTGGCTTTTTTGCAGCCCAAAAGAAGCTAGATGTTTTCTACTTTCTAGCCGACTCTCCCACGTAGGAGTGAGTCTTAAAGTGTGTCATGATTCTCATGGGAAAGACTGACTGGAGAAGAAAATTCTATGATCCTTACCTGCAAGACTTCTGTCTGATCAACATTCATCTAACTGAGTCCTGCTAAATGCCCATCAGACACAAAGGCTGGACTGCAATGAGGGGTCCAGCTTAGAAATATGGTAGGGGGGCTGCCCGGGAGCATGAGAGGCTCCTGCATCCCACAGTTCCCCTAAAACTTGTGTAATGAACAAACCAATCAACACTGAGGACTTAGTACACAGCTAAGGTTGCCAACCACACTCTACACTGGGCATTAAGGGAAAAAGGCAGAAGCAGTAAAGATGGGGGCTCTGAGAGAGCCCCAAGCCACCACTGAACAATAAAGTCCCCATGAAATAGGGCTGTCCTTTAACCGGGTCCCAGGCACGCTATAATTAGAAAAGAGGAAATTTATTGAAACACAACCATTGGCTTCTCAAATATTCTCCAGACAAATAAGGAGTACCTGACATAATTGTTAAGGTTCATTTTATACAATCGAAAGCAGAACCGAGGCGGTGTCTGGACCGTGACAGAGCATGTGCCTTTTTTGTTGTTGTTGTTTTGAGACAGAGCCTTGCTGTCTCCCAGGCTAGAGTGCAGTAGTTCAATCATAACTCACTGCAGCTCGGACCTCTCAGGCTCCAGTGATCCTCCCACATCAGCCTCCTAAGTAGCTGGAACTACAGGTGAGCATCACCATGCCCAACTAATTTCTTAAGTTTTTGTAGAGATGGGATCTCCTTATGTTGCCCAGGCTGGTCTTGAACTCCTGGGATCAAGCAATGCCCCCATCTCGGCCTCCCAAAGTGACGAGATTACAGGTGAGAGCCGCCATGCCTGGCCAGAACATCACTCTTGACAGCCACACTGTCACGTCAGTCTGCCACACCAAGATTGCTGCCCAAACAGGCAGAGAAGCCACAGAAACTTATTCCCCACGGATGCCTTCCATGGGAAGCTGTCAGTGGGGGGAGAATGCAGGGAGGCCTCTCTCACAATACAGCAAAAAATAGATACCTTCAAAACCATTATCAAGAATAAGTGAACTGATTCATCAAGGATATTTTCCCCCACCTGACCTAAACCTTTTCACAAAAAACAAGCTCAAAGTCATTTTTAATTCCAACAGGCTCAGATTTTAAAGACTCCTGATGTCTCCTGTAACCCAGACCAAACCTTTGAACATTGTAAGAATCAACCATCTCCATTCATCTTGTCAACCTTCCATGCCCCAATCTTTAAGGCTCAGAAAAGGATGGAAACAGACAGAGAATGTTGATATTCAGTAACTGACCTACCACAACAAAAGTGGACTCCCTGCAAAGCCAGAGATCACTCACACAGGAACTCACCTCGCTGTCAGAGACTTCTCTGTCGTTAATAATAAATCGGTAGCTGGCATCTGGTGATAAGTGCTCAGCCTGGAGCCAGAAGCGAACCCGCCCCTTATCAAAAATCTCATAAGCTAATTCCGATTTCAGAGGAATTGCTACAGGAAGAAAAGAAATCGCAAGTCAATAATGCATGAATCCTTGTGAGGAAGAATACCTGCAAATTGTAGGGAAATATCAATCCTAGTTATTAGATTTTTGAGAATGTGAAACCCTGGAGTATTAGATTATGGAAGCTAAAAATATAAAATAAAACTTGAGCTGGCCTGTTGTTGCCTCTAAAGCCTCATGCCACATGAGTTCTCAGTTAGCTTTGCAAATGTGTTCGATAAGTAAAGATGCCTGGATTCTTTCTATATTTAATGCAATTCAATAACAGAAGATTTCACTTGATAGGAAATGAAATCTTGGATCTCACTCGGATTAGCAACAGCTATACTAAACCCAAAATTCTAATCACTGTGTACGCAATGCAAGTTTCAACAAGCTATAATATAAGCTAATATTTGTTTTAAATCAATAGGTTTCAATCCTGTAAGCTGGGATCAGGAAATCAGGCCATCCTTTCCCCAAAGCTGTTCTTCCAAGAGCTCATGCATTAATGAACACGGCCCTCCAGCCAGCAGCTGCAAGCAGAGGGGAAGGGCTGGAGGCTTACTTACTGGGGTTCTTTATTTCATTGCTCAATGCCATCAAACGCTCGAGCTCTAAAACGAAGAAAAAGTATTTCAATTCATCTGGACCTGCACCTAGAGAAGTTTGTAGACAACAGCAAGGCGACACACGAGCAAGATTGGAAACCCCCAGGATTTAATTGGAGGACACGAAAGGAATTTAAACTACAAGTCTGAGGGACATAGAGGATAGCTTTAACCTTCACCATTTAAAGAACCCACCTAGTACAGGGGCAGCTGAGGACAAGGCAGGGCACAGTCATGGGGACAAAGGAATTGGGGGCAGGGGTAGGTATATCCCTGGAATATAGGAAGACTTGGAAGACGAAAGGTTAAAGGGAGTCTTTTCCAGATCCTTGCACTTAATGTGAGCTCTTTCCTAAAATTGATTGCACTGGCTGAGAACGTGCTTCTGGCCTGTGACTTTCCTTCCCCTCTCAAGATGTCCTTCTTCAATCTCATTAAAGAAAGATATACACACCGCTCATTTCATCACTATAGTGTATTACCATGAATTTAAAAAAAAAAAAGGAAAGAAGAAAATAACAAAAAAAATAAATAAATAAACAAAATACACTGCATTTTGCATTCCTGAGAAAGTCTCAAGAGCAAGGTAAGAAAATCTGGGCTCTAAGCCACTTCATTTTCTCTCCTTCCTTCTTAAAATTAGAATCAGAAAGAAGATGGTGATCTCCAAGGCCTTCAAGAACATGTCTATTCAAAATGGAAAAATGAAGTTAGATTTTTCTGCCCAAAAGTAAATTCATATTGGCAACTGGTTTCACAGGGAGGACTGGCTTTCCCAGTTCAACCTTCTGGTAGGAATTTCCATACATGGAATGAACTAAATCTTCAACTGCAAAGTTTTACCTCAAATATATTTGAAGTCTATACACAATATAAGAGAAGGTGGAATTTTTTCTTTTGCAAGTATTTAAAAAAGTTAAAATTAAGATGGAAACTTTGAAATGGTGCAGAGGAATGCACAGCTTTTCAGAAGTCCTTCAGGATGTCGTGAAGGTACAAAACTGTGTCAAGACCCTGGAGGCAGGGCCAACAGAGGCTGCTTTAAAAGCATGCAAATGGATTTTGGGTCCTTCCCCACCCTGCCTGTGAGTGGTGAACTGAGGACCCCAGAAAGGCGAGACAGTGCGGCCTCCTCATTTGTCTGGCTGTGTCTTGTTAAATGTGCATGAGTTTTCCTGAATTTCACCAACATTGAGCCAGACCTGCACACTCGAGAAGCCGAGAGTGTGATTCTGGCTGCCCCCTCCGTGGGTACCTGCCCATCCTCCTGCCCAGCCCACAGCACCGATCCTGGGTCGGATGTTCTCAGATCACAGCCTCTGCATGATATCAACCAGGACAGTGATTGATAACTAAAGGATCTGCTTGTAAACCTTAGGACTCCCCTGGAGATCATTTATGCCATCCCTGGAGAGCACTTTAATAGAAAACTTTTGGAAATTCAAATGCCTTAGACACCCAAAGAAACCCAGAAATCTGAGGATACCATCCAGCCCTACGAGTTCACGCTGCACCACTGCCCCTTCGTTTAAAAATGTCTAAGGCTGACGCTGTCCTGTGGGTGGGGTAGATGACGGGCCACACAAATACACGTGATGCTAGGCAGTTTAAAAAAATCAGCCCTGCCTGCATGAGACTGTGTGCCTGGTGAACTCAGACCTGTGAACCTATCTAAGAAAACTATTGTTTTTCCCCTTGATCACTAAACAGACTTTTCTCACTTCTCTCTGCCGTCTTCCATGGGTAACACAGCAGCAGATTTTCACTTTGTCAGTTAAAATTATTTTACATGCATAAAAAAATTTTTCTCTGATCATCTGATTTCTCAGTGTTGGAAGGAAGGGAAGACTCTTCCACCCGTAGGTCTCTCATTAATTTCATGGATTTCTTAGTTAATATGTTACCCTCTGCATACCAAACTATTAAAATGTGGCTAAGACTCAACTTTAAAAGTACAAATTGAAGGCTATACAAGCAATATATCAGGACCAGAGACTACTTGGTGGAAACAGTATAAACTTTAGAGTTTGTTTAATTTCTAAAGCAAGTTTTGGCTTATATACATAGCCCCCACCGCCAGCCTCCTGCAAACATACGTCTTTTTTTCTAAGCAAGTAAGTCTTTTCTATGTTGGTGTCAATCTTTGAAAGTGTGATAAAACCAAAACAGGCAAGGTTCTGCCATATAAATATTACCTTCTGGGTCCAGAACAAAACTGGAGGACACTCCGTCTGTATCACTTACAGACACGGAGTAAGTCCCTAAATCCTCCTTATCCGGATTCTTTAAGTACAGCTTGGAGCTAAAAAGGAAGAAGAGTAGGTGAATGTCGATCATTTCTGTTTGCAGGAACTTCTAAAAGTTTCCAGTATCCAACTTCCAGGCCTGACTTACTGATCCCCCACGGTTTCGATTTTAAACCTCTCATCATCTGAAATCTCCTCGTAGGATTTACACCAGGTGAACTGAGACGCGTCTGTCATTTCCTGGCAGTCGAAGCCCAGATAGATGTTGCCTTGTTCATCGACACCAGCACTGATTTCCTTGGTGCCTGCATAAGAAGAGTATGAGGTGAGCGGCTTAGGGACACGGTGTTCTTTCAACTCTCTTTTGGGAGAGGGTGATATGGTTTGGCTCCGCATCCACACCCAAATCTCATCTCAAATTGTAATCCCCAAGTGTAGAGGGAGTGAGGTGATTGGATCACGGGGGTGGTTTCCCCCATGCTGTCCTCATGATAGTGACTGAGTCTTATGAGATCTGATGGTTTTAGAAGCACCTGGCATTCCCCCTGCTGGCACTCACTCTGTCCTGCCGCCCTGTGAAGAAGTGCCTTCTGCCATGACTGTAAGTTTCCTGAGGCCTCCCCAGCCACGAAGGACTGTCAGTCAATTAAACCTCTTTTCTTTATAAGTCACCCAGTCTCAGATATTTCTTCATACCAGCGTGAGAACGGACTAATGCCGAGGGGGTACCCAATGCAGAGACCTCATCTTACACCAAATCATCAGTTGCATTTAATGACCCAGGACTGATGAGAGAATCGTGAGAGAGAAAACACTTTAGGGAGGACCTGGAGGGGCTTGGTTGTTTTGTTGTTGCTAATTTTTTTTAATTTACCATATTTCTGCACACGTCCTTCCCTGCATCTCATACAACTGCAGAAAACCTCTTAGGGCTGCCTCTCCAGGCCCTGAAGATCCTGTTCTCTCTGGAATCTCCTTCTCTGACCCTCAGGGGAAGCCCAGCAGCCATGTGCCCACCATGAAGCTCCCCCTTCACACAGCTCTGCCTTCTCCATGGGGCCTTGCCTTGTCTTGTTTGGGAGTAGGGGTTGTTTGTGGTTTATTTGCTACTTTTTGACCCAGGTGAACATCTGGCCGTGTGCAAGGCAGAATCTATGTCGTAGGAATTAGGAATTGGACGAGACACATCTCAGCCTCTGCTGGTGAGTGGAACTGAGGCCATGAAGTGTCAGTGCTCTCGGGTTATGAAGAAGACACAGATGCAAGGAAAGCCAGGTGGCAGGGTGAGATGAAGAGGCCACCACAGACAGCCATCAGGATCTTTACAGTCTGAGGCTGCACTGCTTCCTGACACTCAGGTCACACTCTGGGGCTGTGGTTTGGATGTGGATGATCCCCTCAAAACTCACATTGAAATGTAAAAGCCAGTGCAACGGTGTTGGGAGGTGGAGCCTTTAAGAAGTGATTAATGACTGGGGGCAGCACTCATGCCTGTAATCCCAGCACTTTGGGAGGCCGAGGCCAGAGGATCGCTTGAGCTCAGGAGTTCAAGACCAGCCTGGGCAACATAGTGAGATCCTGTCTCTATAAAAAACAGAATAATAAAAATTCTTTTTAAAAGAGGTGATTAGGTCGTTAAGATAGACTCGTGTCTTTCTGGAAAGACTGGGTAGATTCTTGCTAATAACCACGGCTGCTGGTTGGTTAAACTGGAATGGAGTAGTTCCAGTGAGAGTAAATGTTATAAAGCAAGGCTGCCTCCCATGCTGGGTCCGTTTCCGCACACACCCAGTTCTCTACCATGTTGTGGGGCAGCGGGAGGCCCTCACCGGAGCCACCAGAGCTGCCGGAGCCACCACAGCAGATCCCGGCACTGTGCTTCTTAGACTTCCCGCCTCCAGAATCATGAGCCAAATAAACTTTTTTTTTCTTTTTTTTTTTTTAAATGGAGTCTTGCTCCGTTGCCCAGGCTAGAGTGCAGTGGCGCGATCTCGGCTCACTGCAACCTCCGCCTCCCAGGTTCACCCCATTCTCCTGCCTCCGCCTCCTGAGTAGCTGGGACTACAGGCGCCCAACACCATGCCCAGCTAATTCTTTTTGTATTTTTTAGTAGAGACGGGGTTTCACTGTGTTAGCCAGGATGGTCTCGATCTCCTGACCTCGTGATCCGCCCGCCTCGGCTTCCCAAATTGCTGGGATTACAGGCGTGAGCCACCACACCCACGCCCCAATAAACTTTTAAAAACAATTACCCAGCCTCGGTGTTCTGTTACAGCAACACAAAATAGACTGTGTATCCTATGAGTGTGTGTCCTGCCTTCAGAAGTATTTGCCCTTTTTAGGTTGACTCCAGGGAACTTTTATTCGTTGAAATCAAGAAAATTACCAACAGCTTTTTAAAATTTTCTGATAAAAATCCAGCAGTAATATTTAAAAAATGCCCTCCTTCCTGCACGTGGCTTGACGATTCGAAGAACAACCCCTGCCAAGCATGAAGATGACCCAAAGTGCTCTCCTTCTCATCCAGGGCCATTAGTGCACAGGCAGAGATTTAATTGCATACTTCATTTGCCATCCAAATCTTTTTAAAATAACGGCAAGACATCCGTTCATTTATCCGTACACCCATCCATACATGCACACATAACACATGCACTATCTCCCACTCATTTATCCATATACCTGTACATACATACACATATACACATAATATATGCACACTCTCCCACTCATTTATCCATATACCTATACATACATACACATAAACACATAACACATGCATGCTCTCCCACTCATTTATCCATACACCCATCCATACATACACATATACACTAATACATGCACACTCTCCCACTCATTTATCCATATACCTCTACATACATACACATATACACATAATACATGCACGCTCTCCCACTCATTTATCCATACACCTCTACATACATACACATATACACATAATACATGCACACTCTCCCACTCATTTATCCATACACCCATCCATGCATACACATATACACAGAATACATGCACACTCTCCCACTCATTTATTCATATACCCATCCATACATACACATATACACATAACACATGCACACTCTCCCACTCATTTATCCATATACCTATACATACATACACATAAACACATAACACATGCACGCTCTCCCACTCATTTATCCATGCACCCATCCATACATACACATATGCACATAATATATGTACACTCTCCCACTCATTTATCCATTTACCCATACATACATACACATATACACATAATACATGCACACTCTCTCACTCATTTATCCATATACACATATACACATAAAACATGCACACTCTCCCACTCATTTATCCACACACCCGTCCATCCATACACACAATACATGCGCAATCTCCCATTCATTTACACACACACCCACCCACCCATACATGAACACATAATACATGCATTTATCCATACACCCATCCACACATCCACACATAATACATGCACACTCTCCCACTCATTTATTCAGACACCCATGCATAAACACATAATCCATGCACACTCTCCCATACATTTATCCACATACCCATACATACATGTACACGTAACACATGCACACTCTCCCATTCATTTATCTACAGACCCATCCACACATACACACATAACACGTGTTCACTCTCCCACTCATTTATCCACACACCCTCATCCATACATCCATAATACATGCACACTCTCCCCACAAATCATTGCTGTTTTGTAGTTTTTGTTGTAAGCCTTACCTGGTCTCGCCTCTACCAGCACAGGCTCCGACGTGTCTGAGGGCTTCCCCACGCCATTTGCATTGACTGCCCGGACCCTGAAGACATAGGTCTTACCTTGCTGCAGGTCAGAGACCTTGAAACAACAGAGGAAACACCAGATGTGTGGAGGTAAAATAAAGATGACTGTGGAGTTTTTCACATTTTATTGTGAATAGGGCCTTTTCAAAAATAGCTTATTTTTCCAGTTAGGAAAATGATACTTAATGAGTTAGAAAAGGAGGGAAGAGGAGATTCACAGTGGTGCAGAATGTGACTTTGGAGGAATAAACGCATTCGCTCCCAATCTGATGGAACCTCTTTCATTTTTTTATCTCTGCATATTTTAAAGCAGAAGTAAAATCATACTGACTAGTTTATAATCTGGTGTTTATATTTAACATAATTCTGTGGAACCAAATACTATTTTAAGTGTGATATTTAACTGTGTAAAGTCATCATTGGGGCATCAGAATTAAATCCATCTCTACTTGTACATACATGGGTTATTCTTATTAAAACCTGCTTGGATAAACATCTATATATATTTACTAAGCTTCTAGTTGATTTATGTAGCTGATTCTTAGAAGCTGACTCATTCATTCTAAAGACACTGGCTGTTTCCTGTCATCAAAGGGTTTCCGGAAGGTGTCACCCGTGGAAGGCCCTCTCAGCCTGTGCTCAGGTGCCGGACCCAGACGTGGCTGTGCTTTAGGGAAGGAAGCAGGCCCACCCCACCACAGGGCCCAGCACCCAGAGAAGAAAACCTCTGGGTTAAGGCAGTTGGCAACTCAGCTGGAGCATGTAGGCCTCCTGGGGCTCAGTCCTTACACCTGACCCAGTCACTGAGGAACCGCAAGTGCTAAAAACAGAAACATTTGGAGAAAGAGAGGCTGGAGGAAGTCACACATGATAGTTTTGCTCCATGTATGAAAACTGTGTGTATATCTGTGTGTGGTGCTTATCAAATGGACTTTAGCGATCACATGAATTAAGTAAATTAAATGCCCGGCGTGAAGTGGAAGGACATAATACAATAGGCACCATCCCTTTGGAAAGCACACAGACATAGCCCATGAACAGACAATTAACAGCTATTAGACTGCAATGTGGAAGAAAACAGGCGTGTCTGCGCAGTTCCCCAGGAGCAAACAGCATGTTGGTGTGAATGGAAGGAGGGCTCTGCGTCCTCAAGGCACTGTTCTGTCATCTGCTGGGCCCCACAACACGCATGGTGGCTGCATCCTCAGCAGCCACGCCCCGGTCATCTGAACAGGTTCACCTCGGGGCTCGGTGCTGGCTTGCGCAGAGAGCAACAGCACTTTCACACAGAGGGAAACGCCAAGACGAAAGACTTACCTTTATTTTTTGTTGTTAGTTTGTTTTATTTTTGTGTGTGTGTTTTGTTTTTGAGACAGAGTCTCGCTCTGTCAACCAGGCTGGAGTGCGGTGACTCAGTCTCAGCTCACCGCAACCTCCGCCTCCCGGGTTCAAGCGATTCTCCTGACTCAGCTTCCCGAGTAGCTGGGATTACAGGTGCCTGCCACGGTGCCATGCCCGGCTAATTTTTTTGTATTTTTAGTAGAGACGGGGCTTCTCCATGTTGGCCAGGCTGGTTTCGAACTCCTGACCTCAAGTGATTGGCCCGCCTTTACCTCCCAAAGTGCTGGGATTACAGGCATGAGCCACCACAGCCGGCCAAGACTTACCTTTAAATAACGGTTGGCTGTTGTCGTCTGATTTACAGTGATCCACTCTCCAGCATCCTCCTCCCTGAAGTCCACGAAATATCCAGAAACAGGGCTGCTGCCGGAGTACACAGGGGCCTTCCACAGCATGACCAAGGACGTGTCCCTGACCTCACAGAACGTCAAGTCGTAGGCAGGACCTGTGAAGTCAGATGCCACCTTGTTGCTGCGCGCATAGCCAGTCCAGCACACCCACCGCCCAACCCAGCCCCGGGGACCCACTGCTCCTCTGGGAAGCCCCCCACCAGGACCATCCGTATCTGTTCCCCATCTGATGTTTATCAGCCTCTCTTGCAGAGCAGGGTAAGGAGGGTGCTCAGCATGACGTTGGGGGTCAGGGAGGAGGGCCCAGCCTACGTGGATCTACGTAGAATCATTCAGAAGTCCACACTGCATTCTCGGGACCAGCAGATGCGATCACAGAGAGGAACGGTGTGCAGGAAAGGACAGGTTCTCAAGTTACCCTCCACGGGGCTGGACACCTGGCAGTCACAGTCACTCAGGGAGCCTGCCTACCTGGCCGGAAGCACATCACTGCAGCCCTGTCCTCTACGAACACCCGCGGCAACTCTGAGGGCATGTGGTGCGGAGGCCCAGGTCCAGGCAAGCACCAAGCGGTGCAGGGAAACAGAGAGGCAGCCCCGCCCCATCTTCAGCTAGTCTCACTGTGGCCTTGAGCCTTGAGAGGCCATCTCCTATCAACCCTCAAAAGAGGCTCGGGAAACTAGAATGACTTTTTTCTTCTGTTGGTTTTCTAAGGTCCAAAATTTAATTTCATTAAAAGAAGAAAGGTAGGAAGGCAGGAAAGAAGGCGGGAGGCAGGGAGGGAAGGAAGGAAGGAAGGAAGGAAGGAAGGAAGGAAGGAAGGAAAGAAGGAAGGAAGGAAGGAAAGGAAGGAAGGAAAGAAGGAAGGAAGGAAAGAAGGAAGGAAGGAAGGAAAGAAGGAAGGAAGGAAAGAAAGAAGGAAGGAAGGAAGGAAAGAAGGAAGGAAGGAATTTTCTAATTGGCTTATTCATCTGGCTTCTTAGCAGCTGATTTGCTAAGTCAAAAGACGCTGACTAAAAGGAAAAAGGCAGTATACTCTGGCCATAACATTGGAAAACACTCTGAACTTTGAACTTTTTCAGCTTCAACTTTCAGGATTTACTTTCTCAAAGTATGAGCATATTATCCATTGCACTTAATTCCTGATAGGTTAGAGACAAAGAAATCAAGGTCTGGTACTTGAGAACTTTTGAAAACAGAGAGAAAATGTTAGCAGGGCATGGTGACATGAACCTGTGGCCCCAGCTACTCATAAGGCTGAGGCAGGAAGATGGCTTGAGCCCAGGAGTTCAAGACCAGCCTGGGCAACATAGAGAGACCTCATCTCAAAACAAAAAACCAGTAGAGTGCGAGCTAAATAAATGCAGGTCTGCAACAATGATGCCTTTTAGAAGCAGAAGCCCCAAGATCCCCAGATGGCCTGAGAGGACAGCAGGAGCTAACCCACGAATGAGAACCCTGTCGTGCCTCCCCTGAGATCCCCAGATGGCCTGAGAGGACTGCAGGAGCTAACCCACGAATGAGAACCCTGTCGCGCCTCCCAGCTGGGTCCGGGGCTCGCACCTTCTCCTCCACCTGTGACCCTCTCTGCCTGCTCCTTTGGGGTAGGTGACCTGGGCCAAATCCGTGTCATAGGTCAGGGGATGCATGGGAAGCTGTCCCTCTCCCCACAGTCTGGGTCCTCCTGTGCTCCCTCCCACCTCACCCTCAGGGCCTCCTACTCTGCCCTCATCACTGGCCTCTGGACCACGCACAGCCCAAACTAGATGCTGGGTCTGCCTGATTCACAGCCCTGCACGGCGCCTGGCACACGGTGGCTCTGCAGCTGCGGGTGTCGGAGGAACAGACACGCTGTGAAGGCTGGCGAGTCCAGAGTCGCACCCACAGAGGCCCCTTCCCAGCCAGCCTGTGCGCTGGAACGCGGGTGTCCTGGGGGCAGCGACTCACCGGGCTCCGGCATGGTCCAGGCCTCACACTTGAAGTGCTCACTGGGATCTGAGGGCTCCCCGATGCCGGCCAGGTTGACGGCGGCGATTTTGAACTCGTAGAGTGAGCCTTCCGTCAAGCCGTCCACCTATTCAGATTTTGTTTAAATTAATACATGAGATAAAGGATGCCTTACAGCCCACTGAGGGGGAGGAGTTGTTATAACTGGCTTGTGAAATAAAATATGAGAGGAAGGAACCTTGTCGGGAAATTGGACCAAATATTTCAGGAAGGACCTCGATGTGGCCAACGAGCTGCAGCCGCATGAAACCTTACGTGTCCTTCACTCAATCCCCAAAGTGATTTCCCAAAGTGATTGAGTCCTTCACTCAATCCCACTCCTGCGGGGGTAGGGGACAGGTGATACCCCAGCGGCAGGTAAGGAAACTGAGGCCCAGAGAGGCGACGGTTGCCCAGGGCCAACTCAAGGGCGGAGGCTTCGAGGAAACAGGCACTCAGGCCACACACTGTCCCCTGAGCGGGCCCTGCCCTGCACCCAAGGGGGGTCACCCTGGAGACGGAGCCCACCACGTCCCCCATACTTGGACTCTGCATGACAAGAGCCCCCGGGCTGCCCAGGTCCCTGGGGTGCTGCAGTCTGCGGCCACCCACCGGGCCCTCAGGGACGCTGCCTGGCTGGGGGACAAAGCACCAGGGAGGCCTTTGACCAACACTACGAGCCTCGACTCCCCCGGGCTTGTGGCACAAAAACGCTATCTGGGTAAACACTGTCTCAAAAAATAGCTTCCGAAGTAAGATATCTGAGGATAAACGGCTTCAGTTTATCCTCCTCACTGGACTAGCTGTGAAGCACTCAGAAAGTAAGCAGGTACTTTTCTCAGGAATCTCGGACCGAGTAAAGAACTGTTGTGCTGAGTGAGATGACCCAGGGACAAAAGGACAGACACTGTGTGATCTCGCTCAGATGTGGAATCTGAAACAGTAGCACTCACAAAGACCCGGCGGGTGCCGGGTCGGGGAGGCGCTGGACAGAGGGACAAAGTTCCAGCAGCAACAGGAGGGGCGAGTTCTCGTGCTTCCTGCACAGCATGGTGATGATTTAGCCCATAATAATGTGTTGTAGACATATTTGAAAAACATTTTTTAAATAGATTTTAGGCTGGGCACAGTGACTCACGCCTGTAATCCCCACACTTTGGGAGGCTGAGGCGGGCAGATCACCTGAGGTCAGGAGTTCCAGACCAACCTGGGCAACATGGTGAAACCCTGTCTCTACTGAAATAATACAAAAATTAGCCGGGCGTGGTGGTGGGCGCCTGTAATCCCAGCTACTCAGGAGGCTAAGGCAGGAGAATTGCTTGAACCCAGGAGGCGGAGCTTGCAGTGAGCCGAGATCGTGCCACTGCACTCCAGCCTGGGTCACAGAGTGAGACTCTGTCTCGAAAACTAAATAAATATATAAATAAATAGATTTTAAATGTTCTCACTGCAAAAAATTGTAAGTACTGGGAGGCAATGGAGATGTTAATTGGCTTGATTTAATCATTCCATAATGCAAACATATATTAAAATATCACATTGTACCCCATACGTACAATTATTATTTGTCAATTAAAAATAAAATAATTTTTAAGTTGAGAACATTTAGACATTGTAAGGGATCAGAACAGAGGTTGAACGTGGGCAAAATATCAATAATGTCACAGCAAACTAGAAAGTTGCCTATATATCATCATATGTGTATAAAATATTAACATATATTATAAAGAGATAGATTTATAAGGCAGAATTTTCTAGTAGACAAAGATTAGATCTTCTAAGGCCTTACACTCTCCAAAAAAGAAAGCCCTCCTGTTGGAGTGTAAGTGACTCCCCTGAGGTCTGTGGCTCCCCACGGTCCGGACGGTAGCTGTAGTGTGAGATGAGGGTCATTCATCTATGCTCAGATGAGGGGTCAAGGGCCGGACAGGGAAACAGAGCAATGGCTGCCAAGGGGGTGTCTGGATCTGACCCCAGATCTCTGAGCTCCAAGTCGATGTCCTTGCCACACTCTGCACCTGAGCACCAGGGGCACTGAGGCAAGGGACTCTCTGGGAGGCCTGAAATACAAGAATGTCTCAGGGAAATGGTGGGTGACAAGCAGAGAGCCAACATTACTCTCTTCCTAAACAGACACTCAGCGTGACCCTCCCCTCAGGCACACACGTGAGACTCCGTCCCTGCCCTCAAGGCCTCAGAGCCTAGAACAAGGGACATTACCACAGGTACTGGGACCAGATGCTGGTCACACCAGAGGTCATGGACTCACTGTCAGGCCCACTCCATCACTGAGCTCCCTTCTTCACTGCTTCTCAGAAAGAAAAAGAATATGATTCCTAGGATCTTTTGAGCTCCAAAACTTCATGATCTCATGATGCTATTTTTTAATCCATTTTTCCGTCTGTATCAAATTATCTAATGTCATCAAACGCAGAAACATTGCCAAAAATGTAAAGAACCACCCAGGCAAAAATAGACGAAGGAATAAAAACCAACTGACCGTTAGGATTGTCGGTTTGCTGGGTGAGGAATTGACCTCGTGCCAGTTTTTATGGTGAACTTCACGCTTGTCCAGGTAGTAGCCCAGGATGGGCGAGCCACCACTGAATTTCGGGACCTTCCAGCCGAGGGTCATGGAGTGGCCGTCACAGTTGAGGAGCGTAATCCCATAAGGATGGGACGGGACGGCTGCAAGGAAGCACAACCAGGGAGTTACCGAGGGCCTCAGTTGGGGGCTTTGTCCCCGGGGCAGCCAGCTCCAGTGTGGCAGAGGGAGGAGGAAGCAACGTGGAGACGGGCCTGAACACTGTGCCCTCTGATCCCTCTCAACCCACACTTAACCACCTTGGTCTTTACACCTTTTTAAAGGGGATGAGTACAAAAATAAATAAAAATTTATCTCATATATATGTATTGCTATTTCTAAGTGTATCTACTAAGGCTTCCATAGGATGAACGGTTTAAATCTGGTATGAACATTTGACACAGCAGAAGATGTTCTGTCTTCTCGGCCCCTTGAAAGAAGCTTGGCGAAGGAGCTTTCACTTTTACAACCATAAGGAATAACTATTCTGCATCTGTGGCCAGAGATGACAGATACGATTCCAGTTTGTTTTAATTTCCTGCACAGTTAGAGGAACTTCAGGTTCCTTCAAATGAGTGTGAATCCGTGTTTCCCTGTTTGAGCAGGGCACTTGAAACGGACCGCCTTCTCCTAACAGGTCGAGAACGGATGGGCCTGAGTCTGCTTGCCCCAGCTCTGAGTCACCTCAATGTGGCCATCCTCTGTTACCTGAGACACAGGTGACTGGAATTAAGTGATTCTTATCATAGAATAAAAACAGGCCAGGTGCGGTGGCTCATGCCTGTAGTCCCAGCACTTTGGGAGACCGAGGCAGGAGGATTGCTTAAGCTCCTGAGTTTGAGATCAGCCTGGGCAACATAGTAAAACCCCATCTCTACAAAAAAATCAAAAAATTAGCTGGGCGTGGTGGTGGTGCCTGTGGTCCTAGCTAATCAGGAGGCTGAGGCATGAGGATCACTTGAGCCCAAAAGCTCAAGGCTGCAGGGAGCTGTGATCACACGACGGCACCCCAGCCTGAGCAACAGAGCGAGACTCTACGTCGAAAAAAAAAAAAAAAGAAAGTGGTTTTCCTTTAGTAGGAATGACATTAAAAAGAAAATGGGAATGTTTGAAAGTCCCTCCTGGAAAAAATTGAGAGGAGATTAATCTTAAAACAAAAGAGTCAGCGCTATTGTACCTAGCTAGATGTTATCAGATTTGACATTCCTTGGAAATCCAACAGCAATATCATTAGAAGATAAATTTTAATTTCTGAAAATGTTGCAAATTTAGTCAAAGATGAAAAATCATCAACGAGCCACATAGTTCCCTCTGAAGTGGGAAGATAACCCTGTGAATCCAAGGGTGTCCCATGTGGCATTTGTGTTTCAAAATGTTTCTGAGTATGCGCACTGACTTCCTGAGGTGCATTTCATGAGAAAACAGAAAGCCACGAGGCTGCAGCACAGCTTGATACAGCAACTGTTCTAGGGACGGTCCCTGAGATTTAGGATCCCAATTGTCTCGTTTGATCAAAATAATAAAAACTGTTAAACACCACTATTTACCAACAAAGTCTCAAAGTTACATAAATATGACATTCTCTGAAGTGACTAAAGTTCCTAGAACTGAGAACAGCTAAAAAGGTCATGGATGTTGCTGTATTTTAGCACATATTTTGAAAAGAGAAATGTATCCCCTACAGCATATATATATTTTTGAGACGGAGTCTTGCTCTGTCCCCCCAGGCTGGAGTACAGTGGCACGATCTTGGCTCACTGCAAACTCCGCCTCCCAGATTAGGTGACTCTCCTGCCTCAGCCTATCGAGTAGCTGGGACTACAGGCGCCCGCCACCATGCCAGGCTGATTTTTGTATTTTCAGTAGAGACGGGGTTTCACCTTGTTGGCCAGGATGGTCTCAATCTCTTGACCTCATGATCCAGCCACCTTGGCCTCCAAAAGTGCTGCGATTACAGGCATGAGCCATTGCGCCAGCCTACAGCATATATTTTAACATGAGTACAGGTATTTGGCAACACATGTAACCTCTAACAATGTTTTCTATTTTTAATTTGCGTTTTATTAGTGTATTATCATTTCTCCCTCTCACACTGTCATTTCCAAGACAAGCAGCCAACCAAGAGGCTTCAAAGAAACTCAAGTTCTCTGTTCAGGAATTTAGTCCCCTTTTCCCCTTCAATGACATTCCAAATGGCATCACAAATGTTTATTCATGCAGAAATGACAGTGTATGGGAGCAATCGGCACACAACAGCCTGTGAGTGACTTACTGAGTGCGGCCTGCACTTTTATGACGTCTGATTCCTGGGAATTTTCACTCATCCCCACAGCATTGACCGCCTTGACTCGGAAGATGTACTGCTCTCCCGTGGTTAAGCCGTGCACCACGAACCTGAGAAACACAGGGATCAGGGTCAGAACTGCCAGGCTCCACTTTTTCTCTCCTGCAGCAGAAGCAAAAATCACCCTGAACGCGCCATAAAAAATTTTTATGGATAACATACATCCTTCATTTTCAATTCTAGTTAATTAGCTCAACATGTAGAGTCCGACAGTAAGGTCACAGCACCTAATTATAGCAGGAGCTGACTACACGTGGTGCCAAAGCCACTTGTTCTGTGAGTTCACCTTTGCTTTTGTACTTTCTGGGCCTCCTCTGGATCAGAGGTCTATTATCCAACAGTATGCCATTTCTTATCTAAAAGAACCCGTGTATGTAAAACTTAATTAGCAGTAATTACACTGCAGTGGTTACAGGCCAAGACTTGGAAGTCAGATGGACTAGGCTCGAATACTGGGACTTTGAAACCTCACAGATTTTATGGTCTTAATCAACCTCCTTAACCCCTGTAAGACTTTGTTTTTCTATTTGTAAGATGGGGATGATAATTCCCACCCCACAGCACTATTGCAGGCACTACATGGAAAACTCTAGGTGGACAACTTAGCACAGATGCTTTGTGTATGATAGATATTCAGTCCGTGTAAGCAATTATTATTTATCATATATAGTCAATAAATATTCACTAACCATTTCCCTGTACTGGAATCATGTTTTAAGTTTCTTATTCTGATCGATCTTTCTGCATTTGCTGTGGGCTGTGAAGAACATCTAATTGTTATTCTTTTCAATGACATCTCTTCTTGTTAGCCACCACTTTTTACAGTGTATTTTTTTCAGATTTTAAAAGGAGAAATGGCTGAGCCATAATTGATCATCTATCCACAAGGGTGGTTCTGACAGCTGCTGACATTTTCCTAAGACGCGTATCGCAGAGAAGCCTAATAACCTCAGACATCCCTGCACACTCAGCAGGCAGCAGGAGCAAGTCTCTCCAAAGGCAGGGTCACTGGCTTTCTCCTGCAAAGCAACCAGCATCCCCCGAGGCTGCCCCCACCACAAGCGAAGAGTCGGCGCCCGGTGGGGTCTCCATCAGGTGCTGGGGAATAGAACTACCAGGCACATGAACAAAGCAACTTTCAAGTTCAAAAAAATCAATACGAAAAAAATAAAACGACTTTCACATCGTAGTCACTATTTTTAACTCTGCTATTCAAAGAAAAGGCCTAAGTGCTAATTATGTCAGGGGAAAAAAAACAGGTTCTGGAACTCTCCTTTCATCCATAAATAAATCGTTTCGGTCGACATGAGCAAGTGCAGTAACTAGCTCATCCAAGTGGTCAAACTTTAAAATTATACAGCCCTTGTGTGTGGCTAAGACAGACTCATTTACGCAGAAGCCTTGCGGCCATGGTACTCCCTGTGCCAGGGCCACAGGGACCTCAACGGTCTTGCTACTCCTGCAAGGCTGACTCCAGGGCTGGGGAGGGAGGCCGCACCTGTTGTATCCAATGGGCTTGTGGTTGCAGGGCTCCCAGAGGTTGGTTCCGGCCACACAGCAGTCCACGTAGTAGCCCAGCAGGTCCTCCTCATGCTTAGGTCGGTCCCACTGCACCACCACCGACGTCTTGGTGTTTCGGGAAGCAAGAACCCGACCCGGAGCAGAAGGGACAACTTTTCGTAGGAGACAAAAGGAGTGGTGAAATGGCATCAGAGCTTTGGAAGCTACAGCAGAGATCTTCCGGCCCTTTTCACAGGGAACTGGACAGCCAGACTGGGGGCTTTGGAAGAAATTCAGACAAGGGGTCCAGGAGTAGGAGAGGAGCCCCGGGCCGACCACCCGAGGGCCATTGGGAGGTGCTGGTCTCTCTGATCTCTTCCCAAGCTCCACACAACTCCTAGAGACACAGGATGACATCCATCCTGAATCCTCCTGTCTACCCATCAGAGCTGTTTAAAAGACTCTCTGTTGGCAGCAGGGATGAGGCTACCCGGGTAACAACTATTTTTTGGACTGGAAATTAACCAATTTTAAGAAAGTAAGACTCAATTTTATCAGATCTGTTGAAATCTCCCAGGGGCACTCAAAATTCCATCATGACCTAACCATCAGATCCTGTCATGTGGTGCCAGGCCCCACTAGTGGACTGCGGACTGAGGTCAGGTAAGGCCTTGGGGCCACCTGTGTCCTCTGTGCCGGCCACCTGGGCCACACACCCCACAGTGTGTCTCAGTGATGGACACTGTCATTTCTCATATGTGTCATAAAGCACAAGAAGGCAGGGCCTTGCTCAAAGACAGCTGGTCTTGTCAAGCCTGTGGTTCTGGGTATGAGTTCTAAGAGCTTCAGTTAAAACCAGAGCCAGATAGAAACTTGAGGATGCCCTGGAGGCAGCCGGCCTCGTGACCTCGTTCATTTCCGTATCTGGCTTTCTCAGGAAACACGACAGAGAGAGGGTGGAGGGCACCCAGGCACTCAGAACCGCGTTCCTGACACCAATGTGCCTCCCGTGAAGGCTTCTGGGGATTTCCAGGGTGCCTCCGCTTACATGCTAGTTAACTGCCATCCATGAAGGAGTTATGACTCCAGGGATTGCAATTCAAAATTTCTGTAATTTGTATTTGAAACCTTCCAAGAGGGACCTTCAAGCCAGATGGGCAAGAAACTCTAGTGCCTGGCTGGGCACCCTGGCTCACACCTGGAATCCCAACATTTTGAGAGGCCAAGGTGGGAGGATCCCTTGAGTTCAGGAGTTCGAGACTGGCCTGGGCAATATGGTGAAACTCTATCTCTACAAAACAAAAATTTTTTTTAAAAAGCATTAATTAAAAAAAGACAACAACAAAAAAGTCTAGTGCACTTAAAATTTGAATTACTTTAAAAGTGACCATTGCAGAGAAAAGGGAACACTTAAACACTGTTGGTGGGAATGTAAATTAGTTCAACTATTGTGGAAAGTAGTGTCATGATTCCTCAAAGAGCCAAAAAAAAAAAAAAAAAAAAAAAAGAACTATCATTCAACCTAGCAATCCCAGTACTGCATATATACCCAGAGGAATATAAATCATTCTACCATAAAGACATATGGATGCGAATGTTCATTGCAGCACTATTCACACAATAGCCAAGACATGGAATCAACCCAAATGCCTGTCAATGACATTGGATAGAGAAAATGCAGTACATATATACCATGGAATACTATGCAGCCATAAAAAAGAACAAGACCACGTCCTTTGCAGGAATATGAGTGAAGCTGGAGGCCATTATCCTTAGCAAACTAATGCAGGAACAGAAAACCAAATACCAAATGTTCTCACTCATAAGTGGGAGCTAAATGATGAGAACACATGGACACATAGATGGAAATACACACGGGGGACTATCAGAGGGTCTAGGGTGGGAGGAGGGAGAGGAGCAGGCAAAGTCACTAATGGCTACTAGGCTTGGTACCTGGGTGACGAAATAATCTTTACAACAAACCCCCATGACACAAGTTTACCTATGTCAGAAGCCTACACATGGACCCCTGAACCTAAAATAAAAGTTTTTTTAAAAGTTTAAATAAAACAATAAAAGTGACCGTTTCCTAAACATATTTTTCAACTCACTTACTGGTTTCATGAAAAGAAGATGGAGCTTTGGAGAAATGTCAAGAACCAAACAAAACATGGCAGAGAGCTCTTAATCTCTCGTAAAGTGAAGTTTTAAGTCCACTTGAACTTCAACTCGTTTATAACATTAATGTCTTTATTCACACAATTTAAGGCTATTTGGTGTCACCCCACTCTTAGCCCATCCTGACTTGGGGCCACCCAGTGTGACAGCTCACCGGTCACATCCTGGGCCTGAATGGGGGACGTTATCTCCGAAGGTTCGCTCAGGCCATGCCGGTTTGCTGACAGCACTCGGAACACATAAGACTTCCCTTCCATGAGGTCAAACACGGCATATCTCGGGGATCTCACAGCCGTCTGGGCGTTGACTCTCTGCCAGCTGCCGCTCCCCACCACCGACTACAAAGAGAAACAGAAACGAGACTGGCAGTGAAAACCGCGAGGTCCCCAGAGGCGTGTGGAGGAGGAAGAAATGCTCTGTTGTCGCTATCCCAGGACCACCAGGCGCGCCCGCTGCGTCTCGCACACAAAGGATGGTCATGCATCTTTTTTGAGTTTTATGAAACATGATGCCAATTTGGAGAAGGAAGTCACAAATACCCAAAGTTGATCATGTTTACTAATAAATTTTTTTCCATTAAAGTAAATAATTAAACCATAGAAAACATAAGGGAATCAATACATAGGTAGTAGTTTTAGCAAAATAGAACTAACCTGCAAATAACGAAAGATAATTTAGAAGTATATTCATAAAATTCTGTCATAACTCAGTGGTTCGCATTTCAATTTAAAGTTATTACCATATTGCAGCTACTTGCAGTAGTGATTAAATGACAGCAATCTAAATGGCTGTCAATACGGTCAGACACATGATGATATGTTCATAGATTAAAAACCTCATGGCCATTTAAATTATTGTATAAAGATCTTTAGTCTAATAAGAGGAATGATGTTATTTTGTGAAATCTAATACAGAATGCAAATTGTATGATACAACAAGAGCATTAAAGTCTATGGAGAAAAAGACTATAAATATATGTACCACACGTTAATGTGGCTATTTTATATGGTGGAATTATTGCTCATTTTAATTGCATTCCATGTAACTTCTCTGTCTTTCCCAAATTTTATATACTGCTTGTTTAATTTTTATCTTTTGTAATTACTTTAAAAACCTTGGCGACAGAGCGAGACTCCGTCTCAAAAAAAAAAAAAAAAACCTTGATTACATGTTTTATTTTATTTTTTCACATAGAGATAAAACGCCTTTTTCGAAAGTAGTTTTGTGGTAGTAAAAGTTGGATATACACTGACCCTGGTAAGCCTGCTGAAAATTTCAGATAGCAACCCAGACTTCTAGAAATCAGACTCATATTTGAAGGAGTTTTCTCTCATTTTGGTGAAAGTGAAAAGCCGCTATTTTGTATCTGCCCCGGGCGTTTGTGGTGGGAGCCCCCAGGGCGTCATGGGCCTGAGGTCCTTGCGACCCCAAGCGACCGCAGTCCAGGTGTCTATAGGAGAGCTTCCTCTCCTACATCAGAATATGGGTCCACAAAGGGAAGGCTTATCCACTGCTGGGGGAATGTCATTAGCTCAGTCACTGTGGAAAGCAGTTTAGAGACTTCTCAAAGAACTTAAAGCAGAACTACCATTCCATCCAGCAATCCCATTACTGGGTATATGCCCAAAGGAAAATAAACCATTCTACCAGAAGATGCATGCACTTGTATTACCATCACAGCACTGTTCTCAAGAGTAAAGACATGGACTCAACCCTGCAATGGTGGACCGCAGAGAGAAAATGTGGTGCCCCCACACCATGGAATACTACACAGCCATAAAGAGGAAAGAAATCATGTCCTGTGCAGCCACATGGGTGCAGCTGGAGGCTGTTATCCTAAGTGAATTGACACAGGAACAGAAAACCAAATACTGCATGTTCTCACTTATAAGTGGGAGCTAAACACTGGGTACACACGCACACGAAGATGGCAACGATAGACACTGAGGCCTACCAGACAGAGCAAGGGCTGAAAAACCACCTATGGGGTGCTGTGCTCACTACCTGGGTGACGAGATCAACTGCACCTCGAAATCAGTATCACACAACATACCCCTGTCAGAACTTGCACAGGTACCCCCTGAAGCTAAAATAAAAGTTGAAATTATATTTTCTTAAAAATGTGTGTTTGCTGCAAAGGCATAAGAATGACACAATAGACTCTGGGGACTTGGGGGAAAGAGTGGGAGGGAGGCGAGGGATAAAAGACAACAAATATGGTGCAGCGTATACTGCTTGGGTGATGGATGCACCAAAATCTCTCAAATCACCGCTGAAGAGCTTACTCATGTAACCAAATACCCCCTGTACCCAATAACTAATGGAAAAATAAAATAATAAAAATTACAAAAAAAAAAGTGTGCCTGCCATGTCATCAATACTGACAGCAGGTAGTTCTGCCCACACACTGGCTCCACGGTGGAGTCCTCTCTCTAAAAATGTGTTTGCAGGACAGGTGTTGTGGCTTGCCTGGCCTGTAAACACACTAAAGTGTCTGTAATCCCAGCACTTTGGGAGGCTGAGGCAGGAAGATTGCTTGTGCCAGGAATTTGAGACCAGCCTGGGCAACATGGCGAGACCTCGTCTCTATAAAAAAAATTTAAAAATCAGCTGGGCGTGGTGGCACACACCTGTGGTCCCAGCTACTCTGGGTGTTAGGGGCCTGGGGCAGAAGGACTGCTGGAGCCCAGGAGGTGGAGACTGCAGTGAGCCATGACTGTGCCACTGCACTCTAGCCTGAGTGACAAAATGAGACCTGGTCTCAAAAATAAAAACAAAAAAGTGTTTGCAAACTTGGTGTTTCTGGTATTGGTGGAAGATGAGGGGAATGAGGGGCCTGAGAAAATACCTTCCACCCTAGGAGACCCCACAGAGGGACTGACCACTTGTATTTTCGTAACACAAATAACTATATTTTGTCACCCAGAATTAATGATGTAATGCTTTACCCTGAAATATTTCTAGTTTCTACCCCCCAGATAGCATACATTGCAAATAACCAGAGAAGGCCAGAGGGTCCTCCTCCATGCTGGAGTCTGAAATATGGTTCGTTTCCATTCCTGTTTCCGCCATGCTGCATTGAGTGGTGCTAGATGCGATTATTGTATTAGGTGGCATAAGCTTCTATATGTTATATTCTCTGTTACTTGCATACTACATATTGTATTACATATTACATATAAATTTTGTATCGCAAAACCCTAGTTACAGCCTTTGTAGGACATTGGAGTCTTATCCAACTATGGCCTACAACCCAACAGGGGGTCGTCACCAAGTCAGATTAGTGGGTCACAACCTGTGCCTTTAATGTCACCGGACAGGGTAAAAAGAGAATGTGTGCTGGGTGAGATTATCATTTGTGAAATTCTGTAGGTTACATACATATACGTGATTGCAGAACTGCAATATACAATGTCTTTTGTATTTCTTTGTATGCATTCAGGAAAAAAAAAAAGCTTTCTATTGGATATCTGGCGAGTCTAACCCTTCTGCGTCTTGTGTGCATTTCCTCTACACGATTGCCACCCAGTGGCCATACGGCTTGTGCACAAGCATGGCCATCGAGGAATCTGGAATCCCCAGCATGTAGGCGCCTGGAATGTTGCAGCAGGAAGGAGACGCTAGAACCCTCAAGCTCAGTCCTCCACACGGCAGTGAAGAACGCGGGCGCCCAGAGAGGGAAGCGACTCCCTGCTCACACCGAGGGGCAACGCCCAGCTAGGACGCAACCCAGCCCCCTGGTGCCAATTTCCGCCCCTGCTGCCGTGTGACCACAGCCCTAACCTCATTTTCCCCAGCAACGGTGCAGGGTCTGGACCCACTGATGAACTAGTAGGTCATCTTTAAAACACAGCAAACACGACAGTGTGGGGCCACGCAGAGATCACGACAGTGGGGGGCCACACAGAGATCATGACAGTGTGTGGCCACGTGGAGATCACGACAGTAGGGGGCCACGCAGAGATCACAACAGTGGGAGGCCACGCAGAGATCACGACAGTGGGGGGCCACGCAGAGATCACGACAGTGGGGTGCCAGAGATCATGACAGTGGGGCCACGCAAAGATCACAACAGTGGGAGGCCACGCAGAGATCACGACAGTGGGGCCACGCAGAGATCACAACAGTGGGAGGCCACGCAGAGATCACGACTGTGGGGGGCCACGCAGAGATCACGACAGTGGGGTGCCAGAGATCATGACAGTGGGGCCACGCAAAGATCACAACAGTGGGAGGCCACGCAGAGATCACGACAGTGGGGCCACGCAGAGATCACAACAGTGGGAGGCCACGCAGAGATCACGACTGTGGGGGGCCACGCGGAGATCACGACAGTGGGGTGCCAGAGATCATGACAGTGGGGCCACGCAAAGATCACAACAGTGGGAGGCCACGCAGAGATCACGACTGTGGGGGGCCACGCAGAGATCACAACAGTGGGGGGCCAGAGATCATGACAGTGTGTGGCCACGTGGAGATCATGACAGTAGGGGGCCACGCAGAGATCACAACAGTGGGGGGCCACGCAGAGATCACGACAGTGAGGGGCCACGCGGAGATCACGACAGCGGTGGGCCACACAGAGATCATGACAGTGGGGGGCCATGCAGAGATCTACTTTTCCAGGACACGGGCCCGGAGTTTACCTTCTCAATGAAGTACATGAGCGGGTCCTTGCCACGGGGAGTGGGTGGCTCCCAGCTGAGGACGACATAGTTTCTGCTGATCTCGGAAGCGTGCACACCGGTGGGAGGCCCTGGAACCTGGGCGTCACCTGGAGGAATAATAAATTCGGTGAGTGCTGAAGGACCCCCATCAGCCTCGCTGCAGCCCACCTCGGGGCACTGGAGGACTCTGCCACGTGGGTGTTGAACTTGTTTTGTTTCTATTTGGGGAAGTCAAACAAACCCCAAAGATGCTTCCTTGGAACCAGAGGATAAGGCACCAATAAAGATCAGCCAGTTAGTTTTGCTTCCAATACAGATATAAGCCTGTTCATAGGAAAGGAATCTCACCCGAAAGTCTTCCAGAGATTCTGTTGGAAGAGGGGGAAGGATTTACCAGAAGAAACCAGGCATTGCACCCGAAATGGGGCTCTGACTGTGTTGGGAATCTGTGCAGAGAACATATTCACAGTCTGTCTTCTGAAATACAGAAGCACCGCGGATGGAGGCGGCCCCACCTCTAAGGATCCCCTCTGGGTTCTTTCTTTATACCATGTGCCCTCAGAGCACTTAAATGACACATCTACTTCTAAAACACCTTGCCTGCTCCTCCCTCAAAAGCTCAGTACCATATTCACAGGCACTGTATTCTATGTCTGCATGTTTGAATTCTGGAGTGATGTTGATAAGCCTTTTGCAAATAACTTATGCTAGAATATTTGCAGTCAGAGATGCTCCATATGCCTCTCTTCTGACATACATCTTTTTTAAATATACTATGAGGTGTGGGGATTTCTGTTTGAATTTATAGGAGATTTTCATAAGGAGTGGAGGTGGAGGTTTTTCCAGACCCACAGTTCTTGAAATTGTGATAAAAAATATTATGAACCTTCAATTAGATTAGCACATGATTAAAACGGTCTGAAACCTCCCCGGGACATCTCTGAGCCATTCTCAAAACCCAGTTGCTCCCTCAGGACTCTGTAGCAGGCCAGGAACTGAACATGGAAATAGTACAAAGCAAGACTGGGTTTCGTTTCCTGAGCCCTGTTGCACAGCGCATTACAGGTCAGAGGCAACGCAGGCTGAGCTGGGCTCATTCTGGTAAGGTGCTGAATTTCACACAAGGAGTCAGTGTGTCTCCGGAAAATGCAGAGGGTAACTGGGGCGGGGGACACCCCACAGGCCTGCTCTCCACCCGTGCACCGTGTCCACACCTAGATACCCACAGAAAAAAGCATTCCAGAGAGAAGATGCAGAAAACTCATCTTTCTGTAACACTTGCCGAAATTCCAAAACTGAATCCTGGTTTATTTCAGAGGTGCTGATGAGGGAAGCAAACCAAGGGGACAGAAGGAACAAGGCAATGAACAGAAGCAGCAAGCAGGTGTGAGCCGCTGACAGCAGCATCTCGTTCACACTTTCGGAACTGTCTTGCTGCCTTTGCCCCTGCATGTAGCAAAAGGCCCCGAGAAAGTGGAGTGAGAGACAGTTCCTTTGATGACAAGGTGAGAAGGAAGAACACAGCTTTGTCAGCAGGGGATCCCCGGCTGGGGCAAGACATCTGACTTATTCTTCACATCTTCATCAGCCTGGGCAATGTGATCACACAAGCCTTGCGGATTTGCAGATTCTCCAACCATGGAGAGAGGAGAAAAGGGTTCAAAAGGGTCCCTCGAGCCAGGGAGAGGGAAGCACAGGGGTGGGCATGAGTGATGACCCTGCCCTGAGAGGGGAGCCGAGGGAAAACAAATGAACGTTAAGCACACATGAGACACCACTAGGCACATGTAAGATACTGCTAAGCACACGAGAGACACCGCTAAGCACACGCAAGATGCCGCTAAGCACACGTGAGATGCTGCTAGTCACACATGAGATGCCATTAGACATATGCGAGATGCCGCTAGGCACATGCGAGATGCCGCTAAGCACATGCTAGATGCCACTAAGCACACATAAGATACCGCTAGGCACATGTGAGATGCCGCTAAGCACATGCTAGATGCCACTAAGTACACATAAGATACCGCTAAGCACACGTGAGACACTGCTAAACACACATGAGACACTGCTAAGCAAAGGCTAGACACTGGCCAACGGTTCTACCCCCAGGGCACTGACGCTGCCCTCACCCAATTGAGTATTGGGCCAAGTCAATACTAAATGAACCAGTGAGAGATATATAAACACACATGCTTTTTGTATTATTATATGTTATATGCATTATTAATATATAATATATATGATTGTTTTAAAATGCTTTCACATTCAATATCTTATTTTGGGTTCTGTTCATGTGTGGAGGAAGATACTATTGGTTTCCTCCACTTAAAAATCCAGAAATTGATCTCATAAAAACATACCACTTTCCTAAGATCGCACAGCTACTGGGTGGCTGAACTGGGGTCGAGGCTTAGGTCTTCTGGTTCCAACTTCTGTATTTTGTTCCCTCATCCACCTAAGGAAACTACAACCTCCCCAGGAGATTTTTCTCTAAGTAAATGAAACACCGAGTTTATTTTAGGTTTGACAGAATTGAAGGGTCCTGCAGAGCACAGAGCAAATGACTGAGCAAGTGGGCTGCAAATGCCCCGGCCCAGGAAAGCACAGCCAATGCTTGCATACATAATTAGGAGAGAATAACACAGTAGAACAGTAGAGTAAAAACGCTCTTATTATATTCTGTGAGGGTCTATTCTGGCCTTTCCAAAAATACAGTGTCCATTTTTCAACGGAGCAATTCAACAAATACTGGGCAAGTTGGGTTGATGGTAAGGCAAGCGCATGGATAGCCATTCAAATGTGTGAAGGAAGACATTGCCCAAGATTAAAATGGTGAGAAAAACTCGGCAAAAAGTCAAAAATAGCAGAGGAGCCATTTTTAGCCAGCAACAGTAATGAGTTTCTGTTTCATTAAAACAAGGGGCATTTACCAAGTATTTTCTAGCTAAAGCAATGGTAAAAGAAAAAAAATCAGCTGAAGAAAAAAGACACAGGTAGAAAAGGGAACTTCCTAATAGCAAATTCTTGAATCCCGAAATGGTTCGCTTCGAAACATTATAGATCTCTTTCTTTGGCTAAAGATTTTTTTAAGTTAGAGGACATATTCCTTGTTTAAAATGGCTGAGGTGAACAGATAAACTTTCCAAAACCCCATATCAACACAGCAGAATTTCAATTTCATACCCAGTTTGTTTCTGACCATGGAAATTGCCTGTTCAATGCACACAAAGCGTCACGTCAGAGAACTGAAGCCGGGGAGGCTGAGCCTCAGGCAGTGTCCACGTCTCGTCAAGCAATTTTCCATCTAAGTCTCACCCTCAGCCTCCCATAACCCACCGCATAAACACAGACTTGGAAAAGTCCCCTGAGGATGAATAAATCCTGCCACATTCACAACCGCCTCCAACGGAGGAGGACACAGGCCCAGTCAGCCAGAAACCTGCCTTGCTGAAAGCAAGGAAAACACGAGACCATGGAAAAGAGCATCTGTGTCTTTACTCCAACGGGAAATGAGAGCTACAGTGTCTGGATGCCAAACTTCCACTTTATCAACTGGCAAACCAAGCCTCAGGACACGCGCTCTTTCTTCATTTGACACCTCATGAACAGCGGGCTTCGTGTACCCCACCACAATCATGTCTCACTAGAAAGATAGACTCTCTCCAAAAAGGCAGGGCTTCTGCCCTGGGGAAGGTTCATTCCATTACATGATTTCCCTTCCCCAGTGCTCTTCTCAATGGCCTTTACAGAAGGCAAATTTCATCACAGATAAGTGACATTTATAAAGCAAGTTACACCTTCTCACCGTGGGTCATTTTTGCCAGGCTGGATTCCTACACATCCACTCAGCGTGATCCGGGCTGCCCACCTCCTCCCTGATCTGTCTGCTCGTGAGGAGTGAGAAGGGGGACTGCCTGTTCTTCCCACGTGGCAGAACCAAACCTCATTCTGCACGGGCTGGGCTGCCTGTTCCTCCCGCAGGCCAGAACCAAACCTCATTCTACACGGGCTGGGCTGCCTGTTCCTCCCGCAGGCCAGAATCAAATCTCATTCTGCACGGGCTGGGCTGCCTGTTCCTCCCGCAGGCCAGAACCAAACCTCATTCTACACGGGCTGGGCTGCCTGTTCCTCCCGCAGGCCAGAACCCACCTCATTCTACACGGGCTGGGCTGCCTGTTCCTCCCGCAGGCCAGAACCAAACCTCATTCTACACGGGCTGGGCTGCCTGTTCCTCCCGCAGGCCAGAACCAACCTCATTCTACACGGGCTGGGCTGCCTGTTCCTCCCGCAGATCAGAACCAAACCTCATTCTGCACGGGCTGGGCTGCCTGTTCCTCCCGCAGGCCAGAACCAAACCTCATTCTGCACGGGCTGGGCTGCCTGTTCCTCCCGCAGGCCAGAACCAAACCACATTCTGCAAGGGCTGGGCTGCCTGTTCCTCCCGCAGGCCAGAACCAAACCTCATTCTGCACGGGCTGGGCTGCCTGTTCCTCCCGCAGGCCAGAACCAACCTCATTCTGCACGGGCTGGGCTGCCTGTTCCTCCCGCAGATCAGAACCAAACCTCATTCTACACGGGCTGGGCTGCCTGTTCCTCCCGGAGGCCAGAACCAACCTCATTCTACACGGGCTCGTCGGCCTCAAGCAGGCCTTCTTTTCTAACAGTATTTGGAGCCATTTTTCAGTCATTCAAATATCCATGTTTTAATCATCCGAAAAATGGGGAGGGTTTATCATGCATGAGACAGAATACCAGGCTGACTCAAAAAGCCAGATGCCCAGGAGACTGCAAGAAGTTGTCCTCCTCAAATCCCTCACTTTCATTCCTTATGTATTGAGTGTCCTTCCTGAGTTCTAGGTCCTTCTGCAGCCAGAGGATTTGACTAAGGCTTAAAGGTTCCCTTGGCTTGACCAGAACTCTCAACGCTCTTCTTTTGGGAGTTTATGTCCCTCATGGGAAACATTGGGACATACGTTTGTTTTGAGATCCTAGAGAAAAATCTTCATGTGGCAGAACATGCAATGTGTGGATACTAGTTGGGGATCCATCTGCTTCAGATGTAGAAAACCAATCCAGAAAACGCTTTTGAGTCTGCAGCTCTAGGAGAGAGAACACGGCTGTGATTTTAGCGAGCAGCTCAAAATCACCTCTCTCTAGCCAGTGGCTCCACACTGATTTGAAATCTTTCTTTTTATGTTTTCACCCATGGCACTCTATGAACTCTAAGTCCAGTTAAAACCTTTTGATTTCTAGTTAATAATGTTGGATTCTCCTTAACACGTCATTCTTTCTAAAGGTCTCTAAAAGGAATATCAGGAAGAAGAAATATCCACAAAATCAAATATACATAAGGACCAAGAACATCATTTGGCAGGAAAGACTCAATCCGTTTCAGTTAAAATGTCAGGAATAAAATTTTTGCTTAGAAAATGTAAAATGAAATCGATTTCACAATGCAATCTGTGAGAAAGGATCTTACATCACCCAGGAACCAAGTCTGAGCTTTAGTTTGGTTTCTTCTCTACAAGTCCCTGAAAGAACGCCTTTGTAAACCCCAAATGAAAGGTGAGTCTAAGAGTCACCAATCCTTCACCCTTTCTCCCACCCTCTCACTCTGTCTTGCTTGATTTTTTCTTTTTTTTAACTTCTATGGACACTGGGCTTGCAGGCCTGACCTGCGGTTTTCATTTTTCCATGCAGAGGCCGTGCCCAGTAGGGGGCGTTCTCTGTCCATCTCTCCCATCTCTAATTACAACTCCAAATCCCCAGGGGCTGAGCAGCTGGGGTGATGAGGTGCTACTTACCTTCAAGGTCATCCTGATAAATGGCAATCTCCTTCTCTCCCTCCAAATGAACGGCTGCGGAGAGAAAGGTTGACACTCGATTTGACATGCGAAGTTTTCCCCAAAAGCCCGTTTTCCCTCATTCTGTGCCAGCTCTGCATCTCCTCTGCATTAGGACTACAACCTGTGAGTCCTCTGGGGGCATCAGAGCTGATTCTGGAAGTGTCCTGGTAACAGTTAGCACTTCTCAGCTCTTGGTGGTGGATGCAAAGGACCATGTGCGTAAGGAAAATATAGTGGCTCGCTTACAACCATAACGAAGGGCCCAGTCCCATTAAGGAATCTGTGTCATGCAAAATTAAAACTCAGAATAGGATGGCCTTCTAAGTGTCATTATGTGTTGAAATTATATCACCAATGGAATAAAAAAAAGGTCTAATTCTGAGCCAATTTAACTGGATGCCAGCAAAGAGCTTTCTGGAGGAGAGGCACATTCATTTTAGAGTGTACGTCAGCCCGTTTTCATTCCTGTAGTGATGTTGGTGGAGATGTCAGAGAACGTTGTAACAGCCTGTGCTATGCTCTGCACACAGGGCATTCTCAGGGCTCACATCGAGTTGGGAGGGAAAGAGACAACAAATCACACACAAAACAGCCAAAGCTTCCTGGGCACAGTGGATACTTAGGCGTGAGCAGCTTACCTTGTAACCTTCTGAGGTCCAAGGGGTCAAGTGCAGCCACCGCATCAGAGACCCTGGAGGGTCGGCTGATGCCCGCACTGTTCACTGCCCTCACTCGGAATATGTAAGACCTTCCTTCAAAAAGCCCTGTGACCGGGTATTTGCAGATTTTCACCGGTGCATCATTGCACTGCACCCAATTATTCGTTCCTACTTCACATCTTCAAGTTAAAAAAAGAAAAACAACAGAGAATAGCAAATGTGGCAACCTACTAAATATACATAGGTATATGCATATATGCACACACTGATTATAACAGGACAATATCTCACGCCAGTAAAATCTTTGCTGCTAAGATATTGACTTGTATAGATAAACATTAGAAGACAGAGCTATTTAGAAAATGCAATATATATATTATATGTAATATCTATTATATATGTAATATATGCCCATGAATCTTAATAATTTATAGCTGAAGATCAATTTCTGTCATCAAACACATTTAGGCAAAAATCTCCTCAAAAAATTATTTTAGACGCATCCTGAACAGTTCTTGTTCCGACTTACGTGACATAGTCACGGCACCCCTAAGCTGCGGCTTGGCCCGTCTGAGGCCCAGGCTGGGGAAACAGGCTCAGCCCCCTCTGCCTCCAGCTCCCGTCCCACTCTGTGAGACCAAGGGCCCAGGTCCCTGGGAAAGCTGGCTTACAGTCTCCTAGAATAATGTTAGGACATTTCTTTCTAGAATGCCTCTCATGTGGAATTTAGAAGTCTTTTGAAAATATTAATTCCTGACCAGAAACCTGGAAATATAGGAAAGATTAACCTCTGTTTTTCACAGGTTGAAAAATGTAAGAAAAAAACCTTCACATGAAATTCCCAGGAGAAAAGAGCTAGTTCAGAAAATCAGTGTTGGGAGGGAGCACTTCAACCCCAGAGTGGTGCCTTCATCTGGGAAAGAACCAGCTCTCCTCCTAAGTATCCAGCACTTTTAATGAAAGCTGTCTGATCCACATGTCATGGGCTGTTTTAGCCGAAGAGAACAACAGGTCAAAACCAAAAGTCTGATGGGAAAACCTGCAACTTCAGGCAACAGCTGGCAAGTCGTAAGCCCAAAGGAAGGGCAGAGGAGGAGCTGCACCCCCCACTTCCAAATGCACCCTCATTCCCAAAGTGTTCCGTTGCTTTGAATTTCATGTTTGCGCTTTTTGTAATGAGGGGAGGAGCGTGGATTGTTAGCTGAGACAGTGCAGGAAATGGTTTTTGTCAACATGGCGGGAAAACTTATCAGCTGTCCCAGGAGAAAAGAAGATCGTTTTGAGGGTTTGTTTTTCTTGCTGTAGTTGCTTAATTCAAGGTAAGCCCGGAACAGCACTCCCTGCAGAACTGTCTCTAGCATATCAAAATATTAGTTTGATGGCACAGGTCTCAGCCAAACAAGTAGTTTTGTTGGAAGAGAAAAGAGAATTTAATCAGCATAAACAAACAAACAAACAAAAGCCAATTCCCTCATTTTTTCCTAAGATAATCACCTTATTTTTCTGTTTAATATACATATAAAATTTTGCATTTCTACCAGGAACCATCCTTTGTGGTTTTTTTGTTTTGTTTTTTTGTTTTTTGTTTTGTTTTGTTTTTTTTTGATGGTGGAGTCTCACTGTGTTGCCAGGCTGGAGTCCAGTGGCGCAATCTTGGCTCACTGCAACCACCGCCTCCCTGGTTCAAGAGATGCTCCTGCCTCAGCCTCCCAAGAAGCTGGGATTATAAGCACATGCCAGCACACCCAGCTAATTTTTGTATTTTTAGTAGAGACAGGGTTTCACCATGCTGGCCAGCATGCTCTTGATCTCCTGAACTTGTAATCCGCCCGCGTTGGCCTCCCAAAGTGCTGGGATTACAGGCGTGAGCCACCGTGCCCAGCCAGAACCATCCTCTTATACTCTCTGTCTAATTTCTAAATTCATTTTCTTCAACTATAATTTACTCCAAGAACTGGAATTTGTATTTAGGGCATAAATTACATATCCAGTAAACCCACTGGCTCTGTGCAGTACACTTCCCAGGCTCCAAGCGCTGTCCCCAGTACGGGAAGTCAAAGAATTCAAACTCCACTGGCTCCAACGATGACCTAAATGTAAGTTATCAACTCAAACACAAACTCCAGTATTTCGAAGCTCAAGATTTTTCACTTGGAAACAAGAAGAACACCTTATTCCTCAGTAGAGAAAAGGAAAGAACTTTGTTAGAAATGAGCTGGCATTCTTCGCAGCACTTTGTCTCTCAGGAGGGAAGGACAGTTCCAAGCTTTAATTCTGCTAAAGCCAGGGCCCTGTCCGGTACGGGGCACAGCCCGGACCTCAGCAGAACCACAGCGCGGGGCTCAGAGTGAGCCTGAAGACGTTGGTGGGATTGGTTACTGGGTGTGCAACAGGCAAACGAGCCTCCACTTTCAACAAAAAGAAACCCAGTGTGGTTATGCTGGGCTCAGCCTACTTGGCCGTATTTACCAATTACCTAAATAGGAACTTATACAACCAATTAGCCATGTACCTAGAGCCAATCAAAAAATGGGAACGTCAACCTGCGTTGAGAAAGATTTCTCAATATATTGTCCATGGTAAGATTCCATGCGGAACGTTCCCATCCCCGGGAGAATGCAAGACGCTCACCGGTCCACAAAATAGCCCATGACGGGGCTCTCAGTGGTGGTGTTGGGCGGCTTCCAGGTCACGATGACGTAGTCCCGGTTGGCGTCGTGGCACTGCAAGTCCATGGGTGCACCGGGGGCCCCTGTGACCAGCGGGTCAGCATCTTGGGGCAGGGATAGAAAAGGCACACGCCTGTCATTTAAAGGCTGGGGTCACTGCAAAGCCTGTTTACAGCTCCTCCAAGCTCCAATTCTATCCCCTTGATTTGACCACTGTTTAATTCTCATGTTCAAAGTACTAGAATATTTCTTACTCTGGCGGGTTGGTGACAAGAAATATAAAATTATGTATGAATTAAAAAGCTTCAAAACATAGAATCCTTGATAAAACACTGAGTCTACAATTTTTCGTCATTAGATCCTGAATTACAGGTCATCTTCTCTTGGTCCTGCTATGGTGCATAACGGCACGTTGGCAAAAATGTGCGGATGAAACAGTGACAATAATCTGGCATTTCTAACACCTGAGAAATATCACCTGAGATACTCTTCTATTTCAAAATCCTTAGGAAATTGGGCGATTTACTCTTTTCGCCAACTTTGAGCAAATATTTGGGACAATATTGCATCATTCGTTTCTCAGTCTATTGATGACCCTAATGCAATTAGGTTTAATTACAGCTGCATGAAAACCAACAGAGCAACATAGAAAGTTAATACACTGAATGTGAACCTTCTTATCTAAACTATGTATTTATTCAGCAGCCCTGGCTGCCCTGTGACGCATGCTTAGCAGGGTGAGCACTATCCAGTTTCCTGCTCACATATCTTCAGGGTATTAAAAGCTGAGGATTTCCTGACATTGAGCCAAATGGTTTCCTCTCACATTCAAAAGCCTCAGAAAGCGATGAAAATGGTTAAACTCCCCACCTTTGCCTTATTTTCCTCCTGTTGCTGGTGCTGAGTGAGCAAGGCGATTTGAGCCGTGTTGCATTTATTGCCTTTTTATGGGGCTGAGCATCATACCAGCAGGCACATGCAGAAGACGGAAGGGACATTTAACGCCCGCCTAACAACAGCAGTGAAACTTGGCGGGAGTGTCTAACCTCACAGACTCGCAAGCTCAGGCTATCGTGTGGGAAGTGAGGAGGGTGAGATACGTTTGGTTGACATTTCTTCTCTTTCTTTTCAGATGAAATATTCTTTAATGATACAGTCCTTCCTTTAAGCTCTGATCTAATGGATGCAATGGAAAAAGTAATCATGAAGATGTATGGATGCGTCCTGCACCCCACTGGAGCTGGAGGCAGGTGGGAAGGTGAGAACTTGGGCAGCAGGTAAGGATGCCCGGCTGATCGGGATGGAGCCGGGAGCCCGGGGACCCGGAGAGCAGCAGCAGCTACATGGCGCAGGAGCGCTCTGACGCCTTCTTTGTAGGTCAGCTGTGCCTCAGCAAGGAGGCTGCCCCTAAACCCAGAGGCTGCTGAGGTGCAGCCCAGGGCAGAAGCAGGAGGGGAGTGAAACAGACACTGATAAAAGCGTAGGTGGGGCCGGGCGCGGTGGCTCACACCTGTAATCCCAACACTTGGGAGGCCGAGTGGGGGGGCCAATCACTTATGATCAAGAGTTCGAGACCAGCCTGGCCAACATGGTGAAATCCCATCTCTACTAAAAATATAAAAATTAGCCGGGCGTGGTGGTACATGCCTGTAGTCCCAGCTACCGGGGAGGCTGAGGCAGGAGAATCGCTTGAACCCAGGAGGCGGAGGTTGCAGTGAGCCGAGGTCGCGCCACTGCACTCCAGCCTGGGCGACAGAGTGTTAATCCATCTCAAAAACAAAACTAAAAAAAAAGGAGGAGTAGGAGTAGGTGGGCCCCTTCTGCTCAGTCACATGATGCCAAAAACACTACAAAGTTATAGCAGGAACTCAGGTTCCAGGCTCCAGCAAAATTTAAATCTGAGCTTCTCTACCCTAGAGACATTTCTCCTGCCTCTGAGCCTCCATGGATTCATCTGGAAAACTGAGAACAGTATTTCCTTTTGCTATCACTGTAAGAATTCCAGCTTATATATACATGGATGTTTATGTAAGTATAGGCACATACATGCACACCTATAGGCTGTATACAATAGGCATTTTATAAATATATATATCTGTATATCACAAATATTGTCTTTCTTTTCATAAATGGAATGAGTGAAGCTTCCCTAGTGAGTCTGTTGTGAAGACGAAATCCGTGTAGGACCCCAGCACACTGCCTGACATAAAGCGTCTGGTGATGACAGCTGTCATGGCCACAAGTGTCTTAAGCACGAGTTTCACTGAAGTGGGTGGTGGAGGTCACAGCACTGGCTGTCATCATCATCACATCTGCCTCTCTTAAGCCAAAGTCCAGAGGGAATGAGTCGCTGGCAGGAGAGTAAGGAAGCTCTTCCCTGGGACTCCAACACTGTGCCCCTCTTCATCCTCGGGCTACGTTCCCTGAGAATGAGTAAATCTGGGGCACTCACTCTTGGGAATCGTTTTTCAAATGCTAATGACTATATGAACGATTCAAGAGACAAAAAAATGATGATTCTGGTCTATTCCGGATTGTGTCCCGATTCTTCCGTCTGCTCATCGGCAGGAAGCACCTGGCGTGCCCATGCACTGAGGGAAAATCGGGGCCGCATGGGGTCTCCAAGGAGCAAAGTGGTCTCACACCCTCTGGACTCCTTTTCCCAGCGCCTCCCTCCTCCCAGGGCTGCCTCCCCTCCCCGGGCACACACAAGGTCTGCACCCTGAGAACCCTGCTGCCCGCACCTCTGACAAACAGGAAGGCGCTGTGGTCGCTGACGCCGCCCCGAGACACGATGCGCAGGGTGTACAGGCCCTCGTCGTCCTTGTGCAGGTGGCTGAAGGACAGGGAGGCCTGGCCTTCTCCAAAGAACATCTTCGTCCACTTGGACTCTTTCAACAGCACGTCTGAAAGAGCGTTAACACGGAAGGTTTGCATCCAAAATCACCCCAGCAGGCAAAGAAAGCCTCGGGGACACCAGCGTCGTCTCAGAGCGGGACAGGACAGTCGAGCTGGACACCACGGAAGGCAGAGCCTCAGCCTGGTAAAATCCCAACAGCTGCACTTCGTGGAAGCACACGCGTGAACTGAGCACCCACAGCCCAGAACACAGGCTGCCACTTGAGTGGGTCAAAGTGGGACGTGCTGCGAGCGGCCGCCAGCTTTGTCCTCAGGTAAACTGGGTTCACCTGGGGGCCCGCTGCTTCTCTGCTGGACGGCCACTGCCCCAACCGGCTTCCTCCCGCCCGTGGGGGATTACAGGGGTGTGCAGCTGAAGGGGCTACTGTCACATCTCCAAAGAACCCAGCATAGACCCTCCATATCATCAAACTCTAAAAACAAAATGACTGGATGGAAGGAAGAAAAGAATCTCAATACGACTAAGGTAGCATTTCTGTCTAGAAATAGTACACAAGCTGCTAACCAGCCCCTTCCATGCAGTAATGTGCATTAAACTGAATCTAAATGGCACGAGATCATTCTTTCTGTCACTGTACCAGCGATCAGTCTCTAAGTGGCTGCTCTAGGTTCGGGGTCTCCCTCTCCAGGATTCTCCTGGATGAAGTTCAAGGCGAACGGTGGGCCACCAAGTCCTCTACAGTCCCTCAGTTTGTTTCGCTGTCTGGAGCTGACCCAGTGGTAGAGACAAAAGCCACATTGACACCCACATTTAAAGGACATTTCCGTCCAAAAGCCTCCTGGTGTGTGCCCGGGTCTGGGCCGTGTCCTACTCACCATCGCGGTACCACTCGGCGCGCGGCTGCACCCGCTTCAGGTCCGGCGTCACCAGCATGGTGCACTTGAGAGTGACCGTCTCGCCTTCCCTCCTGAAGGTGACCCCAAACTTCTCCAAAAACTGGACGTCGAAGTGCGTGTACGGAATCATCGATGACAGGGGCACTGCACAGAAACGATGGAGGCTTTCAGGGCCGAAGGGCAGAGAGCATCTTTCTTTTTTTGGGGCGGGGGGCGGGGGGACGGAGTCTCGCTCTGTTGTCCAGGTTGGAGTGCAGTGGTGCGACCTCGGCTCACTGCAGGCTTCGCCTCCCGGGTTCACGCCATTAGGGCAGAGAGCATCTTTGACAGCAGACACACTCAGATCGTCACCGCAAAAGCACGTCTTTGTCACCGCCCCACAGCATGGAACACCCGTAGCCAGGTCCGTGCTCCACACGGAATGTCTGTGTCCCCCCCAGAATTCCAGTGTTGAATCCCTGACCCTCAATGGGACGGTGTAAGGAGGTGGGGCCTTTGGGAGGTGATGAGGGTGGGATGAGATCGTGAGAGTGGGACCCCAGGGGAGAATGAGCGCCCTTGGAAGCGGAGGAAGAGGCCAGACCTTCCTTCCTTCCACGTGAGGACACCGTGAGCAGGTGCCGTCAGCAACCCGGGAGGAGGCTCCTCACCAGAAGCCATGCCTGCTGAGTGTCAGGCTTCTGCCTCCAGAACAGAGAGGATAAGTGTTTGCTGTTCGTAAACTGCCCCGGCCATGGCGTGTTGTTCCAGCAGCCGGAGCGGAGACAAGCCACTGCGGAAGAATTAAATGTCACAAAGTCGACTTTGCGGTGTCGTCAGAGGCAGGGCTGAGAACCTGATCGTGTGTGAAGACCAAAGGTTTAAGTCCAACCTCAGCCCCAGACTGTGGCTTCTGGCAAGTCACATGGACTTGGAAGCCACGGCTGCCTCCTCCTCAAAACAAACGGTGGTATTTGCATCCGTAGAGTTTAGAGTTCACCCAAATGAAGTAACTAGATCCAGAAGCGTCAGCCTGGTTAAATTTCAAAAATATGTGTGGTAGGGGGAGAAGTACATACATGTCAGGAAAAAAATCTATACTGAATTTTTAAAACCAAAAAAAAACTGTATGGTTTACAGACACATGCATGTAGGGAAGTTTAAACAACAGCTGCAGGCCGGGTACAGTGGCTCATGCCTGTAATCCCAGCACTTTGGGAGGCCAAGGTGGGAGAATCACTTGAGCCCAGGAGTTCGAGAACAACCTGGGCAACATGGTGAAACCGCATCTCTACAAAATGCAAAAAAAAATAAAAATAAAAAAATAAAGAAAAAACGAGCCGGGTTTGGTGACACACGCCTGTAGTCCCAGCTATTTGGGAGGTTGAAGCAAAAGGATTCCTTGAGCCAGGGAGATCAAGGCTGCAGTGAGCCAAGATCGCACCACTGCACTCCAGCCTGGGCGACCGAGTGAGACCCTGTCTCAAAAATAAATAAATAAATAAAAATAAAAAATTTAAAAAGCCACTGCCAATGCCAGGACGGTGTGGGAGACGGGCAGGAGCAGCACTGGCTGCTTCCATCATCTCTGTCATTGTTTCAGTTCTTGGAAAATAATTGAAGCTACCCTGAGCTGTACGCTGTACAATGGTTAACATTGTGTTATGTACAATGGTTAATGTCGTGTTATATAAATTTGACTTCGACGAAAAACAACTGAAGCAAAAATAGCAAGATATTTCCCTCTGTCAAACACGGGTGGTGAACACATGAGCATTCTTCCATGGTGATCTATGCTGTAACTGCGCCACAGTTCTTAATGAGGAAGATAAAATGTTAATAGATAGGAGAAACCCCGGGATGGGACCAGGTGACTGCCAGGACCTGCCCAGCTCATCAGTGCCTGGGGCAACTCTCCACACAGACTCTGTGCTGTCCTGAGGGCCAGAGCTACACACAGACACCCAGATCTCCCGGGCTCCCCAGGCTCACTTTGGACTGATCCCTGCCTGCCCTTTGGTGGTCTTGGGGGCTCACCGAGTGTTGGATGTAGCCCAGCAAAAAAAGTCACACAGAAATCGCGAGCAGAGGCCACGCCCACAGCGGCCAGCAGCTGCCAGGAGGCTCCACCCTCCATCGTTGCTTCGGTCAACTCTCCACTCCCAGCACGTGGCCCAGAGCAACTAAGCCTCGCATTACAGTAAAATCAGTGCTTCCATCGGAATGTACGGTTCCTTCCTGGGAAGTTCAGGCCAATTCTAAAACTCACTCCCAAGCCATAAACAAGCTGCCTCGAAAGGGCATCCATCATGTCCCCGTCCTCCAGATGCCCTCATGGGGACCGCCTCACCTCACCCAGCATGGGTCACCCAGCACCATGGGACTGCTAGGGTGAAGCCAGCTCAGGGCCAGAGAGGGCTTCGCCTCATTACAGGGCCAGGGCAGGTCCTAGGCCTGGGGCGGGTCTCTGGACCAAAGCCTGCTGCACTGCCCTTGTTTTGACCTGAAGTCATTTGTTACAAGGACCAAGAGACTTTTGGAGAAAAAAAAAACATCTCCTTAAACACGAAACAGCAACATGATGCATTCAGGTCAAGAATTTGGATGTGTCTCTTTTTTTCCAGTTCAAAAACGTAAAGTCTCTCCAAGTGATGTTTTCACCAGTCTAAAAATACCACCTAGCCATAGAATTACATGGGAACAAATTGTCAGCATGCTAACACTGGCCAGGAGAAACTTGGAGGAGCTCTCTGAAATGATTTTTGTAAAAAAGATTTGACCCTTAGGTGTGAACCCGGGAGGCAGAGCTTATGGTGAGCCGAGATGGCACCACTGCACTCCAGCCTGGGTGACAGAGTGAGACTCCGTCTCAAAAAAAAAAAAAGATTTGGCCCTTAGGAAACCATGTTTTCAAATTGTCTGCTATGTCACTAAACATTTCACCACACAGAAAAGAAACAAAAACCCACTTACATCCAATCGGGAGTCCCACCGAACGGAATGGTTCCTCGTCTCCCCGGAACCCTGCAAGACAGCAAAGTGAGTGCAGCAGAAAAGAGAAAAGGAGGCGGGAGGTGCCCCGTGAAAGCCCACCCGGCACTCACTTCTCACCACCACCGCCGCGTTGGTGGACACTTGTCCGTGGGCATTGGTGGCCACTGCTGAGTATGTCGCAGTGTCGTCAAAGTCTGCCCTTGGAGAGAAAAAAACAAGAGAAAGTCTGCGGGACTGTTGTGTAAAAGTCAGTGACCCGAATTGCACAAAAGCATTCCTCGAAAGCAAATCACATGGCGTGGTTTATTTGTTCATGAGTGATTTGTGCAAGAACAATGCCAGCTCTGTCCTTGGAAAGGTGAGGCAGCACTCGGTATTAATTATAGACACAGATGAAGGCCTGATCCCAGAAGATGGTGCAGTTTCGGCCTTAAGAATAAAAAGGTACTGGCACTCCTGAAAATCCTTTGTTCATTCTCAAGGAGAAGTCTCTATTCCATTCTGGTCCTATTTTTTCTACCTCTATGGAATGCGCGGTTTCATCTTGTCAATGGACAGCCTCCCGTGACCTCAAGCTCCAGAAGAACCAGTCGTGATGGGATGATACAGAGCCTGCCTGGGAGAGCCGTGGACCTGCTCCGTGTAGGAGCCAGGATGCTGCCAGAGGAGAAGGCAGAGTGCTGCTTCAGGGAGGCCCTGAACCATGGCGGGGGGGTCCATTCCATGCAGGAGCCGTTCCCATACAGGGAGTCGTTCCCATGGGGCAGTCCATCCCATGCGAGTTCTAAGGTGGTCCGGGAGCTTGAGCTTTGCTCCACTCTCCAGGTGATCCTGGTGCACACGTGCATTGAAGAGCTGCGCCCAGGATGCTCTCTGCCTAGTGCACATGGGCATTGAAGAGCTGTCCCCCGGGATGCTCTCCGCCTGGTGCACACAGGCATTGAAGAGCTGTGCCCAGGATGCTCTCTGCCTGGTGCACACGGGCATTGAAGAGCTGCCCACGGGATGCTCTCTGCCTGGTGCACACGGGCATTGAAGAGCTGTCCCCAGGATGCTCTCCACCTGGTGCACACAGGCATTGAAGAGCTGTCCCCAGGATGCTCTCCGCCTGGTGCACACGGGCATTGAAGAGCTGCCCCCGGGATGCTCTCCGCCTGGTACACACAGGCATTGAAGAGCTGTGCCCAGGATGCTCTCTGCCTGGTGCACACAGGCATTGAAGAGCTGCCCCCGGGATGCTCTCCACCTGGTGCACACAGGCATTGAAGAGCTGTCCCCAGGATGCTCTCGGCCTGGTGTGCACAGGCATTGAAGAGCTGCCGCCCCCCGGTATGCTCTCTGCCTGGCGCACACGAGCATTGAAGAGCTGCGCCCACGATGCTCTCCATCCTTTAATGCCCCTGGGATGAGAATCCTGGGATGAAACCACCGAAAACCCATCGAAGCCCTCAACACAGCTTGTACCTGGCGTACACAGAGGGTTCCAAGGTGCAGAGACCGATTAACTTCTAAGTGACAAACTCCCTGTTCCAAAAGCAGATTCTACAACCCTACCCAGCTCCCCAGTAGGATTCCCATGCTAATAAGAGGCTACATCCAGAATCCCAAAGTAATATGATCCCAAGACATGAATCACCCACTCAAGGGTGTATTGAAATGTCTGAGTTGGACTCCACCTGAGACACTGATGTGTGTTTATCCCTGGGAAAACAAAACAAAACAAAAAAAACATGACTTAGGAATAGCCAGGCTCACAAAACCCAAGTACCTGTGGGGGTGGGTCTTCTGCTTCCCCATATCCATGGTACTAAAGCTAAAACTTCTCTTCTTGGCTGTGAACTGTCTTCCCACCAGCTTCCCCAGGAAATGGAGACAAGAGGGGGTAAGGAAGAGGCACTAAGATCAGCTGAGCTTTTACTCAACACCAAGCCCTCCTCAAGTCACTTCACATCAGCATTTCCACGTTCATCCTCAAGTAGCCTGGAAAACAGACATCACTATCCCACTAGGATGGTGAGCAATCAACACAGTAAGGTAAGAAGCTAGGTAAACAAGGTCCACGTGACTCCAAAATTGCATTCTTTCTGGTAGCTCCTTTCCAAGCCATGGACACCTGAGCAGAATCTTAACGTGGGAAAAGAAACAACACAAAAAGTCCCCACTTTTGAGAAAAGCAAGAGTTACTCAAGTCTCACTTTTCAAATGCATTAAGAAGCCAGTGCCTCCAGAGACAAAATCCATTCCTGCGAAGTCATTAGTAATTTTATTTTCTTCTCTGTTCCACTATACGTGCTGAAAATATTTTCTTAGATCAAAAATTTCCGTTTCTCCAACAAAAGGGAAAGAACGTGTCCGAGAACTGTGCTATCTACTGAGAATTCTTTCCCCTCCTGCTGAAGTTCAAATCCAGTTTCAATATGTCAGATAAAACCATCTGACCTCCCTAACTGCCGTTGCTCAAGGGACAGATCACACACCAGAGCCCAGTCTGGGTAGATTTTCAAACCAAGAACATTATCTTCTAGTTCACCGTGGAGGAATACAAGCCGAACTACAAAGCCATCAGCAAAGCTACAATTCTAGCCTGAACTCATTAGAAGCTACGCTGCTGTCCTATTTCCAGATCACCACAGGCACAGCCATGTCCCCAGGTGCAAAGCAACAGTGTGTGTAAAACACATAAAAACCCCATAAGTAGAGGCTTTCTCCAATGCTAAGCATTAACAACCTGTGCTGATCTACCCATATAATTCACACATAATACTCACATACGCATCCCCACAGGGAGCGCATTGTGCTGCTGCCTCTCAGAACATGCCTGGGACTGGGGTCCGCGGTGGAAGGAGGAGGTGCTTCTCTGCAGGACCCGTGGGCATTGCTGCATTTTGTTTGTTTGTTTACTTTGTGCTCATGTTACTTCTTCTAAATAATAAAACCATTATGTTTTCAAAAATGCATTCTCCAAACCCAAATATATTCTTCTTTTGGGATTCATCCTAACCCTTCCTCTACAACGATCCCACCCCCACTAGCAATAACACAGCAGATGAGAGAAACAAGGGCGACAGCCTCCCACAGGCACCGCTGGAAGGATTCGAATGCCAGAGTATATGGAAGTGAGCAAGGCGGTCTGTAAAATCTGCTTGATCGGAATCTGCTGACCTGGAGCCTGTCCTGTGAACGCACAAGCCAGGTGGACTCAGATTCTCAAGGAGGGAGCCATAAACCAGAGAAGCACAGAGCAGGTGCACGGGCAGTTCCCGTGCAGGAACCGCTGCACGTGACCCTGCTGGACCAGGGCAGGACTCACGGGATGTGACCCGGCTGGACCAGGGCACGGGCTGTCCCCAAGCCCAGCAGGTCACCGTCATGACCAGTTCCTCAGTGAGGAAGGGTGAACGCCTTGACCCACCCTTGTACTCGAGGAGCGGGAGTGTGGGCTACATGGACAGGGCTCCAGCCAACCCCTTGAAAACCCTGCTGCTGCCTGTTAAGTAACATCAACAGCGTTCACACTGCGCCCCACGGCTCTCAACTGGAATCTCCCCCGTGTGCTGCACATTTCTTCCTCCGTGTGTTTTAGCCGTTTTTAAACTGTGGTGTCAGTGTAGACTCAGCTCATCACACACCTGTCAGGCACGAAGCCCAACATGAACCTTACGCAGCCACTTAACTCATGGGTACCGGGGCCTCAGGCAGAGCTTCTCCTACTACCTCTATGTAATTGGATAATATTCTGAGATGTCAAGGTAAAAATGTTTTCATTTGAAACTACTTGTCTTGGATTCAGGATTTTTTTCAATATTGGGCAATGAGAAGAATAGAGAATAAGAAGAAACACTGGGCAATAAGAAGAAATAAGAAGAAAATCCAGGGCAAAAATAGTTGCCGAGGCTCTTTTTTGTTGAGATGGAGTCTCACACTGTCACCCGGGCTGAAGTGCAGTGGCGTGATCTTGGCTCACTGAAACCTCCGCTTCCCAGGTTCAAGCAATTCTCCTGCCTCAGCCTCCTGAGTAGCTGGGATTACAGGTGCGCACCACCACACCCAGCTAATTTTTTGTATTTTTAGTAGAGACAGGGTTTCACCATGTTGCTCAGGCTGGTCTCAAACTCCTGACCTCGTGATTCACCTGCCTCGGCCTCCCAACATGCTGGGATTACAGGCATGAGCCACCGTGCCTGGCCTGCCAAGGCTTTTACACACCTGCAGCTGCCAGCCTCAAATTCTCCTTCCAAACTGGTGCCTTCATGAGACCAGCCCGATCATTCTTATCTACTGACTATATAATAAACACATTGTGGGTATTTTAGACTTCTAGAATACATGTATTGAGCACCCACACTTGACTAGGGTGACTTTGATGATTAAATAAAACAATGTACTTGAAAACATTTTGTGGTTTTATCATATAATGTTAATCTTATATATTAGTAACTAAGAAATAATAGCTGAATTCCTGAACCAAAAGTTCAAAGATGATTCCTTCTGGCCTCTCCTCTACGGAAATCCCTCCTTGCCCTTACAGTCCTATAAAGCAACACAATTTCTAAGTCTTTTGAGAACTGCAATGAATTGCTGTTTCACAGCTCCTGGGCAGGGGATAGCTGGGAGGGGTACAGGAAGGGGATAAACCTTGTCTAAGAATGTAGGAAATAAGATCACTGGTGCCAGGAGAGGAGAAGGAGGAGGGGGATGGAGGAGAAGGAGGAGGGAGATGTGTTCCCCAGGCCACGGCCCCCCTCGCCAGCCAGCAGCCTCTCCCAAAGGGCAAGGAGCTTGTTTTTCAATTGACTTCAGGCATTAAGATCCCAGGGGAGTGCAACCTCGCGCATTAGCACTGATTAGCTCATCAAGTCACCAATTAGCACTTGGTGCTCAGAGGCAGGAGCCACTGGGGGAAGAAGCCCTCCATCCGCTTGGCCTCCCGCAGCGACTGCAAAACACGTGGGCTCTCCGAAGAGAGCGCTCTCCTTCCTTCTGTAAAGAAACCCGTCACCGGAGCAAAGATCCCGACCCACTGACGACGGCGGTGGCCCCACTCCATGCAGGAGGCGCCCCGCTAAGGAGCTCGCGGTCACCCCCACGGTGGGCACGGGTAAGTTAGGCCTTCTGTTTATGGTTCCCGCTGTCTCACCTTTTCTCTTTCGACCTTGTTTCATACTGTATGAAGTGTGTTGGAACACAGGTCCCTGTGTAGGTTATAAACAAACGCAAAGACCTGCCCTGGGAGGGAGGTAAGGGCACCCTTGCCCTGCCTCCCAGGGTTTGCCCCCTGCCTGCCCCGAGGCCGGGAAGCAGGGGGCCTGGGCAGACGACGGAGCAGATGCAGGAGGAAGGGCGGCCACTCTCGCGGAGACTTCCTCAGCTTAGCCTGTGTCCACTTGGGATTTGGAGGCAAATCACAGCTTTGGCCCATGGGCAGTTTCCAAAGGACCCCCGTCTTCCTCCCCTTCCCGAGGCCCCACACAGGCACTCAGCTCACCCCCAGTCTAATTCCAGCCTTTGCTTCATGCTGTGAGAACTTGCAAGCAAGTGAGGGAGAGGCAAGGGTTTTATTTCCTGTTCTGACAGGTTCCCAGAATAGATGGAGAGAGTCTTCTCTGGTCTCAATTTATACAAACGTCCATGGCGCCCTTTGGCATCCCAGAGTCTCTGTTTGAAGGCCCCTAAAACAACCTCCTGGGAGAAGCTGGTTCTGTCCTGTCTTAAAGATGGGCAGCCATAAGGTTAAGTGCCATATCAATTCTCATGGGCAGCTGGGGCCTCATGTCCTCAAATTATAAGTGGTGATGACGCTGGATTTATAATTTAATTAAATCAAAATTTAAACATCAAGCTCTAAAAATAAAGTACAAAAAACGTTTCACCCTAAAATCACTCAGCAAAGAATGAATGGGGAGTGAGCATGTTACTGATAGAAAACCAGATAGATTGTTCTATTATAAATACTTTCATAAAAATATGAGAACATCATATTCTTTGAAGAATGAGGGCTCACATCATGAGTCCCATGGGAAAATCTTATGAGCATATAAAACAGTGTCAATTACAAATTTAAAATAAAATAGTACCAAGGGGGAGCTTCTTTTTCAGCACTTTAAGAATCCAGCTACCGTGGCCAAGGAATATTCATAGGAATAAATGTCACTCATGTCACAGAAGGAAAAGCTCATTCCTGAGCCAATCAAGAGGTGGGTGCCAACACATTCTGCCACTGAAAATGGCCACAGATCGGATGACCGGCGGCTCAGCAGTTTGGTATGAACAGCTGAGACAAGCTGTAATTTGTGGGTTTATCTCATTGCTCTTTTCCCGAAGAATATTAACATTTCATCTGTTTGGAGCTTCCTAGGACCAACAAGAATACTGAGACAAAAGGTGGTCTTGGAAGTTTCCTTTTCCCAAGTTTCCCAAATATTTGCATATGCAAGCAAAATCCAAGTCCATCAGAGGAGACCTATATTAGGGGATCATTGACTTGTGGTATTCCGGGGCGGATTCAACGACTTTATCTCACAAATTAGTCCATTCCGTTCGAAGCCCATGTGGTGCCCAATGTAAAGTTTAAATGTTGCCAACACCGATGTCAACGCAACGTTTTTCATTCTTGAGAAAGGTATATCATTCTTTTCTTTTTAAAACAATTATCAGAACACAGCTTGGGAACAAGCTGATCTGGAACTCAGACCAACCTACTTACCCCTAAACATTCACAGCACACACAGGGTAGAAAGCAGACAGCCCCACACACCCATGAGCTGTCCAAAATGAAGGCAGGTGGTCTCTTTCTAGACATGACGGCCTACGGTCTATTAAAACTCCCACAACTTTTGGAAATCCAAGGAGAGAAAGTTTCTCTCTGAAAAACTTGGAGAGGGCCCCAGGAGAGGCATCCTTTGCAGCCTGTGCCTAACTCCACTGCCCAACCCAGGCCTACCCCGCTGTGATGGCCACAGCTCTGAGAATACTTGGACCCCTCTCTTTCACTAATGCCCAGTCGAGCCCAGCAGCAAATCCTGCTGGCTCTACCCTCAAAAGCTGCCCAGAGCACCCACTTCTTCCCACTCCCCTGCTCCCTCCCGCTCCCAGGCCTGTGTTCCTTCCCGGATTCTAGCAAGGGCTCCCACCAGGCCTGCCAGGCCCTGCAGCCTGTCTGCAGTCAGAGTGATCCTCTAGAGGTCAATGTTACATCCTTCCTTCTCCCCTCAGCCCTCTGGGGTCTCCCCGCCTCCCTCCAGCAAAGCCAATGTCCTTACAATGGCCCACGGGGTCCCCGTGATCTGCAGGGCCACTGGCTATGCCTGTGACAGCTTGTCCCCTGCCAACCCCCCAGCCCAGGACCCCCAATGCACCTCTCAGAGCCTTTGTGCCAGGGGGCCCACCCACTCCACAGCTCTGGGTCCTCTACTGGCCTTCAAGCCTTGCTCATGTGATATCTCCATGAAGGTCCACCTGGCATCTATTTCACACCACAACGGGCCACAGCCCCCTCCCCTCACCCACAGCTGCTGTGGCTGGCTGTGTCCTTCACTCATCAATTGCCTCCTGATGCCAGAGAGTGGGACCTGGAAGGCGGCATCCTTGTCTTGGCCCCTGAAGCCTCTCGAACATCCAGGATAGCACCAGGCACACAGCAAGCTCTCTGTGAGCAGGGCCAAGGAGCCCGCCAGAAGGAGAGCTTTCCTAGAGAAACCCGGATTTATCTGGAGAAATGAGGTAGGATGCCCTGCAAATTTCAATCTCAATTATTGCCTTTCAACACCCAACTCTAGTGAATCTGCAGAGGGTGGACCATTCCAGCAGGACAAAGGCCCCAGGCCCCATGCAGGCTCCTGGGAGGAGGAAGCAGGAGGGAGTCCCACACACAGAGGAGCTGGTGGACCCCCTGACTCGGGGAGGGGCACCACCGGGCAGAAGCCATGCTCAGGCCACCAGGATGAGCATCAGGAAGAGCTGGCTGAAGCCACCGCCCCAGGTAGAGTCGGGAACAGGAGGAAGGGAAGGCAGGAAGAGGAAGAGTTGGTAAGGATGCTGGGGGAGGGCACAGGGCAGGAGCCAGACAGAGGGAGAGAAGCCAGGCAGAGCCCAACTTTCTGCCAGGCTGGACGGGGACAAAGACTAGTCCCTTACTAACCACCAGGCTGGAGGGGACAAAGACGCCCTCCCTCACTAAACACTGGGCTGGACAGGGACAGAGACACCCTCCCTCACTAAACACTGGGCTGGACGGGGACAGAGACGCCCTCCCTCACTAAACACCAGGCTGGATGGGGACAGAGACCCCCTCCCTCACTAAACCGGAGACAGCTCCTTTCAACCCTCTTCCCAACCAGGCCCCAGGCTTGGTGGGCCCTCAACAGTAAGAATCCCACCAGCTCAGCCCAACTCAAGCCCCTCCCTCGATAGCAGATGGGCTCCTCACCCCTCCATCCCCAGGGATGTCTGATGGCCCCAGCCTGCCTTCAGCCAGAACCCTGCTGGGGAGGCTCGGCCGGAACCCCCTCACCCCCATCTCCCCCTAGTAATTTCCCATCCGCCCTACCCTACTCCTTGGTCTCACTCCCACTTTCCTGCTGTACTCAGAGCTGAGCCCGGTTTCTCTCCCCCAGAGCAAGAATCCCTCCCTGTGGTCCTTGAAGGAAGTCTTCCTTAATGTCCTTAACGAGTGTCAGGATAACTTTTTAACAGGATCCAATGTATAAAAGCTTTAAAAAACAAACAAACGAACAGAGCAAGACTTTCCTTCCAAGCAGGCTTCTGGGGAGGGGAGGCAGGATGATCAATCAACATTTGTGTTCACCCTCCTGAGCTCCTCTGAGCTCCCTCTGGGAATTAGCAGGCACCTTTTCCTCTGAAGAACAGAGGCCTAACAATGATGCACTCACTGCTTTACAGTTTAGTCAGAATAAAATCAATAAAATCGTATGTTCCAATGTCTCACTTATTTTTTACCTTATTTATACAAACATCCCTCATGTTTTCCTAGAAGGGATTTGATATAACTGACTACACACACAAGCACACACACCCCACACCTCCCGTTATATATATAAACATATGTAAACACAACATGCATCTTCTTATTGGAGTCTCACAGTAACTCTTTTAGTCCTATAGAGAAGATAAAATTGTTACTATCTGTCTCTTGATAATTGTTTTCAGGAGGCGTTAATGGTTTATCCAAAGTCACATGGTAAATGTGGCCTTCTGGCTCCTGGACAAGCGTGTGCTCCTTAAGTTCAAAAACAGGCAGTCAGGTTCACTGGAAAAATTAACATGAGAGCCATAGGAAGGTGCCACAAGATACTACTGCTGAAAAAAGCTGACTTGTGTAATGTCAGGGTCTTTTGTGAAAAGTAAAAACCGTGTATGCACAGAAACAGAAAAAGAACAGCAGTGTCTCACTTTTATTTAAAAAATGAAATGTGTGGGCCGGGGGCAGTGGCTCATGCCTATAATCCCAGCACTTTGGGAGACCGAGGCAGGTGGATCACATGAGGTCGGGAGTTCGAGACCAGCCTGACCAACATGGTGAAACCCCGTCTCTACTAAAAATACAAAATTAGCTGGGCGTGATGGCCCATGTCTGTAATCCCCACTACTGGGGAGGCTGAGGCAGGAGAATCGCTTGATCCTGGGAAGTGGAGGTTGTGGTGAGCCGAGACCATGCCATTGCACTCCAGCCTGGGCAACAAGAGCGAAACTCTGCCTCAAAAAAAAAAAAAAAAAGTGTGTGTGTCGCGTGAGGAAAAAAGAAATGCCAGCTATACAGCAACATACTGACCCTGGGTGCTGGATGTATAGATGATTGTTTTTCTTTTATTTGTCTACATTTCATATACTTTTTTGATTTGTTATAAAAGAAAATAAAGGTTATCATTCTTTGAAGAGTCTGAACTTAGGGTGTGTTTCTCGAACCTGGCAGGAGGTGTCAATGAAAGCTTCTTGCACTGCATGGCAGCCTTTCCACCCAGATGCCATTACCTTTCCCTGAACTATCTACTGTCTTTATTCCCAGAGTTTGCATTCCTCTGGCCAGACACTAAAGAAAAACAAAGGGAAGCTTCCAACACCAGTACCATTAACTCATAAATGCTATTTAAAGTCACCCGGGGTGCAAACAGACAGGTGTGATTTGGCCTCCAGTTACCCATCTGACTTCTTCTTTGGGGTCTGCAATGCTGATTACTGGACGCCAGCGTCCAGAGCCCCCACCACAGCCATACCTGTTGATCTCCAGTGTGTGTACGCCATAGTTGCTCTCAATCCTGTACTTTCCCGGTTCAGCCGCCTGGCAAATCAGACTGCCATCTTTGTACCTAAATGAGGGAGGCATGTTTTTAGTTTAAAGGCAGAGTTGTATTTTGTGTGTGTGCAATTCTGCCCCAGCTCCCCCGCGCCTGCTGCCCATTTCTGCAGGTTTCCCTTAGAGCCTCAGGCGGGAGGAGGACAGAGCCCTGACGGTGAGGCCCAGAGTTCGCACTGGTTTTGCTTTCTAAGGCGAGAGCAGCGCTTTCCTCGTTCAGACTCTCAGGGGATTCCCCATTCGGCAGATCAAACACCTGCCTGACCTTTGTTAGGAATTCAGGACTTGTCATTCCATAAGAAACACTGGGTGCTGGATCCCGGACCCGCCTACTTAAGCTGCAGTGTAGCTAGTGTCTCAGGGAGTTCTGCGGGACCTAACGCACTGACCCTGGTGAAAGGAAGCTGGCTTCATGGCTCCATCCAGGAGGCAGGACCACATCCACCCCAGCACCTCCGCATCAAGAGCAGGCGAGCCTCAGCCTCCCAAGCCTGTCTTCCAAAGAACCTCAGGATCCAGCCATCAGCCACGATATGCCTGGTCTGTGGCTCAGAGTCCCAACCCCACATATAAATGCACATAGATATATACGTATAACTTTAGCAATATATGTTGATACAAAAAGGGTCTTGAGGGCTTAAAGATGTAATTCTTCAATTACCACAGCTTCATTAACTGCAGATCTGCAGTCCCAAAACTTTAGAGTTTATGCTTTCCACTTATGAGTTTTCCATATTGAAAAGCAGACTTTCCAGTTTTGTGTACAGTCAGCAATCATGCACGTGCTCTTGCAAACAGGACAACAGCCATGATCATTTCAGGGTAGTGACTTTTAAACAATACACTCTGGTCAGGCGTGTGGCTCATGCCTGTCACCCCAGGACTTTGGGAGGCCGAGGCAGGTGGATCACTTCAGGTCAGGAGTTTGAGATCAGCCTGGCCAACATGGTGAAACCCCATCTCTACTAAAAATACAAAAATTAGCCAGGCGTGGTGGCGTACACCTGTGGTCCCAGCTACTCAGGAGGCTGAGGCAGGAGAATCACTTAAACCAGGGAAGTGGAGATTGCACTGAGCTGAGATCACACCATCACACTCCAGCCTGGGCAACAGAGCGAGACTCCATCTCAAAAAAAAAAAAAAAAAAAAAAAAAAAAAAAAAAAAAAAAACCCTCTGAAAAATTTGTTGACTCAATGTCATGAAAATAAAAATGTTTGCATATGAGTTAAAGTGAACGTTCAGAGCTTCTATAAACATATTTCTGCTTAGAGTTTCAAGGTAAGTGGCCTCCAGCACAGGTTCAATGGCGTTTGTCTCCTTAACTGGGGTCTTTCTGAAAGAAAACGCAGAATGGACTTCTTCACCCCCTGGGAACAGAGCCCCTCACCACTGCACCACGGGCGTGGGAAATCCTTGCACGGTGAAGCAGAGTTTCACAGACATCCTCTCCCAGACGGTGTGGGATCGCAGCCGCACCAGGATCTCAGGAGCCCTGCTTATCCGCTCTTCAAATGTGTGTCTCTCCCAGGCCAGCTTGTCCTCCATCTGCCCCGAGAAGCAAGGATGGTCAGGTTCCCAGGCAGCGAGCCAAGCTCCACCCTCGGCCCCTTGAGCACCATGCAGACAAGCTAAGATCTAGTCCACGCTTCCCAGACACCCAGCCACCCTGAGACCCTCCTACCATCTGCTGAATGGCGTATTTGTCCAGCTTGTCGCGGGCCTGGGAGCGTGCCAGGTGGACATCCTCCTCCAAGTGGGCCAGCTCGCTGAGGAAGCGCTGTCGCTTGGCCTCACCATAGGCGGCCACCAGGGACTGGTACCTGCAGGAGCCGAGAAGCAGCCTCAGTTGCAGGAGTCACGAAGAAAACCACGTGGCCCCCGAAGGCCGGAAAGGGCATGCCCATTCTCTCCCTAGGGTTTCCTTAAGTGCGTTCAAGAAGAGAACAGGAGAAATGCTACTTCTGCTCATTTGAATCTATCTTCAAGAGTATATTTTGGTGTGTGAATGCCATGCATGATGAAGTTGTAAAGAAGAACATGTATGTGATTTATTAATAAAAAAATACAGGAAGTGCCTGCCCCAACTTTCTTTCACCACTGACAGTGCACAACTGCAAACCGCTTGGAGGCCCTAAGAGATGCTTTGGAGAATTACCGTGAGCAGCAAAAGACAACAGGCACCCACTCAGAGAGTCGGGAACTTAATCTGAGGCTCTTAAAAACAGAGACATTGTTACTCATCTTCGTGTGCACAGAAACTCACATGCAGCAGGTGCTCAGTAAAGACAGGGCAACTCGGGAAATCAGGGAACTTCTGTGGATTTATCCGATAAACGGCTTGATGCTTTCCCAGGTCTGAGACTCAAAACTGTTAGGTGCTACTGGGCTAACGGTGCTATTGAAGTCAGTTCCATGATTTGAAAATGTAGGAAAATGGTGAGCTCCCCATGTGTGAGTTTTCCTCTGCAGGGCAGCAAATAAAAGCCATTTATTTTCCTGAGAAGGATGCAGTTTCTGAGTGATTTTAAAACTGAATTAAAGTATTTTGAGTTTAAAAATATACAGATAGGAATGTCTGAATACTAAAAATAATAATAATAAATAAAGGATTAAAGGATTCAGCATCTTCAGTCCTTAGGGACTCAGAAATGTTCACATCGTCGCGGCTCACATGCCATTTTGTGAACCCCACAAATCGCACCCCAACACGGCCAGGCCTGGCCTGCCTCCATGCTCTGAGATGCTCTGGAAACCCTGCAGCAGCTCTTTCAGCCTCATCAACCTCCCTCACCATCGCGTTCCCAAGGTCCCACTGAAATTAGGACGCTCGCTGTTCTGCTCCCCTCTTGGGATTCTGTCCCACTCGTGAGAAACATCTCACTGCCATCCCTTTCAATCAAAACTCCATCCTTCCTCCAACACCCATCTCAGATGCCATGTCTCCCACGGAGCCATCCCTAATCCTCTCCCCTGTGTCTTGAACGCCAGACCTCCTGTTATTTCTCTTAGGGCCTTTATGATCGTAATTTGCATACATTTTATCCTTCCCAGGAGAAAGGATTGGCTACTTCTCACCTCTGTATTCCCCAGCTTCAGCACATAGAAGATGTCTCATAAATACTCAGTAGTCTAAGTTAGGCTGGGGGAGGTTCGTTCCCCAGTGGCAGGGACAGGAAGCTGCACAGACGGCCTGGGAAGGAGGCGGTGGAGGGAAAGGTGGCTGAGCCGGAGCGCCGCCTGTGGCACTGTGCACGAGCCACCAAGAGGCTTCTTGGCCAGGGCCACATCGCACAGAAAGTCCCGGTATCGGAGCTGGAGGGGACCGTAGCATCACGGCTGTCCAGAGACCTGGGGAGAACTGAGACCCGCTGCAGGTTGGCGGTAAGGCCTGTCCGAGACCCAGGGTGCAGGGCCTCTGTCCGAGGTGCTTCCACAACCCCACACGGCTCCGATGGACCAGCGCTTCCCCAGCAGCGATTAAGACTAAGGCCTGGTGTTAGGCATTTGGGAAGTTCGCAATCAGAATTGCAGAAGTCTGCAGCCTCTTCGTACAGAAATGAGGTGGGAGGAACCCTAAAATCTAACCATGAAAGGAATGTGGATTTATCTCCTTAGGAATCGGGGACCTCACCTCGCACCTCCCTGTCCCCGCTCCGACCACACACACAGCCTTTCCCTACAATGTTTAGGGAACAGTCTGTTTGGGCCTCAGCCATTCTGCATGCCCTCTTGCCTGGGGTAGATTCCTCCCAACCTCTAATGGGCTGGCTTCTGCTCCTCCTGCTTTCAGCACAGGGGTCTCTCCCTCAGAGCCTCTCCCCTAGGGCCACCCTCAAATCACAGCCCTGTGGGTCTCTTTCATACGTCCTCATCCTCCTCCTGCAGAGCACGTGCCACCTCTATAAGCACATGCATGTGCATGTTGAATGACACCAGCCCTGTCCTGTAACTCTGAATCCCAACAAAGCGGGAAAATGCCCTCTTCATTGCCCCAGTATCCAGGTACTTGGTTCCCCCAGTATCCAGGTACTTGGTTACCCCAGTATCCAGGTACTTGGTTACCCCAGTATCCAGGTACTTCGTTCCCCCAGTATCCAGGTACTTCGTTCCCCCAGTATCCAGGTACTTGGTTCCCCAGTATCCAGGTACTTGGTTCCCCAGTATCCAGGTACTTCGTCCCCCCAGTATCCAGGTACTTGGTTCCCCCAGTATCCAGGTACTTCGTTCCCCCATTATCCAGGTACTTGGTTCCCCAGTATCCAGGTACTTGGTTCCCCAGTATCCAGGTGCCAGGTGCCAGGAGGAGTTCTAGGAATATGTGTTCAAGAAATGAACGATGGCGTCAGATGTCCTGCAGGGAACAAGCCTTCTTACAGGGGAGTGAATCCCACCAAATTGCAGGGATCGAGAAGACAAAGCTTGGTCTGCGCCACGCAGCACTGTGATGAGTTTAAAGGTTCAGATGTCCTCTCTTGACACCGTTTACTTTTCTATGGGCTCTTTATGTTTGAGTAACAAGAGCCTCAGCTTATTCTTAGGTCAATAGCACCACTATCCTCTAACCCTCCATGATTCAGAATAACTAATTGGTCTGGAATTCCTCCCACAGCCAACCCCAAGTCAGGACATTGAGGAAATATTTCTGCCGGCTGATGATCAGTTGACCGTCACTTCAGCCCACGTGTGCACAGTAACGTCATTTGTCATGCACTGATTGTAAATGACAAGCCCCGGGACAGGTGGCTTGCAAGATTCAGGGAGGCCCATTTTTCACTGGGACTGAAGGAAGATGTCAGAGGGACATTTCCAATGGGCCATATCTTCCAGAAGGATGTGTTGAGTGCCTTCAGAGCACCGGGGTCGTATCTTCCAGAAGGACGTGTTGAGTGCCTTCAGAGCGCCAATGTCTCTTCAGTATTTATTTGACACAGGGACATCAGCAGTAACTCACATCAGTGAGCCCACAATTTCATCTTTTGCAAAGGACCAACTTGTCCAGCACGCTAAACTAATATCCACGTTGGGAGGTCAGGGATAAATACATGCTTGTGATGATGCTTGCAGCCCGTGAGAGTGGTGAATTCTAATAAGGGCTGGAATCCATGGAGCTGCTCACATCACTCAGCACGGGGCTCACTCATCCCTCCTGGGCCCTTCTGCATGACGGTGATAGAGCAGGCTTCACAATAAATCTCAATTAGAACTTGCCCAACTCACTGAGATCCCCACGACTTATGTTTACCTTTAAAGGAGGAAAGAACTGATTTCAAAACGATCTTCCCCATGGAAGACATGCACATGGGTTAGGAGAATACAACACTCGGGGGCTGCTGAAGAAAATCTCATGGAGAGCATGAGCCGTGGGCTCCACACAAAGCTGAGAAAGTGCCTAGCCTTCGTCCCCCGTCTCTACTACGTCTAAGACAGACTGGCATTTAACGTGAGGATCAGAGGTGCCGTGAGAACATAACCCCTTCACCAGTCACTCAAATCCCTTCTTTGAGTCAGATTTGGTATTGCAAGAGCATAGACCAATGTGTTTTAGGACAATTTCCAGCAGCCAAGGCTGTCTTGAAAGTCATTGCTGCCAAAACCATATGAATCACAGTAAGCCACTCACTGTTACCATTTTACCAGCAGGGAAATTGAGCGATAGGAAGTTTATGCAATATGTTCAAGTTCACATCAATGTTTAAATGATAAAAATAAAATGATAAGCTCAAGTATTCTATTGTAGCCCCCAAAACCTAAATATAGGTAGAAGAACCCTTTAATCCAATACATAAAAATCTGGATTGTGTTAACATCTACATTTCAAAGAGATTCTTTCACAAAAGAAATCTTCACTTTACACTAGAATTCATTTACATGGCAAAATTATCCTATGACATTTAAAAAAATTCAATTTTTTAAAAATAAATGTTAACCTTCGTTAACCTTCTTGGCTATACATTGTTTATATTCAACAGATGACTTCATCTTTCTGAAACTTTCAAAATGAAAGATGTTTACTCAAATCTTATTTTTCCTTCAGGTTTTAAATGCTTTGAAGATATAGAGAAAATTCCCAGAAGTAGCAGGGGGAGATGAGGGAAAAAATACAGCAGGTATAAAACAAGGCACCCGCGAACGTTTAACTGTTCACTTTGTCCTTAAAAGATCAAAGCCATATCACCACCTGTTTCTCCGTCATCTGGAAATAATTTTAAGACTGGCATTTTTATTAATCCATCCCATTCCCATGACATTTCACCCCACGAGCTGCCTCTGTTGAAATGTAAAGCATGACAATTTATAGAATCCCTTCCCAACTCTTTAGTTTCCACACGACAACTGTTTAAAACCCTGGCTCCCGCTTAGGAAGATGACCTTGCTTGAATGTGCACCCCTCCACGGCTGTTCCTGCATAGCTACAGAGGTTGCAAGTGGAAATTCAGAATTACTCTCACACTGCTAGGTCTTGATGTTTTCATGTGTGCTTATCCTGCTCTGTCTGGAAAGGGACTGAGCTTGGCTTGGAAGCCACGGACCCTGGAGCTCTAAGCCCAGCTGGGACATGCGTGAGACATGGAATCCTGGGCAGTGGCGTGAGCGCTCTGAACAGCAACGCTCTCTTCTGCAAAATGGTGGGAAGCTGGTGCCCAGTAGTTTTCTTGTTCAGATTAATTGAGATAATGATGGTAAAGAGAAGCAGGTGATTGGGAAACAGCAGCATTCTCCCTCTCACCCCAGGCATGGCCTGTGTTCCTTGATCTTCCCTCTCAGCTAAGGTCGCTCTTCCCTCCTCACCCCACTGTCCCTCCACTGTGACCCCACGCAGGGCACAAGTGGAGTCAGGGAAGCCATGTGCTCACCTGCTTCTGTTCTCCTGCTCCTCATCTTCCTGCGTGCTCACTCGCTTCGCACAGACCCTGCAGATGGTTCCTCCCAGGGACGTCTGGCTGGAGGCTCTCTGTGAAGACGACCGCTGACTCAAGGACTTCTGGGAAGATGCCTGGGTGGAAGCTCGCCTTCAGGAACATGGACACGATTAGGAGATGCATGCTCAGGCACAGTATGGAAATTTATCCTGACACACATCACTTTCTCTCTACACACCCCAAACCACTGGTATATGCAGAGCACACACAAACACACACATGCACAGGCATATGAGAGGCATGCACCTACACACATATATGCACACATGCACACACATGCATGCATATGCACATACAATACATGCGTACACATGTGTATGCAAATAAATGCATAAATGCAAGGACACGCCTTCCCACAAGCACATGCACACGCATACACACAGCGCGTGCACACATAAACAAACCTACACAAGTGTACACACACTTGCACACAGGCAAACCCAAGCCTGTGTCCCTGTGTGCCCACACCCATACCCCGCACATGCCCGCCCTGGGGTGCTTTCTCCCTGAGCTCACTGTGGCTGGTGCCACCTCCCTTCAGAGCCAGCCAGTGCCGGCCACAGTCTTTCTGGCTCCACGCCAGGATTATATATATCTTGAGGGATTTGAGACACCCCAAGGCTGCTGGGAGGGGCTGCAAATGTTTGGCTTTGTTTGGCACAAGGGATGGCAACTAAATAAAAGTACCCTAAGCGTTTCTAAACATAGGGTGTGGGTGACATGAGGCAGGCACCTGGGCTGCAGAACGCCTGCCCGCGGTCCCTCCCTCCCTTCACCACAGCCTTCCAATCAGCCCATTAAGATTGCAGATTTGCTGCTACACAAACAGTGTCCATGGGGGCGTGAGCTGCCATCCTGTATGAGGCCATCCCCGAGAAGCTTCCGGAAGATGCAGGTGCACACCAGCCCCAGAGGCAGGGATTCTTGATCTCGGCACATCCATGATCGATGTAGCCAAATCACTAATATTGCCTCCCATTCTGTCTTTACTCTGCCACCCATTAACTTCTCTCCTACCGACAGCCTTTCCCACCAGTTTCAATCTCATTGCTTTTTATTTTGGGTGGCTTTATTTTTAGATCCTAGTTCTGGAAGGCATGTGATGAGCAGTAAAATCAACGAGCTCATACAAAGGACTTCCTGCCTCCCCACCTCGATCAGGAGCTGAACTCGGCCAGCAGGACCTGCCAGAACACTACGCCAGCTCCACAGAGTGCTGCTCCGTGGCAGGACCTGGGCACGGGAGAGGCTGCCATCTCTGCTCTCTGACTCCCTGCAAACCAGTGCCTCTCCAGGGCTGACGGAACTGGAAAAGCCTTTAAATGTCAGACCCCCATAATCAAAGCTCTGCGCGTCTCATCAGCGAATGTCAGCTTACTTTTTTGACGCATATTCGTCCAGCAGGTACCGTGTTTGAATATTACGGTAGGACTGGTCGAAGTGCCTATGTCTCTTCTGGTAGAAGGGGACAGTCACAAGGGACATCTTGGCGTGCTCCTACAAAGAGAGTCACACACAACACTGAGCTCCCTCGCAAGCATCATGAGGCCTCTGCCATTTCTGCATCATTCCAAAGGGGAAAATGAACTCCAGTTAATAAAACCCCCTTGGGAAGGGAAAAAATGAAAGATTACATGGCCAGAAATCACCTTAGACCAGCAGTCAGGAAGCCTATTAACTTCCCAGGGACCCAACTTTATTTTTTGTTTTCTTCCACAACAGTTGGAAGATTGGGCTGCTGTTTCATTTCATTGTGAACTCAACAAGTATTCCTAGAACCCCTGGTGTGTTCAGGGCAAAGTTCAAAGCAATATAAGTGGGAAGTACAAAAATAATTAAAGCAGATTAGAGAAGTAAACAAACACTTAGAATACAAGAGAACATACGATAAGAGCCAAGAGCCCGGGGCAGGTAGAAGGTGTCCTGGGAATGGCAGGAGGCCAGGACGGCCGAGTGGCCCACGAGGCAGGTGACATTTGAGAGGAGGCTCGGTGGACAGGTGGGACTGCCAGGCGGAGGTGGGAAAGGAGGGCAGCCCATAAGCAAAGGTCGGGCAGGAGAATCCAGGATCATGGGAGACTTGCAGGGGTGGGTGTGACCAGAAATCACTCTGGAAAGACGCAGCCACAAGCGGAGGTGGCGGGTGTCTGCCTGGGGAACGGGCAGTCTCTCCACCATGCAAAGGGGGATGTGGAAAAAGGGACTGGCTGGAGATGCCCCCTGGAATCTGCCGTCTGAAGTCTCACTGGTTACGGTAGACAGGCGTAGCAGGAGGTGAGCAGGAAAAGTGAGGACAGAGCCTGGCATGAAAGCCTCAGGGATGTGGGGAAATTCGAGAGTGTGGATGAAATTCTCCCCAAACAGGAGATGAGTGAGTTCCATCTTTTTCTCTGGGAACTTGCAGCATTACAGGTATTAGACATGGCAATCTGCTGTACATGTTCACCCAAAACACGTAAAATGCCAACGTGCTGAGTGACTTGATCATCACGGCAAAGTTACGTAGGGACCGTATTCCTAAATCTCTGCAGTCATTAATTTCCCAAACAAGGTGCAAAAGGACTCACAACCTGAGCTCCATTTTTTACTTTTCTGTTTAAATGACGAGGATCTGTCCTTATTTAAAGACAGAACTCCTAGGCCAGGCCCCATGGCACAGCCCCAGGGGTGCCACCCACATCCCGGGCCATGGGTATGAGACTTGGGTGGAAAATGCCAAGGGCTGCTCGGAGATGAATTTCTCATAGTTCAGATCTCCAGGGTACGTGCTAGAAAACCTACCACAGTACATAAATTGCTCCTTATGAGCTGTTTCCTTTGAACTCTGTAATCTCCGAGAATCACAGTATTGTAGAACTTGGAAAGATCACTAGCGATTACCCAAACTCCTATTCTACAGGGAAGAAAACAGGACACGAGGGCCAGAAAGGAGAAATTCTTCCCCAAAAGCATGTAGAAGAGGCTACCCCTGCCCCAAGGCCATCCTTATTCTGGGCCTTTCACACTGCCACACTAACTCTCTCAATATTGCCTCTGAAAACCCAACTAGTCGACCAACCACCCCACCCTGGGAGGGCCCAGCCGTGTTTTAGAGTGCACCAGCATGCATTCTACTCCAGGGATATAACGGAACGTTGCACCTCATAGAACACAATAAAAGCAGCCGGGCGCAGTAGCTCACACCTGTAAACCCAGCACTTTGGGAGGCCAAGGCGGGTGGATCACGAGGTCAGGAGATTGAGACTACCCTGGCTAAGATGGTGAAACCCCGTCTCTACTAAAAAAAATACAAAAAAATAGCCAGAATGGTGGGGGTCCCCTGTAGTCCCAGCTACTCGGGAGGCTGAGGCAGGAGAATGGCGTGAACCCGGGAGGCGGAGCTTGCAGTGAGCCGAGATCGCGCCACTGCATTCCAGCCTGGGTGACAGAGCGAGACTCCATCTCAAAAAAAAAATAAAATAAAAATAAAAAATAAAATAAATAAATAAATAAATAAAAGCATATCTCCTCCACCCGCCCTGATATTGAAGGCAGTATCATAGTGCAGAGGTCAAGCGCCCAGGTTTTGATGTCTGGTAGACCTGGGATCGAATTCTGACTCCAGCATTCTGATGAGGCCTGGGGTAGCTTCTAGCTCCTCTAGCTCTGGCGTTCCATATTGAATCTGCATCATGCCTGGCCCTGGCCCTGGTACCGAAATCGGTTGCTGTCTCTGTTATGCTGCTGCTGTTATCATGGTTCAAGAATTCTGCAGACAGGAAAAGGTATCTGAGAAAATCTATGTATTGCTTCACTATTTGAAATCTCCCCAGATGCAGCTCACTGGGATTTTCCAATGAGTTAATCAAGGTGGATCTTCAAGAAACGCTTCCTGCTCAGAAACCCATTTACTCTCTCTGGAGTTCACCAGCAGGGTGCTGGGAAGAGCTCACTGAAATGAAGTTGGACCAAGGTTGGGGAAGACGTTTCAGCTTCCATCCGGTTTCCTATCCAAGGTTCTTCTGGGATCAGCCTGACGAATACCAGGCAATTCCACTCCAGCAGACGCATGAGCAATCCCCAGTACCTGCTATTGCAGCAGGGGCTCATGTGTCATCACAGTATCTACTTACACTTATGTTGAGTTAAACCTCAGATGTGTTTGTATTTCTTGGTAAAGGGAAGAGTCAAAATGTGACCTATTAGGTCAAAGGAGAGAATGAGCTACATTGAAATAAGAGGAGAATCGCCCTGGATGGAAATCCTCCTCCTTAGACCTAAGACCTGGAAGAATGTGAAACGGCTCAGGTCTTGAGAGCTCACAGACTAGCTATCCGTCAACCAGTCTGTAACGTCCTGTCCAATGCAACCTATGTATCACTGACGTGACATCCGGTCCTGTGGGCCTGGAAGTCTTCAAACACTTCATGTGTGAGGGGCTACACTTTGTAGTGCTTAGCAAGGCAGAGCTGGGATCACGTGTGCACACTTCCTGCAATCCTCACTCCAATGGTACCTTACTGTGGAAGTCTCCCCGGGAAGTCTTTGGATGGGGGTAACAGGGCACTTTGCCACGTTTATCCCCACATGTATTCCCTGCTCACTTCATGCTCAGGACCACCAAAATCAGGAGGTGTCAGAGGCTTTGCAGAATCCATCAGCCTCAGTTGATTCCACAAGTATGGGGTCACTTGCAACGTGCCAGCCAAGCCTAAATCAGAACCCTTGGATTTCAACAATGAAAACACCTTAGAGCTCCTGGCTCGGGAGAGTAGCAAGCTCAAGTCTTCTGCGCATTTGACTCCCAGTGCCAATGTGCCCTCAACTCCACTTTTATCAATCACATGCCCAACCCAGAAAACCAGCAGGACTGCACGTCCAGCCTCACCCACCCTGAATGTGTGTCCCCTCCGCAATCTCTTCACTCCTTGGGGGACTTCCTATGTTAGAACTTCCCCAGTGTCCCTCACCCAGCCTGGGCCACCACCTCCTGGCCGGGTGTGATGACGTCTTTGCAAGCAAATCCCCACTGACTCAGCACGTGCTGGGTGCCTGCAGCCCTGGCAGCACAGGGCCCTTCTGAGTGGAGGGAACCCTGGAGAGGACTTGCCAAATGCACCCTACAGGTCGAGCATCCCTTATCCAAAATGCTTGGACCAGAAGAGTTTCCAATTCCCGATTTGTTTTTCAGACTGTGGAATACTTGCATTTATACTTACTGGTTGAGCAACTCAAATCCAGAAATTGGATACTTGAGATGCTCATGTAAGCATTTCCTTTGAGAGTCATACCAGCGCTCACAAAGTTTCAGAATTTAGAGCATTCTGGATTTCTGATCTTCAGATTTGGAATGATCAACCTGTACTATTTATGACACTATAAAGAAAATGACAGGACCTGGGCCGATCAGCTCCCCAATGTCCCTCTACTGTCTACATAGAAAGCTGTTTTCCTTTTTAAGGAACTATCTCAGACATGTGTTAAATACCCCCTACACACACCAACCAAAAAAAAAAAAAAGAAAAAAGAAAGAGAGAGAGAAAGAAAGCAGCTTTTCCTCGCAGGGTAGTTTTTGATGTGAGTCCCTGGGGCTCAGGCGCATTGGGAGGCTGAGACTCCAGTGGGGACCTGCTGACCTTCAGCTCAGGGGCCTCCACCTGCTCTGCTGTAAAACAGGGGGCTGAGTGAGGTGGCAGCTAACAGTCCCCCAGCTTGGACAGCCTGTGTGTAGATAATCCTGGCGCCACGCTGTACTGTTAGCACAGACCGTCCCCAGGGAAATATGACTCGCCCGGGTCACCGGTAGGGCCACGGCCGAACCCAGGTGCCAGCTGACTCTCCTGACAGCGTCCAGCCCACTTTCCACCACAGCCCAGCTCCCCGGCCACTCCCGGAATGCTCCTGACACGTTTAGGAATCATGACACCAGGATGAAACGCGAGCCTCTCCTCCAGTGCAGGGGACCACGTGTCTGATATCCCCATCCTAATTCCTTCCTGCAAACAACGTGTGGAGCCCATTCCTCATGTCACCAGGATGGGTTTTAATTTGCAAAAATGTTTGAAGTACAAAACATTGACTTCCACTTAATGAAGGAAATTGTTTCTACAGTTAAAAATGTCAAAGTCAATAAATACACCAAATTAAAGCTTTCTAGAGGGGAAAGGGACTCCCAGACAAGCAGCGTTGGCCTGTGCCACAAGTGGCTAAGCCCTTGGCTCCCAAGACAAGTTTTAGCTTGGGACTTGGTTTATTAAATAACGCCTTAAATTATCTTTGTTCCACGCTTTCTTTGAGTCCTGTTTTACTTCTACTTAGTAAGAAAGGAATGTGAAATGGAGAATTAGAAAAGGCCAGGTGTTCCCAGTGATGGCAAACCCCTTCCTTCCGTTTGCCTCCGGTGCCTTCCACGTGCAACCACCCAGCCCCACTGTCTTTCTCCAGCAGGTTGCATTTCAAGAGCACGCCCTGAGAAGGCACAGCCTCTATCAGCGGAGTGGAGCTGAAGAAGTCTGAAGGGTCACAACACACCCAACAGCACAAAGAAGAAAACAGCCGTAAGAACGCTGTCATTTTTGGGCAAAAACTTGCAAGTCCTGACAAGGATTGTTCTCTTTCCCATACCGTGGATAATATAGGCTAGGTCTAAGCTGAATGACCCTCGACTCTTTTTTCCCTTAAGAAAATATCCAGTTTTATTATTTCACACCTTTATAAGTCAGCCCTCTCCTCGGGGGAGGCTTTCGTTTCTGAGAATCTCATGAAACTTGCAGACATCAGTCCACTGACTGGGGGGCCCCCTGGGGCCACGATGAGACCAGGGCTAAAACCCAAAGCACACGCCGCAGGGTGCTAAACGGCACTTAGCAAAGACCACGGCTGTGGGAAATAAAATGTTAGTTGAGCATAAAACCTCGTCAAAGAAATACAGATCCCAGAACTAATTGCTCTGTTTTCCACAGTAAAGGGTGCCTGCGACGGGGTGCACTGGCTCTCTCTTCTTGACCCTGAAGTAGAGGTACTTAGAAAATGTGAGTGCAGAAGTTACCGGTCCTCCCCTTAAAGCCACAAATTAGAAAAGGCAAGAAGAGAAAGACACTTACCCAGACAGAAAGGAAAATTGCAAGGAGGAGAGAGAATTCCTGACCACCGGCTCACCAAGCCACCCACACTCCAGCCGAGGAAGGCAGAGCTGACTCCTGCAAAGCAAGCGCCTGTGCCTCCCTCCCGTTTAAGGTCTGAGGAGCTGCTATATATAGACGCCTGGGCCTGCCTCTCCCCACATCAATACCCACATCGTAAATCACCAGCCTGACCTCAGGAGGAAAAGCTTCTTGTTCAAACTGAGGGCGGGGGAAATCACGATTCAAAACTGGAACGTGTCCTTTCTGAGTCCCAAACTGCACTTTTCCCAGGAAACCGGGTGTGACACTTCAGCCCCCGACCCAGAAAGAGAGGGCAGGGCACTGACTTCCCACGCTCCCTCCCCGCAACTCTCCTCCATGAGTTCTAATCCTTACGTGTGAATTCTCAGACATATCTTCAATCCTTTCGAGCTACAGGTTCCCTGGCTCATAAATTGCAACTCCTGAATGAGTCTTTAATAATGACATGGATTTCAGTGAGCATTTGTGCCATTCGCAGGCCTGGACACCCGAGTTGAGGTCGGCTGTGGAGGGAGGGAGGTGCACAAGCCCCTGGGTTTGTGAGCGTGTGTGTGCATGTTCGTGTGTTTGTTCGTTTTTTTTTTTTATTTCAAGAACGACTCAGGTCTTCACTCGATTGTATCTTAGGGCTATTTTAGCAAGAACTGCCTACCCAAAAGAGGAGCGGTGCCTAGTCGGCAAGTCGGGGCTTATTTATAGCCATTACCACAGACGTACACTGCGTCTACACCACACGGATAATTGCAGGGTGCCCGTCGTTTCGCACAGCGTGTGTCCAAATATAGATAACACACACCTGGCACGGTCCTGGGCTGCAGCCTGGCCAAGAGGCGGGGCCTCAAGGGGATGCCCCCATCTGAGGACCCGGAGAATCACACTCCAGCTGCACCTCACCACAGGGGCTGAGGACTTCGGCCAGCTGCTCAGCCCACGGGGGCTATGCTCCCCAGCTCTAAAACGCATGGAATAACAACTTTCCTGTAAGTTTGTTGTGACAAGTAGAGAAAATATGATATGAGAATTGCCTTAAGAAACTCCACGTTCTCACACTGGGGTATCAGAGGCACAGCCAAGGACCAGCGAGCAGGTGGATGGAGGCGAAGATCAGATACGAGAAAGACGCGAGCACAGCCTCTTGCTGGGCCCCAGAGCGTTCTGGATGCTGGATCAGGAGGCGAGTGTTTCTGTCTTCTTCCCCTTCGTATTCTGATGGCCTAGCATTTAATTTAATTAGTGTTTGTTGAGTGATTTCTTAGTCTATTCAGGCTGCTTTAGCAAAACACCATAGACCGTGTAGCTCATAAAACACAGGAGCTTCTTTCCCACAGTTCTGGGGGCTGGAAGTCCAAGATCCAGGTACCAGCAGACACTGCCTGGGGAGAGCCTTCTGGTTCTGGGACGGCGCGGTCCCTGAGTCCTCACCACGTCAAGGGGCCAGGCCGCTCTTGGGGCCTCTGTATGAGGATACTGATCCCACTCGGGAGGTTCCACCTCCATGACCTTGTCACTTCCCTAAGGCCCCACCTCCTCACACCATCGTTTTGGGGGTTAGGGTTTTAACCCACATATTTTGGGGGGGTTGCAAACAGCAAGACCAGAGCAAGCAATGTTTACTTCCGGTTTATCAGCATCTCCTTCTCTAGCGAATCCATTTCTCAGGGACCTGGGGGACTTCCCTTCAGCCCTTCTGCCCCCCTGCCTCTGAGTGTGGCCGACACTGGAGGGGCAGTGATGGTGCCTCGTCCCCTCAGGTGGCATCTCAGTCCTCTGAGTCCCAGTCCTGGCATCTCAGTCGCCTGGGTCCCAGTCCTAGCATCTCAGGAGGGGACAATCTCATCCCGGGGAGGGGCCTCTCCTGAGAGAAGGAAAGGCCAGCACACTCCTCCTCCTTTTCTGACATTTCACGGTGGCTGTGCCCTCCTTCTGTGATATAGAAATCCAGTGCTGCGTCTAAGAAAGCCTGGATCTTTCAGCCACACCACCCAGAGAGCAGAGTGTGACCCGGGACACAGATAGGCTCCTGATGGGGACAGAGCTTCGCCTTCTGCTGGGGACAGGAGACCCCTCCCCACCCTCCTCGTAGACCCCCATCTCCCTGAGCCATGCTTGCCCCTGCCCACCCGGGATGTAGCTTCCAAAACTCCCTGGGTGAGGTGCACCTGCAGGAAGCCTGGAGCCAAGAAGGGACAAAAGACGGAGGGAGGCGGTGGGACCAGGCATGGGCCCCGCATTCTCCACCAGACACACCAGCTCTGGGGCAGACAGGCTCCTTCTTGCCAGAGTTCCTTGGGCTGACTTTCTATCATCGGCCATCAAGAGAATCCTGACTAAGACAAAGGAAGAGTCCAGCAATCTCATTTCCACAGCTCAAATTGGCAGCCTGTGAATGGAAAACAGTTGGCCTCACTGAGGATTTCCCACAACATAGAAAAGAAGATCGAAATGCAAAGAGTGACATTCTAAAACCACGTGCCTTCAATCCTGTGGAACCCCAGGCCAGACCATTCATGGGTGAAGTTATGTTCTATACAGCAACAATCCCCAACTGTTTTGGCAACAAGGACCGGTTTCGTGGAAGACAATTTTTCCAAGAACGGTGGAGAGGGGGATAGTTTTGGGATGAAACTGCTCCACCTCGGATCATCAGGCATAAGATTCTCATAAGGAGCGTCCAGTCTAGATCCCTCGCGTGTGCAGGTCACAGTAGGGTTTGTATTACTGTGAGAATCTAAGGCCGCGGCTCTGACAGGAGCTGGAGCTCCGGCAAGAATACTCAGTGGCCGCCATTCACCGTGCCATGCGGCCCAGCTCCTCACCGGCCACGGACCCCGAGGCTGGGGTTCAGGACCCCTGTTATATTGCACAGAGCCAAAACTGACATTCGATTCAGGAAAATCAGTTTGGATATTTGAAAGAAATAAAATTATTCTTAAGATATTTTGTTCACTTCCATGCATTCCGTCTCAGAAAACAAATTTTCTGTTTTTTAGAAATTATTTTAGAAATTATCCATGTATTTTAGAAATTATCCATCCCATGTATTTTAGAAATTATCCATCCAACAGGCCAAATATTCAGTTTTATGATTCAAAGGATGACAGCTCACCAGAAAGAGGCTTCGCAGTTGCAGCCACAGCACAGGGAGGGGCAGGGGGTCACCCTCCGTGCTCTCCCAAACCAGGGGGTGATGAGGCCAACAACAAAGGCGTCTGGTCCCCACAGAGCACGTGTGCACAGGCCGCAGAAGGGAGACTGGAAAATCTGGAGGCAGAAAACTCCCTTGAGGGCATCAGCCCCCATCAGCACTGCCTCTCATTCCCAAATCCTGAAAACCTGAATCTCAGAAAACAGCCCCACTTTAAAGAAAAGAGTTTTGTTCTTTATTTTTATTGACTGATGACTGATTGATTGAGATGGAGTCTGGCTCTGTCGCCCAGGCTGGAGTGCAGTGGTAACCTCCGACTCTTGGGTTCAAGTGAGCCTCCCACCTCAGCCTCCCAAGTAGCTGGTATTACAAGTGTGTGCCACCAGGCCCGGATATATATATATATATATATATTTTTGGTATTTTTAGTAGAGACAAGGTTTCACCATATTGGTGAACAGGCTGGTCTCGAACTCCTGTCCTCAAGTGACCCACCCATCTCGGTCTCCCAAAGTGCTGGGATTACAAGCGTGAGCCACCATACCCAACCTTGTTCCTTTTTTCTGCCTTTAGAATGTCTTTGTTCCTATTTATGGTTGTGCAGTTCTGTATTTAGAATTTAAACCTCAAGAAAATCACATCCACTTAGATGAATTAACTGTAATGTTTAAATGTGAACCTTCTGAAAATGTTGATTGTGAGAGTAACCTTGTTTAGAGAAATACAATTGTCACCTTCTTAATTTCCAAGAAGTTCAATACATGTCTCTTTGAGGCCATGCTTAATCCACTAATTGATGAAATAGGTCGCTGACATTCAGAGGAAGCGCCTTCCTTCTAACATTTCATTAAGTCAGTTAAACACGTGTCCACAGAAAGCAGCAGCTCAGTAATGAGGAACCCTTTAGCGACATGAATCGCACAAATTCCCAATGTTTCCAGCATTTCTGAATCATTTTCCAGGAAAGTAGGAAAATAAATGCTTAGGTTTCCTTTGCTTTTTTTTTCTTTTCTGCAAAATTTTGACTTTATTTTATAGTCCTTAGTAAGTTTACCTGCTACCTCTTTTGAGGCCAATATTATTGTAACTACACATCAATTTCTGAGTAAAGATTTCCCCAACTACACCATCTTACTCTTCCCCAGACACTCTTGCCACAGCAGCCACCAAAGTGTGGGCTTCTTCTCTCCAAACTTAGCACATTCTCTGTGCTTAATAAAGGAGTTCTGAACTAACTGCCCAATGAATGGATTCAAGAGACATGAAGAACTTACTATTGTTAAGTATAATAGTTAATAGTGGCTCAGAACTAAACAGAAATATACAGAATTGACAAAGCTAGGCTATATTTAGTAATTCTTTACCTCAGCTCAAAAATATATGTGGTAGATAGATAGATAGATAGAAAGATAGATATTGATATAGATAGATATAGATATAGACACTTTAAAATATATATACTTTTAAATACATTTAAATTAATATTTATCAAGCATTTACTATGTCTCAGAGTACCAGCAAGTCTTAATACTATAACTCTATGTAGTGGGTAATATATAAGACATGAGATGTCTGAAGTAGACTTTCACTTTTATGTGTGATAAAGTTGCTTCTAGTAGGACAACATTCTTACCCAGAACAAGTAACAATCCAGATAAAATACAGAGAGTGAGAGATGGCGAAAGAGTAATGAAAGAAAGAGAGAAAAACAGATAGGTGAATGGACATATAAGCTGATGGGCAGATGAATAGACAGATGATGATGATGATGATAGGTTAGATAGATTGATTGATAAAGAGATTGATGGTATATGAGTTACATGATAGATAATAGATAGATGATAGAGTGATAGAAAGATAGATGATAGGTAAATAGATAATATATGATAAAGTGATAGAGTGATGATAGAGATGAAAGATAGACATAGATCAGTGATGGAAATAGATCAATAGGTGATAGATAGATAGATAGACAGGATACACAGACAGAGAGATGATACACAAGAGAGCTGTGAGAGCAGCCAGTGGTTCGAGGCCCAGTCCTAGTGAGAATTGTGCTTCCTGAAGTGGGCACTCTCTCTGCACATCACTTTCTATCTCTGGGCTCTTGCCGATTTGTGGCTGGGTTGAAGGTAAGGAAGAGGAAAGAGTGCCGCTGTTGAGAAGCAGGGGGAAACAGCAGAGCTTCCTGCAATACTGTGAAGCTGGAGAGATAAGAATTGGAGTCTGGGCCTGACAGTGCATCCAGGATTTGAAAGGCCAAGATCCTGAAGAGAGGGGAGGCTCAAAGATCAGAGCCCACATCTCAGCACCAGGTTTCACCTCAAAGCACTCCATGAGCAGAAGGCAAAAAGTGGTGAGAAAGCAAAGAAGAGCTGCTGGTGGGTTTCTGGTGCTCTTGAGTTGGGGTTTAGGACCCCCAAGAAAGGTGGGGCCATGTTAAACGAGGGAGACTCTCCATTTGCCAATGGTGTGTATTCTTTGGTGAGTTGTCTGTCCAGGCCTTTTGCCCATTTTTTTCATTGGGTTGTTTCTTTTCTCATTGTTGAGATTTAAGAGTTCTGCGGGCAGCCATACTTTATTAGATGTATATTTGCAAGTATTTTCTTCCAGTCTGTGGCTTGCCTTCCCATTCTCCTGATCTTGTCTTTTGTAGAGCAGATATATTTAATTTTATTGATGTCTGGCTTATCAATTACTTATTTCATCAATTGTGCCTTTCGTGTTATATCTAAAAAGTCATTGCCATACAGAAAGTCATCCAGATGTTCTCCTAGAATGTGTTTCTGAAAACATTAAAACACAAATAGAAATTCTAGAACTGAAAAAAAATACAACGAATGAAGTTAAGAACTTGACAGTTTTCATAAAACTTCCTGTCTCTCCTTTCTCCCTAAGGCCAATATGACCCCCATGCTGTGGATCACATTCCCTCGCGTGGAATAATCCCAGCGCACACAGTGTCTGGAAAGGAAAACCTCAAAATTCATGGAATATCTGAAAAATACTCAAAAGGGCATGGACTCAGTAGTGGATCAAAACCAGCCCTGTGTTCAAGGCTGATCTCATGTCAACTAAAACATTTAAAAGCAAGCTTTGAAATAATCAAACTGTTGGAAAAAAAAAAAAACCCTTCACTGTATTACAGAGTAAAGCTCAAAAATATTTCTGGAATACAAAAATATCCAGCAACCAAGAAGTTAAACTTCACAATATCTGACATTCAATTAAACATACCAGAAAAATGCAACATATAATGAGAAAATTAATAGTAACATGCCCATAAATTTGGTAAACAAAGACATTAAAACAGTTATAACTATGTCCCATGCCCTCAAAAAGACATAGAATAGATTGAACATACTAAATAAAGACACAGAAGATATTAAAAAGATCCAAATCAAACTTTTTGAGATGAGAAATATAATGCCTGAGAATTTTTTAATGCACTGGTGGGATCGATAGCATGTTATTGCAGAAGAAAAGACTGAAGATATCCAAGATAACCCTTGAACTTAAAAATAGAAAATAAAAATGTTTTTATTTTTTATTCATTCAGTGTTTTTTCTCTTAATATTTTATTTTATCAACTAATGAAAATAAATAAAAAATAAAATAGTAAGAGAAAAAAAAACACCCAATGAATGAAAAGAGCATTGAGGAAAACATGAAGCAGACAAATATACATGTAGTGTCCCCAAAGAAAGAAGTCAGACAAAAGAAAATAGTTGAAAAAATAATGTCCACATTTTTTCTAAATTTTCTGAAAACTATGACTGTGCAGGCACAAGAGGCTCAACAAACATCAAGCTCAAGAAACATAAACAAAACTACACCAAGTCACATCATAATCAAATTGCTTAAAGCCAGCGATTAAAGGAAACCTTAAGACAGGGCAAGAAAAAGAAACATAGTGTATGTATAGAGAAGCAAAGATAAGAATGACATCAGACTTCTCATCAGAAATGATGCAAACAGGAAGACAGTGACACAGTATTTTTAAGCGCTCAAAGAAAAGACCGTCAACCTAGAATCCTATACCCAGCAAAAAAAAAAAAAAAGAAAAAAAAAAGGTTCTTTCAAAAACGAAAGCAACGCAGCCCGGGTGGTATCAGTGGACACTTAGAAGCAGAAAGAAGGTGTCCCTGCCACACACACACCTCTGATCAGGGAATCTGGACTTCTAGCCCACCTGATCATGCTTCTGCAGTAATAAGACAGCACCTCTTTCCTATGCCAGTATGGTGCCCATTAAAATATAATATATATAAGACCCAGAGTCTCTTAACATAATACCCAAAATGTCTAGGTTTCAATCAAAAATCACTCACTGTTACTTTATGCAAATAACTTCCTCTCCTAATCCACAAAGTCAACTAAAGCCAAACATACGAGCTCCATCAACTTCCCATTACCCCAACTACCTTCTCTCCCTGAGGCCGACATCCCTGAGCTGTGGATCCCTCTCCTTCATGGTGCTTAGGATGGGGATACAGTCAGTCCCTAACACCTATGTCCCCCACGACTGCAGCTCTGTTGCTCAACTGGGTCCTTTCCCATCATTATTGGAACATTTTTCAGGTCTCTTCTAAACTTAAAAACAACAAACAATAAAAATCCTTTCTCAGACCCACTTCCTCCTCCAGCTGCTGCTCTCTCTTTCACAGACAGTGTTCTTGAAAGAGTTGTGTATAGTCACATTTTTTCCATTTCTTCACTTTCCACTAACCCTATTCCAACCTCCCTTCCACTCATATCACATCACTAACCAAAATAGCTCTAAGCCACCAGTGACCTCTGTGTCACCAAATCCACAGGACATTATCAGCTCTCAGGTTACCTGACCTCTCCCCGCTAGTTGGTCCACTTGACCCGCACCCCTTCCTGAAGCACGGTTCCCTCAGCCTCCGCCGTGCCACACTCCTCCTGTTTTCTTCCTCTGCCTGTTTTCTTCTTCCACCCTCGGCTGGCTCTGTCTCCTTCAGCCCACCATGAAGTATGGAAGTTGTTCCCACGCACTTCTCAAATCACTCTTCCTGTCTAATCCCCTGCTCCTTCCTAGGCGACCCAAACACATGCTGTGTAGGAATGGCTTTAATTACTCTCACCTCCCTGATGGCTTCCAGAGGGAGGCTGCACTCACGTTGAGCTGTCCTTCACAACTCCTTTTGAATGATAAAATGGAAACTTAAACTCAACAGGTCAAAGACTAAACTCAGGAGCCCACCTGATCTCTTTGTCCAGTATTTTATACCCATGAATAGCTCATGCCAGAAACCTTTGATACCTCCCTGAGGCCCACACAGCTTTAAAATTTTCCCTCCTAAATACCCCTCACAACTATGCACCTTGCTCAGCCTCCACTGCCACCCAACTCGTCCACACTTGACAGTGTCTCGTTCAGGTCCTGTGACAGCCTGCAGTCCCCCCACTCCCACTTATCCCCCAGGATAAGGCTGAGGCCCTGCACCCCCATACCACACTCATCCTTAGGCTAAGGCTGAGGTCCTGTGCTCCCCACACCCATGCTTATCCCCCAGGCTAAGGCCCAAAAGAATGTCTCAGAGTGCAGATCAGAGCACATCACCCAAACACCCCTGAAAGCCACTCGTGTTTTAACAAGCAGCAGACGTACCATGTGAAGCCCTGTGTGGCCTGGCCCCCACTCCAGTCTTCACGACGCTCTGCATGTCAGTGGAGCTAAGCTCCTTGCTCCACCAGCCCCCAGCCATGCACAGGCTCTTTCCCATCCTTCGGATTCCACGGTCCTGCTCCCTGTACAAACTTCAGCAGAAGCCCCGATATTTCTGATGCCTTTTCTGACCCCAGTCAAGGTAAGGCTCCCCTGTGGCAGATTCACTAAGAGCTGGGTTTCTTTCCTGCAAAGCCCTCCTTTATGTCTGCAGTGTGGTTCACGGCAGGGATGTCTGGCCAGCCTGTGTCACCCACTGGACCATGAGCACTGGGGGTTCCTCTGACCAGGGAGGTCCCAGGACTTCACTCAAAGCCCAGCACACAAAATACACTAAAAATACTTGCTTACTAAACAAACCAACCAAATAAACTAGCTAACTTGCCTCCTGTAATCGCAACAAGACATTTAGTGGTGATAAAACCGATATTCTTCCCAAACAGTAAGGCAATTAGATTGCTTGGAGGTTGGGCATTACTCAGCATCTCTATAATACAGCGCAAAGTTTTCCATATTTTGTTAATCAAAACATATCCTAGGAGACCTGGCAGCAGGCCATGGCTACGTGCCTGGCAGATAACATACGAGCACCTGCTTGCATGACACCCCTGGTATCCATCCACGGGGGCATAGGGCGTGCCATGACTACACACTGGGGCCTGAGGAACACAAAGCTCAGCTCGGGGTGGTCAGAAGTTTCCTCTCCGACCAGCAAGGTTCATCTGGACGTCGTACGGATGGAATTGTTCTCAGTTCCCACTGAGTCCACAAAGACCTAATGCACACAAGGAGAGGAAAGTACGAGACTTCGGTCATTTATCATGTGTCTAGGTAACCACAATTTCCTAAATCTTGATAAAATTCAGGGTTATAATGTCATTCTTAATGCAATCCTCCTGGCTGTGTTCTAAAGCTGTGAAAACTGCCGGTCTGCTGAGTTAGCACTGTAAGACAGGAGGCCTTTCTCCTGAAGTACCCGGCCCAGGTGACCAAAAGTTTGTGCCTCGATGACGACTGGTCTAGATTTGCACCTTCCCTCTGACTGAAACAGTGCCATGCACGTGGTAGAAGCTCAATAAATACATTTTCTTTCAGTGGGAAGGCATGGCTTTCGTCCTGTAGCGACTGTTGATGGGTTTCTATCTTCAGAGGCGGTGGCATGTGGCCTCCAGCTATTGGGGAGTTTATCTCCAAATGGCATTCTGTAATCACACCAAGGCTGGGCCAGCTCCGTCTCGCCAAATTGCCCTGAGCCCGTTGTCAAGGGCACTGGCGCTGGGCCTAGTTTTCTGTTTGCTAATCTGTTGTTGAAGTTTCGTGCCCCATGGAAAATCTCTTCACCTACCCGCGACCCCTGGCTTCCTCATCTGTAAGGTGAGCGTGGGATTAGATGATCCTCTCTAAGTTCCATTATGCTATCGTTTCAATCCTGAATGATTGTGCTGGGGAACCGAGCCTTAACGCACACGAACAGGGCTACCAGCTGCCCGGCTCAGAACAGGATCCAGGAAACGGGACCCAGAGGGCACCGAGCTGTCCCCAGGGAGGATTCCGTTCTGAAAGTGCTTGAAGGCTTAGCAATCTCAAACAATGCAATCAAGCCGTGTGTTCATAAGAAGAGCGCTTGTAATAAAACAAACATAGATGTCAGGCGTAAGAGCCATTCACTGTCAGGTGCCACCCAGTCTTGTGAGGAGCAGGAGGTGAATCGCGTGCTCCAGGGCTCCAGAGCGAGCTGGGAGGGCAGAGACCAAGATGAGGTGGATGCCAGCCCCAGAGACATCCCAGACCTGGGCAGAGCAGAGGAAATCATCACCCCCAACCGCTCACTTCACCCTGCAAATGTGGAAATCAGGCCCAGACAGGTTTAAAAACCAAAAACAAAAAGCAGGGGTCACGTTGCAGAGCGTTTAAAGGGTTTGGACTAAAATTCAAATATCTTGATGTCTAGGCTTTGTGATGTTGCCTCCAGGAGAGGAAGGGGATGCAGAAACCCAGGTGCAGGCCCAGGTGGGGCCAGAGCCCAGATGGAGGCCCAGGTGGAGGCCCAGGTAGGGCCAGAGTCCAGTTCTGCATGTGACCGAGCCAGACCCCTCCTCAGGTAGCTGATACTCCCAACTTCTGCACTGCCAGTCAGGCTCAGTGTGAGGCTGGTGGGGACACATCAAAAACCAGTTTCTCAGGTCAAAAGCGTTTTAAACACATAGAAGTCAGAAATGGTCACAAGAATCCACTGTCCCGTCATTACTATTTCTCTTCACCGTTGTGTCCTGGAGGCCTCGTTCCTGGGTAAACATGGACTGGAATAGGAGGATCCTGGGACTGGAAAGAGACAGTATCTGCCCATAGCTGGGAGCTCAGATAGGGCAAGGCTGCAAACACCACCAGTTTCCCCAGTTTCCCAGTTTCCCCAGTTTCCCCAGGAGGCCAGATTCTGTGCTACCTGACGTCAAGAGCGTGCAAAGAGTTCACCCACGACTGGTCCTGGTGCGAGCGAACCTTCAGTTTGGCCGTGTTGGCAGATGCACCTGCCCCATATGGACCTCGCACAGCAGGGTCCTGGCTGACTCAGCCAGCGGGAGGACGCGGGCGAAGGAAGCTTTCTTCTCAGGGCTCAGCGCAGGTCAGGGCTAACACTCACTGCCTTCCTCCTGCACTGAAGCTTTTGGACTCCCCTCTGGTTTAGAAGGACAGCCATCAGCACCGAGGAGCCAGTCCTTCTTCGGGGTCTGCACTCAGCCCCCAGCCCCTTCGGCGCTGGTTGGTGCCACGCGGTTGCCACGGCCAAGCATGCGTCCTCGCCAGCCGCACTCACTAGCTCTGTGACATCGCACGAGGCACTAAATAAATGAAAGTGGGTGAAAATGGAGGAGCTAGACAAAGGCGTCCCTGAGATCTGGCTCTTCCCCAAATCCCACGATCCTGCTACAATTAGGAACCATACAACTTGTCACCCAAGCTGGGACCACGTGAGAATGAAATGATTAATAAACACTGCAGGACAACAGGCATGCACCTACAGCCACCCGAATTATTAATACAATCAGCAGCATCAACGCAACTAATGCCCAGGTGCGGAAGTCGTTGATATTGTACATTTTGCAGAACTATGTGCATTTAGGAGATATTCCATACAAAATGAAACATTGAAAGGCAGTTGCTCCCTCTGATAACATTTTTTTCCCCAAAAGACCATCATGTTTCCTTCTAGATTGATTAACAGCTGAGTAAAGATTCAGGTTTTGCCTGTTTTCCCCAAGAGCGCTGTACTTGATTATTTTCTTCTGTAGGCACGCAGTGTTTTCACAGAATCGCCTCACTAACCGTGGGCTTCTCATTGCCACTTTCCTTTAAACATTTCATATCAGAGACTTCGCCACTGGCAAAGGACCCTGAGAAAAAATGCACGGATAATACATCAAAGGTTAAACCATCCTAAATTAATAGAGAAGTTTGTTACATAAAATTTTAATTTTGCTCAATTATATATAAAATGCACAGGCTTGTGCTTATGGCCTCAGAGTACTCAGTTCTTCATAAATTAAAAGATGAACTTCTTGAGTTAAATTAAGAAATGATTTCAGAAACTTGAGCAAATCATTTTCAAAAGCATAAATAAATGAGAGTTGATTTCTACACCTGGAGAGGCAGAAACTGTCTCATTCTTTTTTTATTGTTAAAAACTGTTCCTGGGAACTGACAGATAATACACACTCAATAAATATGTATCTGTGTGTGTGTGTGTGTGTGTGTGTGTGTGTATGTATATATATATATATATATATATATATATATATATATATTTGAGACAGGGTCTCGCTCATGTCACCCAGGCTGGAATGCAATGGTGGAATCTCGGCTCACTGCACCCTCTGCCTCCTATGTTCAAGTAATTCTTCAGCCTCAGCCTCAGCCTCCCAAGTAGCTGGGATAATAGTCATGCACCACCACGCCCAGTTAATTTTTTTTTTTTTTTTAAACAGAGTCTTGCTCTGTCACCTAGGCTGGAGTGCAGTGGTGCAATCTCGACTCACTGCAACCTCCACCTCCTGGGTTCAAGCGATTCTCCTGCCTCAGCCTCCTGAGTAGCTGGGATTATAGGTGCATGCCACCATGCTCGGCTAATCTTTGTATTTTTAGTAGAGATGGGGTTTCACCATGTTGGTCAGGCTGGTCTCGAACTCCTGACCTCGTGATCCACCCACCTCGGCCTCCCAAAATGCTGGGATTATAGTGCCCGGCCAATTTTCCTATTTTTAGTACAGAGGGGGTTTCGCTATGTTGGCCAGGCTGGTCTGGAACTCCTGACCTCAAGTGATCTGCCTGCCTCAGCCTCTCAAATTGCTGGGATTACAGGCGTGCCCATTCAATATTTCTATATGTGGATGTTTCCAAGAAAATAAAAAACTGAGTTAAGCGATGGGGGTGAAGTCAGGAATGAAATCTGTGTTAATACTGTAAAAAGTAGAGGTAAGCATCAACTATTACCTTTTTGGATGTACAAATGAAACGATGTTAATTTCTTGAAAATCAACAATATATAAGCATGTATAATCATATGACTCAAATCATCCTGTTTTTTAAATTCACTGTTACACATTATTATCATTCGCTTATGATCAAATACTATCTCTTTAGATTAAAGCTCAAACTTTTGGTCTCAGGATCCCTATGCACCCTTAAAAATTATTGATTTTTTTTAAAAACTTGTATTTAGGTAGGTTATATCTACTTATATTGACCACATTAGAGATTTTATGTTTTATAATATTTAGTTATTAATTCATTTTGAAATAATAATAATGATTCCATTATAGGTTAACACAAATAACTTTTTTAAGAAACTTTTTTAAAGAAAAAATAAGCAGAGTGAAAGTCTTTTATATTTTTTGCAAATCTCTTTAATGTCTGGCTTCAGATAAGATGGCTGGATAGGTACTTTTGCATTTAATCTGCTGTGATTCCATTTTGGATCGAAATACATGAAGAAAACCTGTGTCAAGCAGCTGTGTAGTTGAAGAAGAGAGAATAATTTTAGTAGTCTTTCTAGATAATTGTGAATAGCCTTTTTCACTACACTAAAAATCTAATTTCTTAAAGATTCGTCGCAATCTGGAATCTGAGATTGCACTAGTGAACTTTGCACACTGTTACATTAAAATATCTTCATCCCTCTTGCACTTTGAAGGGATCTTTTACCATTTGTGATTTTGTAACATCATGCATCGGTCATTTGGAAAATAGTAGTTTGGAGTCACGCAGATATTCCAAATTTCGTTATACCGCTGTGGATTACACACACATTCTTAATACAGCCACGGTCTCATCCGTATGATCAAAATAGTTTTCGCCTCCTGGATTGTATACTAGGGTGTTAGGGGTGACGAGGCATCTCTGGAACAAACTTTTGAGAAGCCGCCCTCCGGCCTTGGGAAGCCTCGCCGGTGAGTTAGCGACTCTCAGCCACTAGAGGGAGCGCCACACCGTCAGAGCGGTCTTCATCCTTCTATGGGAAAAACCCAGCGATGGCTGTTCCTTTAAGAAGAAATTCAGAGGCATTTTACAGAAGAGAGAAGAACATTTAAAATGTAAATAACATTATACCAATAACCTTTTGCAATGTTGAACAAAAAGTTATATTAATCCTAATTTGGCTGTAGCTAGTCATAGTAATGGTATCCAACCAACAACATATGTATAGGTAATGGCAAGCTAGTTATTTACAGCAATGCTTACGATGAAAATAAGCTTTGAAAACCTGAAAAGGGGTGGATGAAAACAGAGAGCACTATAAATGTATTTATTACCACTGAACTGTACACTTAAAATGGTAAAGATGATAAATTATGTAAATATATTTTATCTCAATAAAAATATTAAAAGACACAGATAAAGACAGAGATATCTATCTACAGACTATCTACCTCCACAGAATATATTATAGATATCTGCACATCGTGATGGTTAATTTTTATGTGTCAGCTTGGCTAGGCCACTGTACCGAAATCTTTGATTATCATTATTCTTGACATTGTCATGAAGGCATTTTTAGGTGTGATTAGCATTTTCATCCATGGGCTTTGGGTCAAGCAAATTGCCCTCCACAGTGTGGATGGCCTCACACACTCAGCTGAAGGCCTTCAGACAAAAAGCCTGATCTCCCAGGATTCTGCCAGGGGCCGGCTTGAAGACTCAATGGCAACTCTTCCCTGGGTCTCCAGCCCACCCAGCACCTCCATAATTACATGAGCTATTCCTTAAGATAAATATCCTTTTATGTTGGGTTTTGTGTTTTACATCCTGTTGGTCCTGTTTTTCTAGAGAATCCTGACATTCACACAAACATGCATGCACACACACACGAATACACAACACACACACACATGCATGCACGCACACGTGAATACACAACACACACAAACATGCAGCATGCACACACGAATACACAACACACAAACATGCATGCACGCACACGTGAATACACAACACACACAAACATGCATGCATGCATACGTGAATACACAGCACACAAATATCCATGCATGCACACACAAACACAAAACACACAAACATGCATGCACACACACGAATACACAACACACACGATGCATGCACACACAAATACACAGCACACACAAACATGCATGCATGTACACATGAATATGCCACATGAACATGCATGCATGCACACACAAATACACAACACACAAACTTGAATGCATGCACTCACAAATACACAACATGCATACACATGCATGCATGGACACACAAATACACTATACACACAAACTTGCATGCATGCACAGACAAATACACAACACACACACAAACATGCATGCATGCACACATGAATATACAACACACACAAACATGCATGCAAGCACACATGAATAAACAACAGAAACATGCATGCACACATACATGAATACACAACACACACAAATACACCACACACATACACACACAAGAACTGAAGACTATCCGCTTGAAAAAGAAGGAAATAATAAAATCCCACAAAATGAATATGACAACAATCTTCTTCTTGACAGTCTCTGTGAGTCGCAAAAAATATTTTCAAGTGACAGCCTGACTTGGGAGTCAGAAATGAAACCTGGCTGAAAGAAGGGGAGGAATCCAGTCAGTGAGCTCCCCAGGGACCCCAAAGAGGCGTTCCCTGAGGGCGAGGATGCAGCTGGGTGCAAAGCTCAAATCTCCATGCAGCCCCCAGCATCACCAGGAGAACCCCAAACCCTGAGCCGCTTATGGGAGTCCCAGGCTGATGCTTCCCCACCACACCAGATGCCTGCAGAGGTCAATGTAAATATAACCTGGAAAAGCTACCTTATCGAATAGGAAAATTTATTCCTACAACTTAATTTTAATGATTTATTTTGTTTGACCCAATATATCCAAAAGATTACCATTTCAACTACATCACACATAAAATTACTAATAAAATCTTACTTTCGTCACACTAAACCTATGAACGTGGTGTGTATTTTACAGTCACAGCGCATGTTGATTCTGAGGAGCCTCATTTGAAATGCCGCAAGTCTCCCTGTGCCCAGCCAGTGGCTCAGCCCGGGAACTGAACCTGGGGGGGTCCTTTCTAAGGCAGAACCGTAAGCCAAAGTTCAACTCCTGGGAGTGGGATTAAGCCTGAGCAAGACAGGATTAGCAGAGCCAGGAAATCGACAGTGACCAGATCCACATGGGGGAAGGGAGCAGGCCAGGAAACCTCAGCGAGTGAGACATCATCTTTTAAAACATGGACCAAAAACAAGAGTAGAGAACAGTCGGTGAAATTATAAGAGCGTCATGTCCCCACCCTCCTCCTAGAGGTTCAGGAAAGTTAAATTCTTAATCTTACAAGCACTTTTATACAAATGAGCAACAGAAACATTGAGGTTACATTCCATAAACAGTCCCATATGGAGAGAATGAGAAATAAACTAACTCTACAGGTGGAATTGAAAACGGGACAAATTCAATTCTAATAAAGGATACAATTGCAAGGAATCAACCAGATGTGGATAAAATTGCAAAGAATCAACCAGATGTGGATAAGAATTGCGAGGAATCAATCAGATGTGGATAAAAGCACGAGTTCATTGAATGGGTTACCTTCTGAGAGGGATGGGAAACCAACTTCTTATACTAAAAACTGGGTAAACAAAAAGGAAAAATCAAGTTCTTTTTTCCAGCCTCCTGAATGTAAATGGTACCACTCAGTAACCAAGTGTAGGTGAGGAGTGGATCTCCTTATAAAACTATTCCAGCCAACATTTGAAAACAGGGTGAGGAGATAGTAGCACCTTCTCAGACTCCTTTTCTGTTTTCCTTATTAATTTCTCAAATTCAGTTTTTTTCTTTCTTAAACATTTCTGAACTATATAAGGTTTATTTTTGACATTCACTATATAGATGTGTGTTTTTTAACAACAGCTACTGGGAATTTGAATACCACTTAGGCCCTTTTGAACTATGATCCACAGGTATTGGTCCCTTGCTAATTGACAGGCATTTCTAACCCTAGTGCCTGTGTTATTTTATTTTCGTTTCCATGACTCTGTAATGGAGATTCTATTATTATTGTGATTTTACACATGAAGCGATGGAGGCTTTGAGAGGCTGGGCACGGTGGTTCACACCTGTACTTCCAGCACTTTGGGAGACTGAGGCGGGCCAATCGCTTGAGCTCAGGGGTTCGAGACTAGCCTGGGCAACATGCTGAGACGCTGTCTGTACAAAAAATACAAAAATTAGCCAGGGGTGGTGGTGCACACCTGTGGTCCCAGCTACCTGGGAGGCTGAGGTGGGAGAATCACTTGAACCCAGGAGGAAGTCAAGGCTGCGGTGAGCCAAGATCGCCCCACTGCATTCTAGCCTGGGCAACAGAGTGAGACCATATCTCATAAATAAATAAGTAGATTTTCAGGGTCATGTGTGGTATATGAGCAAGCCTGGAGTCCCAGCAAAGGATCTCAGCCTCAGAAGTGTGAGCCCCTTGCCACCTTCTTGCAGGAATGTCTGCTGGGAAGTGAATTCTACCCCCGCCCCCAGGTCATGGTGAAGCCCTAACTCCAGTGTGGCTGTGTCAGGAGATGGGCCCTACAAAGGGGTAATTTAGGCTAAAGGAGGCCCTGAGGATAGAGCCCTTGTGTGGTAGGATGGTGTCCTTGCAGGAGGGAGAGGACACAACAGAAGGTGGCCGTCTGCAAGCTGGGAAGAGAGCCCTCCTCAGGCACCGAGTCAGCCAGAATCTGGATCTGGGACTTGCAGCCTCCAGAACTGTGAGCGATAAATGCCTGCTGTTGAAGCCGCCCGGTCTGGGTGCTTCGCTACCACAGCCGCGCTGACTCGTGTAACACTCACAGCAAAGCTTGTTTGAGTCTTGTGACCTACAGCCTTAAATTGCTATTTAACTATTACAGGTGAGTGCTCTTGCACCCACATCTGTGTTTCAGACCCCCAGCCCCCGGAGCAGGGAGTAAGCCCTGTGTTTCTTTTGACCCCCGACAGTCTACTCCAGCACAGTGCTGTCAGCAGACGTGGTGGGAGGTCGATTGCTGCGTGAGGTCGTGTTTCCAGAATGTACAACACCGAGTGTTGAGCACGTACTCAAGTCCTGTGTGTTCCAACTTAGGGAAGAGTCTTCAGTGCCGCCTGCTCCGTCCCCTGTGTCTCCACCATGCCCAGCTGTGACTACGGCCCCTAAGAAGGCTGCACTGTGGCTGGACGCATGCAGAGGGCTTTTGGTGGCTTTTAGTCTACCCCATAGGCCATTGCTAGAAGTTTTGCTTCTTGGTCCCAAATGTTTATCTGCCAGAGATAAATCATAATAATGCTATAGAGCACGTGATGCATCCCTGTGAAATACGAGAACAGCAAATGCTGAAGAGGGCTGTTGGCCACTGATGATCCCAACTCTACATAAAGGTACATTCACAAAATTCATGGAAAGTTCAGAAGAAAGTTGGGCGAAAGTTTAAGACTTTCATGAGACCCTAATCAGACACTCACAATGGCCCACATCGATGGCAATCTACCTCACTCACAGGACATGTTTATTTTGGAAACATAAGAAAATGTGTTTCTGGGCATGCAGGCGAAGTGAGGGACAGCTCTAGGGAAGGAGCCAGGAAGCCACAGCCTCCGGCAGAAGCTGCCCGGCTGCATGCAGCCCTCGTGTCAGAATGGCTTTGATGTTTTTTAAAGGGTTGTAAAAACAAAACCACATAAAAACAAGACTATTTGACAAACACTGATAGGCCCACAGAACCTAAAATATTTACTATGTGGTTCTTCTCAAAAAGTTTACAAACCCCTGGTCTAGATCACCCGAGTTACAGAGTGACTTTTTTTTTCCATTTTATGTGCAAAAAAGTTTAATTAAAATAGCAGCTTGGGCCAGCCATGGTGGCTCACGTCTGTAATCCCAACACTTTGGGAGGCCAAGCCGGGTGGATCACTTGAGGTCAGGAGTTTGAGGCCAGCCTGGCCAACATGGCAAAACCCCGTCTCCACTAAAAATACAAAAATTAGCCAGGCGTGGTAGCACATGCCTGTAGTTCCAGCTATTCAGGAGGCTGAGGCAGGAGAATCACTTGAACCCGGGAGGCGGAGGTTGCAGTGAGCTGAGATTGTACCACTGCATTCTAGCCTGGCAACAGAGCGAGACTCTAAAACAAACAAACAAAAAAATAGCAGCGTGTTTGCCTCAGGCAAAGCAGATACTTACGGAGGGACGGGAGTGTGTGGTAGGAGTGCCCGTGCAAGTTACAGTCCCTGACGAGCCCCCCAGCCCACTGACTAGTCACTTGGAAAGTGACATTCCTAAACTGGCTACAGAGTGACTCCGCTGTGGGATGCCTCTGGCCTGTCTGATAAACGGCTTTCCTTCTGCCAGTCTGCTTTGAGATCTGTGGACAGGTTTCAAACATGGCTCTAAAGCCCTGCAGTAACCCTGCAGCTTGACACGGAAAGTTTGCTATGCAATGAAGCAAAGTTTCAAATCACACGAGTGTGTGTTGGCTCGGCTCAGTGCCATGCCTCCACCCTCACAGAGCGCGCAGTATGAAGCCATAGGAACCCCCCCATCCACCTCACAAAAGCAAGGCCCTTCGCAAAATAGGGTTTTAAACCGATGAAGTCATAATGTCATAGATGAACTTACATTGGAAAGTCTAAACAGAAATGTGTAGAGCAGATGCTTCCAAAACATTTGAAAATGTGAGGAAAGACTGCAGTTTTCACTATGCTAATATGTATAAAAATATAATTTGAGGTTTTCCAAAAGGCTCAAAGCTCCTGTTGGTCGGTGGAATCCACTAGGCTCAGACGTTATGTTGACTTTTTTTTTTTTTTTTTTTTTTTGAGACCGTTTCACTCTGTCGCCCAGGCTGGAGTGCAGTGGTGCAATCACAGCTCACTGCAACCTCCATCTCCCGGGTTCAAGCGATTCTCCTGCCTCTGCTTCCCAAGTAGCTGGGATTACAGGCATGCCCCACCATACCCAGCTAATTTTGTACTTTTAGTAAAGACCGGGTTTCGCCATGTTGGCCAGACTGGTCTCGAAGTCCTGGCCTCTAGGAATCCACCTGTCTCAGCCTCCCAACGTGCTGGGATTGCAGGTGTGGGCCACCACATCCCGTCTATAGTGACTACTAACTCATCAGACTTGAATGTACATAGGACACCACGGTAGGCTCACATGAAGGGGGGCCTGCAGGGTGTCCTATGATTAACACGATCGCGAAATGATTTCCTTCATCATACGACATGCATTATGTTTGAAAATAAAAATGCACTTCAGTGCTCTAGCAAGCATTTATTGTGTGTGAGCAATGTAAATAGAATACAATGAGCTGAAAAATTCTTTACATCCCCAGTTTGGTTTTGACAGCTGTGATGGAATTTAAAGTAGTTTGATATTTCTCTAATCCAATATCCTGAACGTGCTCTTCCCATTTGGCCCCGAGGCGTCATGTTTCCCGCTCACCAGCAGATGGCGGTGTTGGATGCGGTACTGGCCTTCGACCTGCGGTTCCTGGTTACGCGGAAATTTTCGAGACCCTGGAGCCGCGGTCTGAATCACATCACCTCCGAGCAGGAGGCCCGTGTTGAGAACTGTGTTCTACCGTCTTCTTTTACGGTGAGAACCCAGACCCAGAAACGGCCTCCTGTCACTCGGCCCCTCTGAGAACAGCTCCCGATGCCGCCCTCTCCTCGGCTCTGACCCAGCCCGGCCGCCTCCCCCTCCTGGCCCGTGGCCCTGGGAAGGCCGCAAGCCTCCCTCCTCCTCCCTGCAGAGCCTCCATCCCTGCCCAGCTCCCGCGGGCCCGAGGCCCCTGCTGCTTCCTCCCCTGCAGCCCAGGCCCGCTCCGCCCTATGGCCCCGTCGCTTCTCAAAGCCCCCAGAGCCTCCTCTCCCCGGGCCGCGTCCCATCCAGTCTCAAGCACGGCACCCTTCACGCTCCCCTTCCTAGCATAATCACGACTTGTGATCATTCTGAGTAATTGCTTACATAACCTCGTCATCAATCAAAACTGGTGATGAAAAGCATGCAGTTTTCTGAAACACTGATCGATATGCATTCGTCATTATGCTAATTCACCCATTTACTATTCAGTTGGTTTTTAGACGAACCCACTCAACCTCCAGCTCCCGAGGTCAGGAACCGTTTCTGTCCTTCCCATTCTTGACTCCTCCGTGCTTCTGTGGCTGGTGCATCAGCTGCGTCCGGGCCGAGGGCTCAAACGACAGTGGCTTCACCCTCAAACCACAGCGGCTTCACCCTCCAGGAGCCGCTCCCCTTCAGTGAACAGGATGGACACGGGTAGCCATCGCTGGCAGGTGTGCAGGAGCCCAGCCTCTTTCTGAGCAGTGGCTTTGCTGTTGGAGCGTGAGGGCGTTCACAGTGACTTGCAGGATGGCTAGAGGGGGTCGGCCAGCTGCACATCCCACTGTAACCAGGCTGCTGTCCACGGCTACATCTGCTGAAAGAACTGTGAACGTGAGCTAAGCTGGGCACCGCACGGCTGTGGAGAGGGGAAGTGGCACCGGCAACCCCCGCAGCAGAGGCCTCAGTGCCCAGCAGGTCGGGGGAGTTGTCAGATGGGAGGAGCCGCGGAGCTCCTCCTGAGGGCCGGCTGGGCCCACACGTGGTTCGCTTTGCGCTTTAAACATTAGAAGAGCGAGTCCTTTGTCCCAGCCCCGGCTGCTGCGCAGCAACAGGAATGCCTAGCAACAGAAACACCGACATCTCACAACTGTTGGGTGCGGAGGCCGGGGCAGACAGAGGGAGGCAGGGAGGCTGGGGCCAGTGTTCCCAGGTCACTCGTGGTCCCTGCTGCTGTGCCTTGTGGAAGGCAGGCCTCTCTGCTGCCACTTCTTGGCTGCCCCAAGGGCAAGCACACGCACAGGCTCCTCTGTTTCAAGGGTTTATGGGGAAATGGAGAAAGGGAGAGGGGAGCAATTAGGAAGAAGACTCTCTGGTCCTGTCCCTCAGCAGTCATGATGCTGTGGTCACCGGGGCCTCCACTCTTTCTCAAGGAAGGTTCTCAGCACATTGCTGTCTTCCAGGGGCCTGGCCAGGATCTGCCTCTGTGGCCTCACTCTTCTTCTGGGTCCTGCCCCCGTTGGGAAGGCAGAGCCTCCACCCTGGGCTCAGGCTGGCTGCCTTGATTCCACCCTCCTGGGACCTGCAGGCCTCCCACGAGATGCCTCCTCCAACCTTGGCCATGATCAGTGCCGACGCCCAGCACTGCCTCAGCAGGAGTACAGAGCCCATGGACACCAGGTGCAGGAGCACGGAGCCCGCGCATGTCGGGTGAAGGAGCACAGAGCTCACGCATGTCAATTGGGCGAGTGCTACCCAGGCCCTGATCCCCTGGCTGTGGGTACTAGGACGTGGTGCATTGTTGCCTAGAGGTAGCCCTGGTTCTACCCACCCTGACACATTCATGGCATTGAGTAGGTCCCTAGTGCTCTGGCCCAGCTGGCGATGGTCCTTCCAAGTCTGGTGGCTTCACACACAGTGCAGCACACGCTAGGTGAGTCTCACTGGGCCTCACTGTCCTTCCTCCCTCTCAGCCCACCTGGCATCTCCAGAGATGCCCACTCCAGGTCCCCAGCCTCAGCCATGCTCCTCACCCCTGCCAGGCTGGTCCCTGCTCACAGCCCCTGGCATCCCAGGCTCTCTCGGCTTGGCCTCCTCCTCCAGGATGCCTTCCCTAGGTCCCCTCAACTCGGCTCCATCCCAAACTCTGGTGCCACCCTCGCCAGCAGGCCATGCCTGCCGGGCCTCACTGGATGGGGTCGTTTTCAGTTCCCGGCCGCCCCGACAGTGGGATGAGCCACGACTGCATCTCATTCATCTCTGCCCGGCTGCACAGCTGGAGCTGGGTGCTGATTCATCTCTGCCCGGCTGCACAGCTGGAGCTGGGTGCTGATTCATCTCTGCCCGGCTGCACAGCTGGAGCTGGGTGCTGATTCATCTCTGCCCCGCTGTACACCCAGAGCTCAGTGCTGACTGAAAGAATTACCTCCAGAAACGCTTTGATATTATCCAGCCGTACCCAGAATCCAAATATCTGATGTGTTCAACCCAAACGACAAACGGGGGAGCGTTTGCATTGTGCCACGAGAATGATTAGACATTTAACTAGACAGAGGAGTCAGATAGACAGAGTGAGGCAGAAGGCCCAGCCATGCCTAAGGGTCCAGGGTCACAGAACGAGTCCACAACTCCAGCTACAAATCACTCAGCCCCATAGCTTGACCTTTTCAAAAGAACACAGAAAGGAACTTCAAAGGAAATCCTGGAATAGTTAACAAAAAGCATAAGGAATTAACAACTTCATGTTCTTTTCTTCACTGCGATGACCTCTTTAAACAGCAGAGGCCACCAAGAGTTTCTCCGATGTGTTCCCTGAGTGCCACGGGGGAGACAGGGAGCGGGTTCCAAGGTCTGGACGGTGCAGAGAATGGGCTGTTGTCCTCAATCCCTGGTCCCCATCCCTTCTACACACAGGGGAAGACAATGGGCACTCTCTGTTCTGTGTTCTGCATCTCTGTCTGCACAGAGGGGGATCTGTGACAGGGAAGGTGGGGGGAGCATTGGGGTGCAGAGCTCGCCAGAGAGCCAGAGACGTCCTTTCTGCACATCCTCACAAGGAAAGGGCCTGGGAGGCGGCAGAACAGCAGAAAAAGAAAACAAATGGAAATTGCCAAAGCCAGTTTCCATAGAAAATGTGAAGTGCTTTTATTGCATCAGCGTCCGGTGCCCAGCGCCTCTGCAGGCTGAGTGCTGACTCCCTGCTGGCTCTGCCCTGCCCCGCTAGGAGAGTCCCGGGCTGCGCAGGTGCACGTCTTGCTATCTGTGCCCGTCCAGGCTGTTTCTAGGTGACTCTGTGGCACTCTGTCCCCTCGGAGGGGACTGTCAGGAAAGCACAAGGCCTGTAGTTCATTCCTCAGTCACAATGGAATTTGACGTTAGAGCCACACAGCACCACAGTGTCAGCAAGACTAAGACACCATGTGAACCACAGAACTACAGAGCGGTTTTAGGAGTAAACATGTTCCAAATAGCAACAGCTGTTGGGCAGCTATTTAGCTGGAAAGGGAACCATGCTTGACCTCATAACTCCCAGGAAATTCATCTCAAGGAAAAGGGCAACTTTAATTAAATAGATTTTGTATCAACTTGTCCTGTATTATGACTCCAGCAGGGTCTGTTGTCTAAAACCAAAGAGAAAATGTGACTGTTCTGGCTTCTGCATGTATTTGAAGGATGACACGACATGGCGATTTTGTTAATGGACAGGCTGTATCTTTTTGATAGATTACATTTTTTCTTAGATTGTGTATGTAAGGTCAATTACATTAGGACCATTTGACGTTTCAGAGATTTTCCAAATTATGCCATGGAGGCAGAAGAAACTTTGAAGACTGTGCTGCAAAGGGTAACATCAAATTTTCAGAAAAACAAATAGCTTCACATTTTAATCTCACTCGTCTCTAAGCTTCTCCCTCCGACTGAGCTACTCAATCTGCTTGAAAGTCCAGGAAGCTCACACCGTCACACCCGAGCCTGTGATTTGATGGAGGGACGACAGCTCCCGAGATGTCTTTATGCGCACACAGGTGTTTAACGGGTGGAATAAATGTGTCAAGGTTGGAAGCCTGGTTTTGGGCAAATTACATTCTGGATCTGGAAATCACTGTGACAATTCTTCACAGGTATGTAGGCCACACGCCGAGTTGCTCACAGGATTAGCTATAAAGTCTGTGAACGTGCAAAATTATTTTGAAGTCTCCCACCGTCAGTGATAGCTGATACCTAAATTGTGTGACAATGTTCAATTCCGAGTTTAAAACTGACTTCATTTTACAGGCCTTGGGGGAAGAGGAGGCTGTGACATCCAGCCTGCACCATTCATAGAAGATGCTTTGTTCTATGTGATTTGGGAAGGTGTTTTATAAGCCTGGTGCTGTTTATTGTTTAGCATCTCTCACAGACAACTCTCTTTCAAACCCCATTTCTCAAGCGTATCCTAATTCGACACCACCTATTGGTTATGACTTAGGTGTTGACAGTCCTGTTTAGTGTCCAATTTTGATTCCTTTTCCTGATTCTTGTTTTAGGTTTTGTCTTTTGAAGGCCATATGTAAGTGCAAGGAAACATGCTGTATTCTAATGAAACTTAAGATTTACATTCATTTTTTCAAATGTTCATTTGACGTCCCTCCTACAATAAAAGTCTTCATCTTTTTATGTGACACTTCTCTTCAGTCAGAGCACAGCTCTCCCTCACTTGCAGATGTGAGACAGCCGGGGTTTCCTCCAGGCGCCCTCACTGTAAGCTGTGAGGCTCCCCACAACTTTCTGTTGTAGGACATAGCACATTCTTGATGACTTATTTGTGTATTAACTTGAATAGCGGTTTGTACACCTCCGTATATTAAGAGAACATGCGTGGAGGCAGAGTTTCTTATATAAAATCTATTCTTATTTCCTCTTATAAGAAATCTTGACAATAAGTTAAGAGATTAGGGAGTTTACATATTGCATACTACTATTAACAAATATTAAATATTTTCATTGTTAAAAGATTAATGATTAACCCCAAAAAGAGAAACCATCAGGAAAAAAAGTATTGGATTTGATATTCAATGATATTCAATTAAGGATTGTTATTCAATAAAATATCCCACCAAAAAATGCTAACAGTTATGTGGAAGAATATATTTAACATTTCTAAAATACATAAAATGGTAATATCTAAATCTACAAGAAATTATAAATCCACAGAAAACAACAAAGAAAAAATACAAAGAAGCTAAATGGGCTGGTCACAGAAGTGAGTGGTTAACCAGTAAATGAAGGCACTTTTAGTCCCACAAGGTGGCAGAGAAATGCAAATTAAAACAAGAGATTTTAGTTTCCTATCTGATGGAGACAAATGGAAAAGTTGCATCAAAGCAAGTGTTGGTGAGAACGTGTCAGGATGCTTTGTGCTGAGGGCCACATGTGGAAACATGACTTGGCATCACAGTGTAGTTAGAAAGCCATTATATCCAAGAGGCTTGGTGCATCCCAGAAAACCTTGCTGTCACAGTGGAAAGCAACACTGGGAATCACCCACCGCAGTGGTCGGAACCTGAGTTCTAGCAAGCCCCCCCGCCACGTGCTAACGTGCTCTGGAGTCCCATATAAACTTAAAAGGCAGCCTAGACCACAAGGACTGCAACTCCTGGGCAAGTCCTGGTGCTGTGCTGAGCTCAGAGTCAATGGACTGGGGGGACACATGACCCAGTGAGATATCAGCCAGGGCAGCCAAGGGAGTGCTTGTGCAACCCCTTCTCCTACCCCAGGCAGCACAGCTCACAGCTCCTGAAGAGACTTCGTCCTTCCCCTGAGGAGAGGAGAGGGAAACCTGAGGAGGCCTTTGTCTTGCAACTTGGATACTCAGCCACAGTAGAATAGGGCACAGAGTCCTGAGGCCCTCATTCCAGGCCCTAGCTCCTGGATGACAATTCTAGACACACCCTGGGCCAGAAGGGAATCCAGTGCCTTGAAGAGAAGAACCCAGTCCTGGCAGGATTTGTCACCTGCTGACTAAAGAGCCCTTGGGCCCTGAATAATCAGCAGCGGTAGCCAGGTAGTACATGCCGGGGGCCTTGGGTGAGACTGTAAGACATGCTGGCTTCAGGTGTGACCCAGCACATTCCAAGCTGTGATGGCTAAGAGGAGAGGCTCCTTCTGCTGGAGAAAAGAAGAGGGAAGAATATGGGTACTCTGTCTCAGTACCATCTTGGCCACAGTAGGGTAGAGCACCAAGCAGGCTCTTGGGGTCCCCAGTCCTAGGCCTTGGCTCCTGGAAAGCATTTCTGGACCTGCCCTGGGCCAAAGGGGAGCCCACTGCCCTGAAAGGAGAGTTCTAGGCCTGGCAGCATTCATCACACACTGAATAAAGAGCCCCTGGGCCTTGAGTGAACACTGACAGTAGCCAGGCAGTACTCGCTGCAGGTTGGGAGCAATGGTGGCCACGGGGAGAGACTTCTCTGCCTGTGAAAATGGGAGGGAAGGATCTTGTCTTGTGGCTTGGATGCCAGCTCAGCTGTAGTAGAATAAAGCACCAGCTAGATTCCTAAGGTTTCCAACTCTAGTCCCTGGCTCCCAGATGGTATCTCTGGACCTGCCCAGGGCTGGGGGAAACTCACTGCCCTAAAGGGAAGGAAAGAAGCCTGGTTGGCTGTGCCACCTGCTGATTGAGCAAATTAGGCAGTAGCTGGTCAGTGGTTACCATGGGCTTTGTGTGAGTACTGTACTGGCTTCAGGTATGACCAGCACAATCCCAGTGGTGGTGACCAGAGGGATGCTTGTGTCACTCTTCCCCAAGCTACAGGCAGCTCTGCATGCAGAGAGAAGCTCCAGTTGTTTGGGAGAGAGTAAGGGAATAGAACAAGAATCTCTTCCCAATAATCCAGAGAATTCTTCTGGATCTTCTGCAAGACCACCAAGGCAGTACCCCTACAAGTCTGCAAGAGCCACAGCATGACTGGGCTTGGGGTGCCCCCTAAGATATGGCTGCAATGACTGAAAACTTAAATTCTAACACCCAAGTCCCTTTGAATACCTGAAAGACCTTCCCAAGAAGGACAGGTACAAACAAGCCCAGACTGTGAACACTACAATAAATACTTAATTCTTCAGTGCCCAGACACTGATAAACATCCACAAGCATCAAGACCATCCATGAAAACATGACCTCACCAAACAAACTAAATAAGGCACCAGGGACCAATCCTGCAGAGACAGAGGTATATGACCTTTCAGAAAAGGAATTCAAAATAGCTGTTTTGAAGACACTCAAAGAAAATTGAAATAACACAGAGAAGGAATTCAGAATCCTATCATAAATTTAGCAAAGAGATTGAAATAATTAAAAAGTCCAGCAGAAATGTTGGAGCTGAAAATGCAATTGACATACTGAATCATCCACTGGAGTCTCTTACCAGCAGAACTGGCCAAGCGGAAGAAAGAATTAGTGAGCTTGACAACAGACTATTTGCATATACACAGTCAGAGAAGACAAAATAGAAAAGAACTTAGCACGCCTATAAGATCTAGAAAATAGCCTCAAATGCTCAAATCTAAGAGGTAGTGACCTTAAAGAGGAGACAGAGAGAGTGAGGTTAGAGTAGAAAGTTTATTCAAAGGGATAATAACAGAAAACTTTCCAAACCTAGATAAAGATATCAATATTCAAGTACAAGAAGGTTACAGAACACCAAATAGATTTAACCCAAATAATGTCTCAAGGCATTTAATAATCAAACTCCTAAAGTTCAAGGATAAAGAAAAGATCCTAAAAGCAGCATGATAAAAGAAAAAAATAACATACAATGGAGCTCCAATCCATCTCGAAGCAGACTTTTCAGTGGAGACTTTACAGGCCAGAAGAGGATGGCATGATATACTTAAAGTGCTGAAGGAAAAAACGTTTATCCTAAAATAGCATAAGCAGTGAAAATATCCTTCAAATATGAAGGAGAAATAAAGGCTTTCCCAGACAAAAAAAGAGCAGAGGGATTTCTTAAACTCTAAACCTGTCCTACAGGAAATACTAAAAGAAGTTCTTCAATCTGTAAGGAAAGGAGATTGAAGAACCATAAGAAATCATCTGAAGGTGCAAAACTCACTGGTAATAGTAAATACACAGAAAAACACAGAATCTCATAACACGTAATAGTGATGGGAAAACTACTCGTACCTTGAGTAGAAAGACTAAAAGATGAACCAATTAAAATAATAACTATAACAACTTTTCAAGACATAGATAGTCCAACAGGATAAAAATAGAAACAATAAAGAGTTTAAAACAGGGGGACAAAGTTAAAGTGTAGGGTTTTTATTAGTTTTCTCTTTGTTTGTTGGTTAGATTGGCTGTTTATACAATCAATGTTAAGTTGTCATCAGTTTAAAATAATGGGTTATAAGGAATTATTTGCAAGCCTCGTGATAATCTCAAATCAAAAAACATACAATGGATACAAAAAAAAAACACACATATACAAAAAGCAAGAAATTAAAACACACTACCAGAGAAAATCACCTTCACTAAAAAGAACACAGGATGGAAAAAATGAAGGAAAGGAAGACCAGAAAATAAATAATAAAATAGCAGAAGTAACTCCTTACTTATCATAATAATATTGAATATAAATGGCCTAAATTCACCCATCGAAAGGCACATAGTGGTGAATGGACTAAGAAACCAAGACTCAGTGATCTGTTGCCTTCAAGAAACACACTTCACCTATAAAGAAACACACTACTGAAAATAAAGACATGGAAAAAGATATTCCATGCAAATGGAAATCAGAAAGAACAGGAATAGCTATGCATACATCAGACAAAATAAATTTCAAGACTAAAACTATAAAAAGAGACAAACAGGGTCATTATATAATGACAAAGGAGTCAATTCAGCAAGAGGATATAATAATTGTAAATATAGAGAGGCTGGCGGATCACAAGGTCAGGAGATTGAGACCATCCTGACTAACACGGTGAAACCCCATCTCTACTAAAAAATAGAAAAATTTAGCCGGGTGTGGTGGTGGGTGCCTACAGTCCCAGCTACTCGGGAGGCTGAGGCAAGAGAATGGCATGAACCCAGGAGGCGGAGCTTGCAGTGAGCTGAGATCATGCCACTGCACTCCAGCCTGGGCGACAGAGCAAGACCCCATCTCAGAAAAAAAACAATTGTAAATATATATGCACCTGAAACTGGAGCACCTAGATATATAAAGCAAATATTATTCAAGCTAAAAAAGAGAGAGAAACTCAAACACAATAATAGCTGGGACCTCAGCACCCCGTTTTCAGCATCAGACAGCATCTAGATAGAAAATCAAAAAACAAACATCGGACTTAATCTGCACTATAAGCTAAATGGATCTAATAGTTATTTACAGAACATTTCACCCAAGAGCTGCAGAATACACATTCTTCTCTTCAGCACATGAATCACTCTTAAGGATAGACGATATGTTAGGCCACAAAATTAGTCTCAAAAAAATTTTTTTAATGAAATTACATCAAGTAACTTTTCGGATGACAATAGAATAAAACTAGAAATCAATAACTACAGGAATTTTGGAAATTATACAAACACATAGAAATTAAATATCTGCCTGAATAACCAGTGGGTCAATGAAAAAATTAACAAGGAAACTGAAAAATATCTTGAAACAAATAATAATGGAACAAAACATACCAAAACCTACGGGATACAGCAAAAGCAGTACTAAGAGGAAAGTGTATAGCTATAAGCACCTACATCAACGAAGTAGAAAAACCTCAAATAAACAACCTCACAATGCCTCTTAAAGAACTAGAAAAGCAAAAGCAAACCAAACGCAAAATTAAAAGAAGAATAGAATAAATATCAGAGCAGAAATACACGAAATTGAAATGAAGAAAACAATGCAAAACATCAACAAAATGAAAAGTTTTTTACTTGCAAAGATAAAATCTACAAACCTTTGGCCAGACTAAGAAAAAAGGAAAGAAGACCAAAATAAATAAAATCAGAGATGAAAAAGGAGACATTTCAACCAATACTGCAGAAATTCAAAAGGTCTTTAGAGGCTACTATGAGCAACTATAGGCCAATAAATTGGAAAAGCTAGAAGAAATGGGCAAACTCCTAGACATATACAACTTACCAAGATTGAATCATGAAGAAATCCAAAACCCGACAGACCAATAACAAGTAACAAGAGTGAAGCCATAATAAAAAGTCCCAGCAAAGAAAAGCCCAGGACCCTGCCTCAACCTCCCAAGTAGCTGGGATTACAGTTGCCCACCGTCATGCCTGGCTAAGTTTTGTATCTTTAGTAGAAATGGGGTTTCACCATGTTGGCCAGGCTCTTCTCGAACTCCTGACTTCAAATGATCCACCCTCTTCGACCTCCCAAATGGCTTTACTGCAGAATGTTACCAAACATTTAACAAAGAACTGATACCAATCTTCCTCAAACTATTCCAAAAATTAGAGGAGGAGGGAAAATTTCCAAACTCATTCTACAAGGCCAGTATTGCCCTGATACCAAAATCAGACAAAGACACATCAAAAAAAAGAAACTACAGGCCAGTATCCCCAATGAACATTGATGCAAAAATCCTCAACAAAATACTAGCAAGCCAAATTGAATAATATATTAAAAAGACATTCAACATGACTAAAGGGGATTTATCCCAGGGATGCAAGGATGGTTTGTGATAGGCAAATCAATCAATGTGATATATCATTCAACAGAATGAAGGGCAACAAGCATCTGATCATTTCAATTGATGCTTGAAAAGCATTTGATAAAATTCAACATTCTTCATGATAACAACTCTCAAAAAACTGGGTATAGATGGAAAATATCTCAACACAATAAAAGCGGAACACAATAAATGTGGAAAAACTGAAAGCCTTTCTCTGAAGATCTGGAACACGACAAAGATTCCCAATTTTTTTTGGTTTTTTGAGATGGATTCTCACTCTGTTACCCAGGCTGGAGTACAATGGTGCAATCTCAGCTCACTGCAACCTCTGCCTCCTAGGTTCAAATAATTCTCCTGCCTCAACCTCCCAAGTAGCTTGCCCACTGCCATGCCTGGCTAAGTTTTGTATTTTTAATAGAAATGGGGTTTCACCATGTTGGCCAGGCTGGTCTCAAACTCCTGACCTCAAATGATCCACCCTCTTCGACCTCCCAAAGTGGTGGAATTACAGGCATAAGCCACCACACCTGGCTAAGGATGACCACTTTCACCATTATTATTCAACATACTACTGAAGGTCCTTTCCTAGAGAAAGAAATAAAGGACATCCACAATGGAATGCAAAAAGTCAAATTCTCATTGTTTGCAGATGATATGATCTTACAATTGAGCTCTGGCAATGATGCAGCCGATCCATGTCATTACACATTTGTCCAACCCCATGGAACTCACAACACCAAGAGTGAGCCCTTATGTAAACTGTGTACTCTGGCTGGTGATGAGCTGTAGGTTCATTGATGTAAAAACGCCCCACTCTGGCAAGGGTGTTTACAGTGGGGTTTACACTATATGTGTTGGGGGCAGGCGACTTACGGCAACTCTGAACCTTCCTCTAAATTTAGCTGTGAGCCTAAAACTTGTCTGAAAAATAAAATCTTCTTTGGCTCATGATCAAAGAATGCTAAAAAGAATTTGATGTTTTATGATCTGCAGTTAATATCATAATACTATTATCAACCTCCCGCCCTTAAGACTTTACCAAGCACAAAACTGGATGCCGAAAGTAAACACTGCTCTGCGTTCCGGACCCCCAGCTGCCATTTTCCTTCCCTCTCCTCCTGTCACTGGCTCGTCGCGGGACAACCTACTGTGTCCCTGTGGCCACCGCATTTCTGCTCTTAATCATCTGCTTTGTGAGCCTAGAAATGACAGTCGTGCATGTGAGAACGATACTTAGATTACAAACAAAGATGACGTGAGAACACAGGATGTTTGTGTGGCTTCTTGGAGCTGGGGACATCTGTTCCAGCAGCTAGAGGCTTGCTTCTCTGTGTCCTTACGGGCTCCTGGCTGCGAGTAAGTATTAGAGGACTCGGTGCCGCTCTTGCAGGCTGGACTCCCCTCCGCTTTATTTTACTATGAGCTCATCGCCTCTGTCACTCTCTGTAAGCGTCTTAAGCGTGGGTGTCCCACTTTACGGAGTCATAAATCCTCTCACAGTGATTCACACAGGGACCTCACCTCAAGTACATTTTGAACTAGAAAGCTAAATTTGTGACAGGCAAAGTTACAAGAAGGAGATTTCAGCCAGATTTTTTTTTTTTTTGAGACAGAGTCTCACTCTGTAGCCCAGGCTGGAGGGCAGTGGTGCAATGTCAACTCACTGCAACCTCCACCCCCCAGGTTCAAACGATTCTCCTGCCTCAGCCCCCTGAGTAGCTGGGATTACAGGTGCGCACTTGCACCTGTCAGGATGGGCGGCTGAGGTCCTCAGGTGCTACGGAGTCTCTGCTTCCTCAGCCCACCGTGGCTTGGTCAGGCTGTTCACATTGCAGTTCCTGGGAACTGTTTGGGATTCTCTTACTGTAAGAGGGTTTGTTTTCAATGCCTAAATGCCTTCTTTTATCCTACATGGGGTTTGTGACAAGCCACAGTCTCTTCGGGGTGATCCAAGTTAATAGCCACAAGTATCTTTGCCAGGAGAGCGTGTGGGGAGGACACCAACCACCTGGCGAGCTCCACACGGACAGCGATCCTAAACGTGCTTAGATTCAGCCACCTGCTGGGAGGTCCTACAATAGCGTTTTTAACAGCGTGGCAATGCGAGCACTCACCTCTGAATTCCCTGTTGAAATGCACATCTCTGGCTGCATCCGGGATATAGCACGTGAGAATCTCTCATGTCAGGACACAGAATCCCTGTGTTTAAGGAGTAGCTGCAGTGACTCTTCCGGGCCCAGAGGCTGGACTCTGCCATGGCTATCTCCACACAGCCGTCTCATTAGCACTCTGGGGACTGCTCTGATTCAGATTTTAGGAACATGAAACTAAGAACGTTGATGAGGCTTAGTGGCGTGTCCCAGACTATACAGACAGCAGAAAACAGAGCTGCAATAATGAACTGTGAGCGACCGCCAGCGTTTTACCTACTGAGTCACAACCATTAGTGAGGAGCGTGCTGTGGGGATTGATGACCGAGGCTCCACGACCCATTCCCGCCCTCCAGAGCTCTCAGGTGTGGGGATTGACGACCCAGGCTCCACGACCCATTCCCGCCCTCCGGAGCTCTCAGGGAGCAGGCCTGGATGATGAATTCATCAGCCCGCAGCTGTGTGCATTCAACTGTTCAGTTTCTGCTGCTGAAGCGTTTGGACGCATCTTTAGGGCGTGAGAACACATTCTAAGGTGTTTGCCACACAGCGTGGCCCACCAGCAGCAGGGCCGCATCACTGTGTCAAGACCCTAGCGTGGCATGGTACACGGTGATGCCAGCAAGATGGGCTCTGAAGGGAGGGCCTTAACACGCCTCCTTCAAGACCTCCGAGGAACTGAGCACAGTCAGCTCTTCTGTGCACAAATAGGTTTAATTGCGCTGGGCGCGGGCTCATGCCTATAATTCTGGTACTTTGGGAGGCCAAGGCAGGCGGATCACTCGAGGTCAGGAGTTCCAGAGCAGCCTGGCCAACGTGGTGAAATGCCATCTCTACCAAAAATACAAAAATTACCCGGGCACGATGGTGTGCGCCTGTAATCTGAACTACTCGGGAGGCTGAGGCAGAGAATAGCTTGAACCCAGGAGGCGGAGGTTGTAGTGAGCCAAGACTGCACCAGTGCACTCCAGCCTGGGTGACAGAGTGAGACCCTGTCTAAAAAAAAATTGGGGGTTGGGGGGAGACGAATAGCTTTAATTTCATTTGTCTGAAGAGGTGAAAAGTCCCCCTTTCTCACTGAGCAAGAATATTAGACTTCTGCAAATTGTTCTCACTTCTTTCTTTTGCCTCAATTTATAAGATTCATTGCCTCAGTCTAAAAGGCCCACGTGTTTCCTGGTGTTATATCAGGTTTAAAATATTCAAAATACTCAGCTAAGAAAACCATTCTCATTTATTATAAAAATCCTAAAGCTCAGCAGGGGAAAATGGTGACGCCATAGAAGAGTTCAAACAGAATTCTATTTCCACAGAAGAAAATGCTATGAGAAAAACTAAGATAACAACTTCAGGTTGGAGAGCTTCTGTCTCCACTCTGCTTACGAATATACTTTTAGCAACATTCCTTTTTTTGGGATGCAGCTCTGGGAGCTGCATCCTCTAGGAGTCCTGGTGCCCTGATACCCTGTGGGGGGTGGGGGCTGAGTGCATCTGACCCCCTGGGGTGGGGGGCTGAGTGCATCTGACCCCCTGGGGTTGGGGCTGAGTGCAGCTGATACCCTGAGGTGGGGCTGAGTGCATCTGACACCCTGGGGTGGGGGCTGAGTGCATCTGACCCCCTGGGGTTGGGGCTGAGTGCATGAAAAATAAAGATTTTAAGAGGAAAAATAATTTTTTCAAGACCCCTGACAAATGAACAATAACACTTGGTTCTGGCTCAAGTACAAATTGTGTCTAGAAACGTTTGGGCCTGCTGCAGTGGCTCACACCTTAATCCCAGTACTTTGGGAGGCTGAGGCAGGAAGACAGCTTAGGGCCAGGAGTCTGACACAAGCCTGGGCAACACAGTGAGACCCCATCGCTACCAGAACTAAAAACATTAGTTGACCATGGTGGCATGCACCTGTGGTCCCAGCTACTCAGGAGGCTGAGGCGGGAGGATCACTTGAGCCCAGGAGTTGGAGGCTGCAGTGAGCTGAGAGTGCACCACTGCCCTCCAGCCTGGGCGACAGAGGGAGAAACAGAGGGAGACCCCATCACAAAAAAAAGAAGCACACGAAAAAGAAAAAAGAAAAATGTTTGTGTCTACAGGTTTTCAACTCAAACTTTTCCTTGGTAGGAGGCCAGGTGAGGGTGGAGGAGGGTGTCTTCGGATCAGAGGAAGAAAGAAGCCCAGGTGGCCCGATGGCTGGGTGTCGTCACGGCCATGGCCTTATCTGCTCTGAGGGCAGGGTGGTGGCGACATGCAGGAGCACCAGGTCTCACCACAGCGTTCACTCGGCCCACGCCTCAAGCACACGGGACGGGAAGGAGCGTCTTCCTCCCTCATCCTGGCCACGCCTTTCATCGGCTCCAGACCGTTTTCTTCCTCAGCTGTCTCAGTGAAGACCCCAGGAGCCTGTGAGGCCCGTGTCCTTTTCCATTGCGGGTGCGGGGCTCGAGGCCACCCCTCCTGTGTCGAGCTGGGTTCGAGGCCCACACTTGGGCCTTGGGGTCGGCACTGGAGACGCTGGAGGCCACGGGGTCCTGAAGACCCCAGTGGTTAAATACGAGGCCCTGCCTGGTATTTAACATTCTAATCCGACCTCAGCCCAGTCTGAGGGCAGAGAGTGATCTCTAAGCTCCAACGGCTCAGAAACATGCAAAGGCACCTACCCCTGTGCTCCCCCAGGACATGGAGTGGCCACGAGAGGACAGGTGCATCCCCGGGGAACGTGGCTCCAGGCCTGTTTCCATTGCAAGGAAATTTCTGAGGCTCCTGGTCCTGGCCTCTCTGCAGCTCCTACCCCAGCCTCTTCTCCCCAGGGGAGGAATGTGGGGAGCAGCCCTTCCCTCACATCTGGGCTCTCCCATGGGACCTGCCCCCCAGGAGCAGGGCTCTGTGCTCACTCACAGGGAGTTCTGGGAGCTGCATCCTCCAGGAGTCCTGGTGTCCTGATACCCTGTAGGGGGTGGGGGGCTGAGTGCATCTGACCCCCTGGGATTGGGGCTGAGTGCATCTGACACCCTTGGGTGGGGGCTGAGTGCATCTGATACCCTGGGGTGGGGGCTGAGTGCATCTGACCCCCTGGGGTTGGGGCTGAGTGCATCTGACACCCTGGGGTGGGGGGGTGAGTGCATCTGACACCCTGGGGTGGGGGCTGAGTGCAACTGATACCCTGGGATAGGCCTGAGTGCATCTGACACCCTGGGGTGGGGGCTGAGTGCATCTGACATCCTGGGGTAGGGGCTGAGTGCATATGACCCCCTGGGGTGCGGCTGAGTGCAAGTGACACCCTGGGGTGGGGCTGAGTGTATCTGACACCCTGGGGTGGGGGCTGAGTGCATATGACCCCCTGGGGTGGTAGGATGTGTGCACTGACTCCGGTGGCCTTCACAAGCCCACGTGGCAACAAACCCAGCACCACTCTCTGGCACAGCCCCTGCGGGTGAAGCAGTGGCTGTGAGTCCCACCTGCCTGGCTGCTGAGCCGTTTCTCAGTTCGTTCTTACCTGGGGGGTGGGCGGGAGGACATGTTCTACATTAGTTCCCCCAAGCCCCACTGCAACTGGGAAATTTCATGGAGGAGGTGCTGCTGGTGGAAGGGGACAGGACACCGGGGAAGACGTGGGATGGCCCTAATGCTCTTCCCTGCCCACCCTGGTACCTCCCGACCCACTCCAGGGGCAGGGGACTGTGCCTGACGGTCCTACTGACCACCTCTTTCATTTTCTGTGCTTTGTGATGTTTTGGCATCTTACAGCTTGCTGGCCTGGCCAGGGACAGGCTGTCCTCCTGAGTCAGCTCATTCTTAGAGATGGGAAGGGCTTGGCTGGGAGCTCATGGCCAGACCAACTGGCCGCAGTCCACACCCCCAAGCCCTCCTCAGCTACTCTCACACACAAGCCCTGCCCTGTATCACCCCTGGGCCCGGTACCAGGCAACTGGAGACCACCGTGATAGCACAAAGCCCACTGGAAGGACACAAACCAGTGCAGCGAAGCAGCTCCCCCAACCTGCCTTCCCTAGGAACCAAAGTCTAGGCGCTGGCCTCGGCTTCCACCTGCTCCTGTGCAGCCCATCCTGGTGTTCCCGAGGTCCTAGGTGGTGTGCCGTGATCCCCCGCTGGGACCCGTGAGCAGACCGAGGAATCCAGGGCACCTGGGAGTGGGAACAGACACCCCAACTTAGAACCTCTGTGCCAGGGGAGCTTCAGGAGCCGGTGAGGGCAGTTCCTCACTTAACGGGCAGGACGTGTCAACCCTGGGTCCCGCAGGCAGAGCTACGCTCCCTGATTCACAGGAGAAAAAGCCGCATCTGACGCTCGCTGTGGAGAAAGAGAAAAGCACTCGGGGCACATCAGGAGGACTGGCACTTTCTGCGTGATTTATTTCATCTCGGCATGAACTGACAAACATACGAGGCTCTGCACTATTTATGCCCAGGATTTTAAAAGTCAAGCATTAATAAATACATTAACTACACAGATCACAACAGCTGCCCTGAACTTGGCCTTCAACAGGTGTAGTTTACCTTTAATAAATGGTAACATTTGAGAATCGCTTAGAGCTTGAACAGGCTTTGGAGGAGCTTTGATCTCACATGAGAACCCGTCTCCTGTTTCATATGCGTTCAATCCAAATCCATCCACTTGGCGTGTCTGAAGCTCCTGCCAGCACAGTGTCTGTGCCGGGTGCCCGAAGGCTGCACAGTCCAGGCTTCCTCCCGGATGTGGAAAACGTGGAAATGATGTGGCCACTGAAAGAAATTCAAGACAACTGAAACAACTGCAGATTTCCATTTTCAGCTCGTGTTTTCTTATGAACAATAACATTGCAGAAGGGGAAATATCAGAAAGTTGATTGATTTTTAACCCAAAAACAGAACTTTTTGTAAGCTAGGAAAGCATCTAAAATTAACAAGAATACAAAAATGCACTTTTGTTTACATTTGCTCTATTTAGATCTTACAAGAGATTATGTCTTGAATCTATCCTGACTTCAGCAAAAGACAAAAGAACGTTGAAAACATCCTATTTCCAAATCGTTTACAGGAAGTTACCTAAGAGACTGACAGATTCAACGGCTGCTACCAGAATTACTGAAGTGACACCAGAAATTAGCAGAAACAGAGCAGATGATTAATTTCTTACTTATTTGTAGCCAAACTTATACAGTCACGAGTTTTAGTTAAGTAGCCAAAGAATTTCCACAACATTCATTTTCTTACAGCAGAAGTCGGTGCCTCCACAGACTCAGAAACCAAATCCCGAAGTTCCAAATCCAGCTCTACAAAGCTGCAGGAAGCAGTGCGGAGTGGAGGGATGTTCCCAAGAGGAAGAATAAAACCGGAAGGAAAAGGAGGAAGGCTCAAGCTCATTCCTCTGCATCTCAAATGAACCTTGATTGGCAATACAGAAGGGATTGCTGTCAACTAAGCAAAAGGTCAGGCTTCCATGCATAACATTTTCCCCAAAAGACACCACTGCCTTTTCAGACATTTGGAAAGGCCCCTGCGTATGGGTTAATTTCACGAGTCAGACATTTGGAAATGCCCCGGCATACGGGTTAATTTCATGAGGAGTGTGGACAGCTGTCATCAAGGCAATAGCCTCATCTAACTATTTTAATGGGTGGATGACCAGGAATATTTTTGCACCAACCTTTTTCCTACACAGTGTTGGACGCAGACTTAGAACACCACTTTGAATTGGAAAAGGTCCTACCTGGGGCATCAGCCGTTGCCAGGCAGTCTCAGCAATGCCTCTGCCCTCCCTGCAGCAGTCCCAAAATGAAAGCCACACCTTGGAGGGTGTGGCTTTTCTCTGTTTCATGGGTGCAAACCCTAGCGGCTCCACACCCCAGGGACTGGCCCCCAAAAAGCAAAAACACTGCTCATGGCGTGGCAGGTCCTCTAGTATGTATTTTTATGTGATATCACTATTCAGAACTGTGGTGTATACTATTCTATAAATTTCCACAATAGGTTGGCCGGACATCCTTTAATGGTGGGTATTAATTCCTCTTATTCTTTACGTTTCTTAGTGCATTTTGTTGTGAGGTGACAGGGAGCACCTGGGGCTTTGCTGCCGGGCCCCACAGGAAGCTGTGCTACATCTAGTGTGAGCATTCCTTCACTAAATGAAACGCTGGAAAGCCATGGGAACCGCACAGGACTGTGCAACCACCCCCATCCAACATCCACCACTTCTCATATCCTTTTCCGGGGACAGTGTTACTCTGGAAGCCTAATTTCAATATTTCATTTTCAAACAATAAACATTACAGGAATGATTTCACAAGTAAAATCACAGTGATAACAGCATATGAGTTTGATATTTAAGGACTGAAAATATTAGCCTGGTCCTGGTCCCATTTCATATAAAAATTTCTACCATTAATAAAATTCTAGAGGAAAAGGCAGGACAGTGTGAATGGTACATTGCTTAAAATGAACATTATTTGTTTCCTTTTGCTGTAAATACTGTTTCTACAACCATTTCTCCAGTATACTCCTATAAAAGGCCAATCAAGTCAGGCGATATGAAGTCTGTTTTTCTTTCCCAAGATGATTAACCAAGTTGCCAAGCTATCCCCTCAGTTCATGAGTAACCATGGGCAAGCAGACACGTCCCCAGAACATACCGTAACCCAGATCATAAATTCCAGCCCCCGAGTCATGCATAAGGTTCAAGCTGATCACTTCTAAACACACTTAACTGAGACCTCTCATAACCACAGACTCTTTAAAAAGCATAACCTATTTTTCAATTACCCACTGATTTCTACAGAGATGGCAGTTCCCATTACTGGATTAACAAACAAATAATATTAAAGTAGGCAGGATTTCAACTAGTTACGTTCCAGTAACTTTTCCTCTTACAGTAAGAAAATGGGTTGGATTCGGAGTTCAAATGTTCGCCTCTATTTGTGAGCATGGATCTCATCCTCAAAGTCATAATAGTAAGTCCTCTGTATACACACTTGAAAAGTAAAATGTTAAATGAGAAACGACCCAACTGATTTGTTTTTAATCCTCATACCCTGTCAATGCAGTGAGCCTCGTGTTAATTCTATTAGGGTATTTTGGAACTCAATTCAATACAATTAAATACATGCAGTTTACTTGCAAATCTATGGTGATAAGCACGTCACTTCCTTGTTATAAATCTATGCCCACTGTCACTCGGCCACACTTAGAATACTGATTGTAAAAATTAATCTCCCTCATCAGAACTACACGATCCACATTGAAAACATCATATACAGTGGGTTTAAAATGTGCCTACACTTTTTTTTATAGAACTGTCAAAGCAAAATGATTTTCCCCGCTTTTTAGGAATATTTTATCTCGTTCCAGATTATGAAAGCGGCTGGGCATACAGAGTGGACTATCAAAGATTGCTTTTTAGATAGACAAGCACCCTGGTAAGTTTTTCCTACTTATGATGTGCTGTTTGGTCACATTTAGCCACTGAAGACTTAAAATTTAAATAATGGTAAATCATCGCTACATCAGTTAACATCCTTTCAACTGAAAATATGAAAGCCCCCTCGGTCCAACAGTGAGACGGAGCTGCTCTAGGCATGTGAGTTTGAGTAGCAATGGTGTGGGGAAGGAAATACTTCCAATGCATATTGAACAAGAAACCTTACTGGTAATCAAAGATTTTACCTTTAATGCTTATTAAATTACTCTTTTTGGAGTTGAGCCAACCAAAGCGAGCACATGGTACGAAATTTTCAACTAAATCAGAAAGAGCTTTACTTATCAGTTATAATTTTAAATCTCAAGCCAAAAATAAAAGGCGTGACCCTCTCTGCGTGCTTCCCCCGATAGTTCGCGGCGACCTACTTGAGGGTCCCAGGCTCCTGCGCACAGCCTCGGTGCTCTGCGGGGTTCGGGACACCCCGGGGCCGGCTGCAGGCTGCCTCAGGAACCCCCACTGTACCCTGAGGCTGACCCTTTGGATCCCACAGCCTTCTCTGTGTCCTGTCTGTCAAGGGACCCATCCGCACACCTCCTGGGTCTCAAGGCATCCACCCCCAGAAGCAAAGACAAGCAAAAGGAAAGCAAAGCGAAAGCGGCCCTGAGAGCGTCCTCGGGGCTCCTTCGAAGTGTCCAAACCACCAGCGTGGCCAGCGGCCCCGACTCCCCACCACGTCCTCCTCCGCGGGCCCAAAGGGACCTGGGCCCCGCAAACCCCTGCCGAGGGAGACGCCCGCCGACCCCGCCGGCCTACGGGGCGCCCTGCTCCCCTCGGGGCGGCTTCTCAGGCAGGCTGAGAGCGAACGGGATGAGCACACCCCGGACGTCCAAGGGGGCGCCCAGCGCCTCGAAGCCGCCGCCCTGGCCTGCGTCGCCGCCGGCCTCGCCTTCCCGGGCAGGCTGGAAGCGCCAGGTGCCCGCGCGGCTCACGCAGTAGATGGCGCCGTCCAGGGCGGCGCAGCGGAAGGGCTGCAGGCCCGTGGGGCCGCCGGGGAGGCGCAGGGGCGCGACGCACGGGCTCCACTGCTTGGCCAGGCAGTGGTATCGGGACACGCTGACCCCGCTCGGCCCCGCCGCCTGCGCCTCGCCGCGGCTGCCGCTCAGATCGAAGCGGTAGATGAAGCCGTCGAGAGCCACCATGTCGGCCGAGCGCTCGCGGCTGCTGCTGCACGGGCACTCCTGCCACTCGTCGCGCCGCGGGTCATACTTGAGCAGGCGATAGAAGAGGGAGCCCCCGGACACGTAGATCTCGCCGTGGCAGGTGGTGGCCTCATGCGCCACGGCGAAGGCGCCCCGGGGCAGCGGCGCCACGGGGGCCCAGCGGTCGGCGCGCGGGTCGTAGCGCTCCACGCTGAGCAGGCACTCGCCGCCCACGGCGTAGAGGTGACCGTCCAGGGCCAGCAGCCGCAGCTGCGAGCGCGCCTGGCGCAGGGGCCTCACGGCGCTCCAGCTGTCCGTGGCCGGGTTGTAGCAGAAGACCTGGTCGGACGGGCGCGCGCGGCCGTCGGGGCCCGCGGGCGCCACGCCGCCCGCCACGAAGAGGTAGTTGTAGAGGACGCACAGGCCGCAGCCCCGCGCCGGCGCGCCCTCGGGCAGCCGCGTCAGCTCGCGCCACTCTCCGGCCGCCGCGTGGAAGCAGTAGACGGCCGCGTCCCCGCGCGCGTCCGCGTCCCCCGAGGGGCTCTGAGGCCGGCTGCCCGCGCGCTCCCCCGCCGGCCCGAGCGCCGCGGCCAAGAGGTGGGCGCGGCCGGCGCGCAGGCGGCGGCGCAGCAGCAGGTCCCGCTCTGCGCCCGACAGGCGGCCGAACACGGCGGGCTCGCGCAGCACCTCCAGATAGTGGTCGCTCATGAAGCAGTAGGCGGCGTCGCGCAGCTCGTTCAGCCGCTGCCGCTTGGCCGCGCTCAGGACCTCGTAGCAGTTGGCCAGGCTCAGCTGCGGCCCCACGGCGTCGGTGGCGCGCTGCGCGGCGCCGGGCAGCTGCAGGCGGCGCGCGCCGGCCACCACCTCGGCCACGTTGTCGGGCCGCACGCCCGCCATGCGCCCGCTGTAGGCGTCGGCGAGGAGCAGCCGCAGCGCCGTCAGGCTCACTCCCTGCACCCGCAGCACGTCCCGCGACGCGCGCGCGCGGAAGTAGTCGCTGCGCGCCGCCAGCACCGCCTTGTGCGCGCGCAGCCGGCGCCCCGACACCTCCAGCACCAGGTCCGGCTCCCCGTACACCGCCCCGAACCCCGGGGGTACGGGCGCGGGCTCCCCGGGCTCCTCGGGGGACGCGGGGTCCTCAAGCCAAACGCGCGGTTCGGGGGACGGCGCCGCGGGCTCTTCCGGGCACGCGCGCTCCTCAGGGGACGCGAGCTCCTCCGGGGACGCGGCGCCCGCGCTGCCGGCCTCCCACTGCCGCTCCACCACCCGCGGGCCACCGCTGGAGGGCGGGGAGGTGGCCGCGCCTTCCGCCGCTGAGGCGAGGGACTGCGGCGGGGACTCTTCCCCGGAGCTGAAGCACAGGGACGCGCCGAGACTGCAGGGTGTCTGCGCCGGGGACGCGGCGCCCTCGCTCTCGCTCTCCCCGGCAGCCCCGGGCTCAGTCCCTGGGTAGAGGACGCAGGGGGCCACCGCGTGCTCCATGGCCGGGCTGTGCTGCGCTGCGCCCGCGCGCCCCCGGTTCCGCAGCCTGCAGGTCTGGCCAAGGTCGAGCCTTACTCCGGGGTTTCCAGCCTCACAGCTTTTCCTGGCACGCGATCAGATTTCACTTCTGTGTGTCCACGCTTTGTTGTTGTGTGTGTGAAGGGGGGAATCTCACACGCTGCTCCCCCGCCTCGCCTTTGCCCTCTCCTCTCCAGCGAGGAGGGGTGTGTCCGACTTGCTGAACTTCTGAACCCCAGCCACTTTAAATCTGCCCAGAAAGTCTTGGTGAATGGATCTCCAGCTGGCGCCAGGACCGCGTCAGCCAACATCCAGCAATGACTGGAGCTGCAGTTGACTGCGGTTGTTTCTGCAGCCTGGGTGACCAGGTGTCTCTCTCTGCAGCCTGAGTGACTAGCTATCCCTCTTTGCAACGCTGGCTGACTAGGTGTCTCTCTGCAGTACCAGATAACCAGGTATTGGGTGCGCCCTCGCTCTCAGGAGTCCGTGCTCACCCACTCACTTCACATGCTGTCATATCACCGCGCCCCCAGAACACAGAAAGCTGAGACCGGCTGTGGCCCCAACTTCAGAGCCTTGATTTAACACCGTGTCTTGAAAAGAGTCCCCTTATGGGCTCTCCTTCTCTGTGGCTCCCACTTGTGGCTACACAACTGCAAGGTCACGGGGAGGACACTGGTCCTGTGTGCTGGTCTCAGGAGCTCTCCCCGTGTGTCGGCATCCACACCTCCTCATATACGGGGTCATCCGTAATTCACTGCCAGGGGGATGTTAGGAGAAGCCGCTGTGCTCCTGGAGGCTGTCCTCGCTCACGGGGCAGGACCCTTCCTCTGCAGCTTCCTTTGCTGGGATATCAGGTGTTTCCGCGTCCTCTCACCACACTCTTGTTCCTGTTTATAGGACAAAAAGAGAGGATATTTGTGCGTTTTTCAGTAAGGTTATTTCGTGTCAGCGGAGTCTACCACCCTTCCCTCTCCAACGTTCAGATTATAGAATTCAGTTTTGGTTGTAAAGGGGTTGTGATTTTTCTCTGCTGGAGAGTTTGATGAATAGGACATGCAGAATTATTTAGGAATTTTTTAAAGTACCCTCTCGATATTCCTCTCCTGATTTTGAGGACTCAGGAGAGTCCAGTTCAAGCAATTGGCACCACCAAACATTAAGGCCTGACACGCATCGGTTGAACCATATGAAGTTGCTAGTTCTGTAGGTCAAAAGCAGTCGAGTATCAACAATTAACTGTTTTCAACATAAAAAGTGTAAGTAGCATGAAGAACTCCTTTTAGTGAGAAAGCATGACTGGATTGTGTGATTTTATTAATTTATTAACAGATCACAAGTTTTCTTTCAGTGTTTCCCAGTTAATTATTTCACATTCGGTTACAACCATTTGTAGAAAGGCGTTAGGATGCTTCTCTGGAATCAGCTTCAGCCAACAGCATGAATTCAGGACCCCAAATGGCGCCAACTCCTAAATCTCTTTAAACTCTTAGAATTACAACCCTGAAAAACCTCAGAGAAGCAATTATCCAAACAGCCTAAATGCAGCAAAAGGAAAATCAAAGCGAAAAGACTGAATGAAGTATGTGGAAGGCAGATATGAGTGCCGGCAGATGCATTATAGAATACAATCAAATATCTTTCTTAAATTGGCAAACGCTTCACGGACACTCCCTAACATACTGGGAAGAAACTTAGAGTCTTAGAGTCCACATAAGCCAACTTCATTCTGGCCTTCTAAAGAAAAGAATGTGGACAACACAACCATCCAAAACATGACCAGGCTTATCTTTATACAGAATGCGTGTTCAGCTCTCAAGTGAGATGGGTAAAATGATACTTAACCCCCAGCATCTTCTAAAGTTCTACTTATTATGTGCAATAGCATTACCTGGTTACTATAAATTCCCTGCTCTTCCTGTCCCTCTGTCCCTGAAAAGGCTTTCCCAGTATTCTCAGAAATAAAAGTGTCTTCAAGTTGGAAACTCCACGTTTGACTCTCCCTGTCTCTCTCTCTCCCTCTGTCTTCCAGATATCTTTCACAATAAAATGTTGGCACACTCCCTATGTGCATAGAATTGTCATAAGATGCCTGGGGAATGTAATATTAAGAAGGTTTCTGAGAACCTTGAAGCTCTGATCCCCAGGGTAGGTCACAGACAATAGCTAAGCAGGACACAAGGGTCCCTTGTGTTCACCCAGCCATGCCCACACTGACAGGTGCTCACCCCAGGCCCCCATCCTGCTGTCCAGTGGTGGCCAGTCCAGGGCCGGGGAAAGGACCACAATGTAACGGTGACCCGAAATGGAAAAGCTGTGAAGCTGCATCGGTGAAGGGCACCAGCCCTGAAGACTGCAGAGTCTTTCCAGCCAGCTGAGTCATGCAAAGGAGAGAGAGAGCAAATCTAAGACAAACTTCTCTATCAGATAAGAAATACACATGAACCTCATGTCTGAAATAAAATCTGAGAACTGGCTGTCTCAGTTGGCTTATTCGTTTAACACTGCTTCTGTAAGATACAGAAGACATAGCCCCTAAAATCCAGTGTAGTAAACTTTCTTCTTGGCCTAGAAAGGGCTCTCGGAGCTCCCTAGTTCTTTCTCTGGCTGGACTGTCCTGCAATGTACAGGAGCCTCCATCCCGAGAGTCATCTTTATGTAATTAATCATTACAGACTGAAGGGAAGTCATGCAATCAGTCAAATGCATTTTAAAAGCTTAAATTTGGAACTCTGCCCTGCAAAGTCCTATGAAATCAGTTCAAAGCCTGAAAGAGTGTTTGATAAGTATACATTTTGTTATAACTACAATTAAGCAAGAGAGACATCTCCATGATGAAACAGACACACCAGAAAGCAGCCCACAGTGCCCCCAACAGCGAGGGACCCATCTCTGCTGTGCCAACAAGGAGGCTGTCTGGCTAGAGGCTGAGTAGCCCTCATCCCAAATGCTTGAGCTCTTCAGGATTTCCCATTTTTTGAATTTTGGAATACTTGCATTTATACTTACATTTCAACTCCCAAAACCCCAAATCTGAAAGGATCCAATGAGCATTATGTCAGCACTCAAAACAGTTCAGATTTTGGAGCATTTTCAGTTTCAAATTTGGGATGTTCAACTCACACCTGGGTTAGAACTGGTTCTTATTCCAGCTGGCCCAAGAAATAATGAAACTCAATCATCTCAAAAGTCATGATTCAAGCGGTCTTTATGTTACTTTTCCAACACACACACATTATTAAATTGTGTCCTTCTGAGGAGCCCCTTCCAGCAGAGGTGGTGGCCCTATCGTATTCTGTCGTTGCCGCCGTCCCCCTGCGTGCCCTTTGGCTCACATTACAAAGCAAGTTGGCAGAGCAGGGGATGGTCTCAACATGGTACAGCGTCGCACTCTCACTGGGAGGAATCACAAGGCCTCTCAGACACCACTGCATTGAGATCACCTGCCACAGGCAAAAGCAGGCCAGCAGCTCCCTGTCCACCACCATCAGCGATGTTGTTTCTGACACCAAGATCTTCAGCTACGCTGTTGAGTAGCAGCAGCAAGGCTGCATCAGGGGCTCGGGAGCCCTCCGCCGCCCCTCTAGGAGGCTCTGGGCAGCCCTTCCGGGAGATGGTCTCACAGCACTGAACGTGCCTGCCCTGCCGCGGGTCTCCCTGCAGAATGGACGTGGTGTCACACACCATGTGGGAAATGAGGTTAAGCAGGAGGCCCTTTTCTGTCTCAAATTATGTTAAAAGAAACTCAACATTAAGACTTTTTTTTTTTTTTCCAGAATGACCCATTACTGAAATTTTTACCTTAAAATAGATGGAGAGGAGTTGGCCTTTGGGTCTAGCAGTCCTCTGAGGCATCAGCAACCGCGGTGACTGTTAGGGTCAGATGTTTTTGGATGGGAAGTCAGGGATTTCCACAGGGATTCCTCCCACCGCCACCATTTTGTGGTTGGCTCCAGAATCAGAATTCCACTAAGAGGCTCCCTGAGGAGCGTCCATCCTTGTTACTGTGAAATTACTGAAACTCGCCCACCCCCCGCCGGAGGGTTTGGAAGGATTTTTTCCCTGGGTGATCGTCAACAAGGGTTTCCTGAGCCCACTTCTGGAGTCACAACCAGGCGACACAGAAAGTCAGCACTGCAGTTTCCATGGAAGGCACGGGGGGCGCGCGGGGGAGACAGGGAGTGACCAGTTTCCTCCTTGCTGGTAATTAGGAAATCATTTCATAAGAACAAGGGCTAATTAAATATAAATAGTATTAATTAAATGTAAATAATAAAATATATGTAGCATTTTCCCCCAGAAGATGTAAGTTTCTTCTGGGCCTTATAAATATCTAAACTTCTAAGTTTCTATACATTTCTTTACGATTAATACAAATTAAAAAATAAGATTTTGTATGATTTCCCAATGTGGACATTATATATTTAATGTGGACATTAGGACTTATTCAGAATAAAATATCATGCTCTATTTTAATAATACTGCTTGCTAAAAAGAGTCTTCCTTTCAAATCATTACAGTCAGCTTAATTTTTTTTTAAAGAATGCGTTCATTGACTTAGGGAGTTTATGTAAACTTCTGTGGTATGTTTTGCTTCTCAGTCCTTCAGCCAGGCGCGGTGGCTCAAGCCTGTAATCCCAGCACTTTGGGAGGCCGAGGTGGGTGGGTCACCTGAGGTCAGGAGTTCAAGACCAGCTTGGCCAACATGGTGAAACCCCATCTCTACTAAAAAAATACAAAATCAGCCGGGCTTGGTGGCACAGGGCTGTAATCTCAGCTACTCAGAAAGCTGAGGCAGGAGAATCACCTGAACCCAGGGGGCGGAGGTTGCAGTGAGCCGAGATCACGCCATTGCACTCCAGCCTGGGCAACAAGAGTGAAACCCCGTCCAAAAAAAAAAATTCCTTCCAGCGTCCTACACGCATTGCCTATATCCCACCACACCCTGTTAGACCACAGCGTCCCTGGGAATAGCGCCTGGGTGGGCCGTGCCCACATGGCCTCCATCAGCACCAGAAAGATGCCATTCACACAGTTAAGTAGCCAATGAATCGCAAGGTTAATTAAGAAAGAAGGGCCATAAGTCTAAGAAAAATTATAGCATCTTAGAAACCTGTAGGGAATCTCAGGATTTTTGTTTGTTTGTTTTTTGAGACAGGGTCTTGCTCTGTCATCCAGGCTGGAGGACAGTCACACAAGCATGGCTCACTGCAGCTTCAACTCCTGGGCTCAAGAGATCCTCCCACCTCAGCCTCCCAAGTAGCTGTGACTATGGGGGCGCACCACCACAGCTGGCTAATTTTTGTATGTTTAGTAGAAACAGGATCTCGCTATGTTTCCCAGAGTGGTCCTGAACTTCTGGGCTTAAATGGTCCACCTGCCTCGGCCTCCTAAATTTGCTGGGATTACAGGTGTGAGCCACCATGCCCGGTCAGGATTTCTCTTTGATTCAATGTATTGGTTCACTTTCAACTGCTGTTACAAATATTGCTTTTCAAGGTTATTTCCTCTCCAGGCCCAAATGAAAACAGGCCCACAGCTTCTGGGCAGGCAGGACCGAGGGTGGGTGAAGCAAGAAGGGAGTCGGTGCCATCACTGACACTGATGCCCCGTGGAACTGGCCGTCCTCACACCCAGCCCTGATCCACATTTTCTCAGTATGCTTTAAGGCACAGAAAATAGTGTAAAGGGACCATGAAAATGTGCAGAATTACACAGCCTAAAACTAGCCAGGAGGAAACACCACTCAGGAAATACATTTTCCTTGTAAAATGCAGCCCATATTTAACTTGGCCGTACGGCTACTAAAAGCAAGGTTCTGTGCTGTCCTGGGGAATGAGAAAAGTGGCTTCTGCTCTTAGTGTCTGCCTTCAGGATTCCTACAGTGGTTCAAGCAACGAGATACTACATGGATAAAAGAAAACTAAAGCCAATTGTAAGCAATATTTTCTGTGTAGTTTAGAAATGGGGAGGGTGTCTACAGCACGGTGGAGTTTCTTGAGTAACTGAATAAGTAAATGTTCCATAATATACCTAGCAACATGCATTAGAGTGTCTGTCCCACCACAGCACAATGTATATACTCTTTTAGCTTTTTTTTTTTTTTTTTTTTTTGAGACAAGAGTCTCACCCTTGTTCCCCAGGCTGTAGTGCAATGGCACCATCTCGGCTCACTGCAACCTCTGCCTCCTGGGTTCAAGGGATTCTCCTGCCTCAGCCTCCCGAGTAGCTGGGATTATAGGCACCCACCATCACGCCTGGCTAGTATTTGTATTTTTAGTAGAGACGGAGTTTCGCCATGTTGGTCAGGCTGGTCTCGAATTCCTGACCTCAAGTGATCCGCCCACCTTGGCCTCCCAAAGTGGTGGGATTACAGGCGTCAGCCACCACGCCTGGCCTCTTTTAGCTTGTTTTTTATGAAGGGCATCCTAAGAGACCAGCTGGACTGCAGTGTGACCTGACAACACGTGAGTCCGAAAGGACACAGAGCAGCGGGCGTCTATTTTGCCAGGCACTGTTCTGGTGTGTGCTACATCATATTAACACGTGGCACCCGCAGGAGCCTTCTGGGAGGGAGGTGTTGTGATTAGCCATTTATGTGATTTCATCAATATGCATTTTATAAGCCATGCAGTTTTAAGGGGCAGAGCCAGAAATGAGCCAAGCAACTGGCTCCACTGCCCACGCCATCAGCCACCGTGCCATGACACCTCTTGAGTCATTCAGACTCCCGGCCCTGTCTGAGCTGACGCCTGTCACAGCCATGCACGGGGCTGAGCAAAGCCTCTGGAATGTTCAGGCGGGTCGCCGGTTGCCCCTGCATCCTGTAGACAGAATCCAAGCAAGTCAGGGTGCTCTGCGCAGTTCTGAGCATTGACGCAGCAGGAGATGGGGCAGCACTGGGATCCTGGGGCAGGCCCGGCCTCGCTCCACCAGCTGTCCCCCACCTGCCCTCCTGGGGGTCATTTAGGGGAATAACAGTAGGCTGAATCTCCTAGCAGGACTTAATTGGAAGAAGTAAAATTATTGGGAATTTCCTGAAGAAGAGCTTTTATACAATAGATATTCTTGAAGTCTAAGCTCCGTAGGCCGGTAAACGAAGTATTGAGCAATCTGCTCCCAACTCACCCGCCCTCATGCCTCACTCCCCTCTGTCCTACTGCACGAGCTCATGGAATTGCCTGTGGCTCCCCTGATAAACCATCTATGGGGTTTTGTGTGTGTGTGTGTGTGTGTGTGTGTGTGTGTGTGTAGGGGGTATTGTGTATTCATATATTGATAGCTTTTGCCTGTGCAATTCTTGATGCCTAAGACAACCCCCATCCTGGTTTGAGAAGCAGAATTCTTGCTCCTTCTTTAGGCTCAAGCTGCCATGGTGCATTCTCTAATAAGACTTCCTCACTTCCGGTTTTAGTTGCTCTACAGTCTGTGTTTGCAGAGAAAGTCTTATTTTAGCACCACATAGTATCATTACAGATAGGGAGGTGTATGTGTCATCCCTTTCCATAAAAACATAAAATTCACAGAAAGGAGGATTACCTTTCACTCTACCATTAGCACAGGCTGGACTGTGTAAGGGCAACTGGATGGATGGATGGATGGATGGATGGATGGATGGGTGGGTGGGTGGGTGGGTGGGTGGGTGGATGGATGGGTGGATGGATGGATGGATGGATGGACGGATGGACGGATAGATGGATGGATAGACAGATGGGTGATTGGATGGATAGATGGATGGATGGGTGGGTGGGTGGATGGATGGATGGATGGATGGATGGATGGACGGACGGACGGACGGACGGACGGACGGATGGACCGATGGATGGACAGAAAGATGGGCGACTGGATGGATAGATGGATGGATGAATGCATGTTAGCTAGGGAAACTAAAACAATGGTAACTGAAAATACTCAGATGAAACCACAGAGGCCAGGCATGGTGGCTCATGACTGTAATCCCAGCACTTCAGAAGGCTGAGGTGGGTGGATAACCTGAGGTAAGGAGTTCGAGGCCAGTCTGGGCAACATGGGGAGACCCTTTCCCTACTAAAAATACAAAAAAAAATTAGCTGAGAGTGGTGGCATGCAGCATTTGTAGCCCTAGCTACGCGGGAAGCTGGGGTCAGAGGATCACTTGAGCCCGGGAGAGGTCAAGGCTGCAGTGAGTCAAGATCATGCCACTACATTCCAGCCTGGGCAACAGAATCAGACCATGTCTCAAAAATAATAACAATAACAAAATAAAAGCAAGTTTTTAAACTACACAAAGAATGGCAGATTAAGATATTATCCACATGACAGCTCCAAGTAGGGGCTCACAAAAAAGGTTTTGAAAAAAAAAAATAAATAAAAGAGATCAATAGTTATATCTGGATGTTGGATTACAGCTAGGTTTTAAAATCTCCTAAATAAAATGCTGAGTTTCAATATTTTCTAAAATATATGCTGCTTTTATAATCAAAACAACTTGTGGGTTTTAAAGTATAGACCAACTTGAAAAAGTCTTAAGATATAGAAAGAAAAAACAGTATGAAAATAAGGATGGGGATTGGGATGAATTTTTTTTTTTACTCTTTACACATTTTTTAAAAATCTATTATGAACAGGCATGATTTTAAACTCATATTCCTAAACTATGGGGAGCATTTCTAACCTTGGGAAATCTCTCCAGGTACCTACACCTCCAGCCAGTGTTTCCCACCCCACCCCCGCTTCCAATTTAAGAAAAAGCCTCCACCGAGCTCGCTCCCCTCTCCTGGCATCCGTCTGGCCCTTCCTCCCCTGCCTGTTCCTCCTCTCTGAGTGTATCTGGGGGACGTGTGGGTCACGTGGAGGAATTAACATTTGTGCTTTTGTACTGTGTGCAGGAACTGTGCAGGTGACATCAGTTACCACACAGTCTTCAAACACCCTGGGAGGCAGGCAGCGCTGCCACGTTTTACAGTTGAGAAAACCCGGGCTCAGGGATGAGGAAACTCACCCGTGCTCCCCTTCAGGCAGTGACAAAGCCCGGCAGGAACCTGCCCCTCTTCCTGGTGGAATGAACAGGTGGGGCCAGAGTCCAGGAGTGCGTGTCCTGGGTGGCAACAGGTGCTGCTCAGGGACCTTTCAGAAGAGGGAGGGTGGGTTTGAAAGTTAGACGTTCCTCAACTAAAGGCCCTTGGGTAGATGACCTCCCATCTCTGGCACTTCCTCGTGCATGACGCCTACCTCCCTGTGTGTCTACCGCGATGAAATAAGCACACATTTCACGCATTGGCAAAGCTCCAGGAAGGTCAAGGTGTTTGGAAGCCTTCCCTTTGGTGTCAGACACACCCAGGTCGGAGTCTCTTCCCTGTAACTTACTCCCACCAAGAGCCCAGGCAATTTGCTCCATTCAGTGATCTCGTCCTAAAACGAGAAGGCCCACTCACCGGTGGGCACCTTCTCTGCCACTCCATCACTGGGTTCCCTCAGGGCAGTGCAGGACCCCCAGGAAGCAGGCCTCGGGATCCTGGCTGGGCAGGTCACAGCTCATTGCCCACAAGATACCCTGAGCTCTTCTGACCTGGTGTGGGGAGAGCAAAGCCTCTGGCGATGCACGGGCCTCTGGGCTGATGCAGGAGCAAGGGCCCTGCCCTCATGGATCACAGAGCTGGAATCGAGGGAAAGCTCATTATCTCCAGCAGAAGAAAAGAAACAATGCACACAGCAGAAAACTTAAAAATGGGAAGAGGACAGGAGAGTGAGACCCCTGGAGCATGTGGTGCCGAAGGACAGCTTCTGGGGGCGTCTGAGGTAAGTTCGCTAATAAATGCCACTTCTGGCTTAGGCTAGCGTGCGGGGATTCCCATCCTTGGAAACTGTAATCCTTTACCTAAAAGCAAACGCCTACTTCACCAGGCAGTCCTGGAGTTCAACGCGGTGTGTATAAAGAGCACGGTGCAGCCGCTGCCCTAGCAAGCTTTCTCACATGCAGGGAGGAGTGCCTCCCAAGGACAAGGTCACTGCCAAACTACAGAGGCCCACAGCAGGACAAGAAGAGGGCACCAAGGCCCCACAGCATCTACCCGGACAGGGCGCCAAGGCCCGGCAGCATCTACCCGGACAGGGCGCCAAGGCCCCGCAGCATCTACCCGGACAGGGCGCCAAGGCCCGGCAGCATCTACCCGGACAGGGCGCCAAGGCCCCGCAGCATCTACCCGGACAGGGCGCCAAGGCCCCGCAGCACCTACCCGGACAGGGCGCCAAGGCCCCGCAGCATCTACCCGGACAGGGCGCCAAGGCCCCGCAGCACCTACCCGGACAGGGCGCCAAGGCCCCGCAGCACCTACCCGGACAGGGCGCCAAGGCCCCGCAGCACCTACCCGGACAGGGCGCCAAGGCCCCGCAGCACCTACCCGGACAGGGCGCCAAGGCCCCGCAGCACCTACCCGGACAGGGCGCCAAGGCCCCGCAGCACCTACCCGGACAGGGCGCCAAGGCCCCGCAGCACCTACCCGGACAGGGCGCCAAGGCCCGGCAGCACCTACCCGGACAGGGCGCCAAGGCCCGGCAGCACCTACCCGGACAGGGCGCCAAGGCCCCGCAGCACCTACCCGGACAGGGCGCCAAGGCCCCGCAGCATCTACCCGGACAGGGCGCCAAGGCCCCGCAGCATCTACCCGGACAGGGCGCCAAGGCCCCGCAGCATCTACCCGGACAGGGCGCCAAGTCCCAGCAGCATCTACCCGGACAGGGCGCCAAGGCCCCGCAGCATCTACCCGGACAGGGCGCCAAGGCCCGGCAGCACCTACCCGGACAGGGCGCCAAGGCCCGGCAGCATCTACCCGGACAGGGCGCCAAGGCCCAGCATCTACCCAGACAGGGCACCAAGGCCCAGTACCCACCCGGACAGGGCACCAAGGCCCAGCAGCATCTACCCAGACAGGGCGCCAAGGCCCAGCATCTACCCAGACAGGGCACCAAGGCCCAGCACCCACCTGGACAGGGCGCCAAGGCCCAGCATCTACCCAGACAGGCTCCCGGCATCTTCCCGGCAACTGTCCCATTTCAGTCTCACAGCTCACACACTTGAGACAGGCAGATCTACCAGCGTCTTCATTCCATAAATGAAAAAATGCTCAATGCACAGAAATACTAAGTTTGTAGTCTCAGAAGACTGAACAAAATTAGCAGCTGACCAACACCAAAGTTCAATATTCTCCTCTCTTCCTCTGTCTCTGGAGCCTTCAACAAGAGGCCTCAAAAAAAAAAAAAAAAAAAAAAAAAACCACCTGAGACATCGTTATCTGTTCCCTAGTGAGCTGGCCCTCACAAATTAGCAGGGATTCACCCCTGCTGGTCACAAGTTTAAGAGGTTTAGTCAGAGCCATGGATTCCAGCCCCTGTGGTCTCACCCCATGAGGATGCCTGCTTCCGACTCTGTGGTCAGGTTCGCAGCCAGACGCAAGGGAGGTGAGGGGGCACTCGTGTGTCTGGCCCCTTAACCACTGCCTGCTATGAGCTCTTCGGGGAGGCGATGCGTCGTGCAGAGAGGGGACACCTCAGCTGTGAAACTTGTTGCATAGATTTCCTGATCTGCTTCCTGTATCTGATTAATGGATTTTTTAAAAAATGCAAGCGTCTGAGATCCATGCGGTATGGAGCTTAGTGACTCCATCATTCCTTCATTGCTGACACGACGATACACCTGCATGGACCATACTTGAAAGTAGAAGAGGAATGAGATGTCCTTGCACAGAAGTGTGCGGTCAACTTGGTCCAAAACAAGATTGGACAGGGAGCCGCTGGCGCCTGTCCTCGCTCTAGTTATAACACAGCCTGTGCTCACTGGAATCACAGATCTGGAAGTACTGAAAGAAAACTGGATGAAAATAAATCATTGTACTCATTCAAAAGAGCCTTTGATTCAGAGGAGTACAAATCTTACTCTAGGTTTCTGTGAGTGTCCTTGGGGTGGAAACTGAGAACACGTTGAAATAGGAAGCATCTGCCCTTCCCTGTGGCCCGACTCAAGAATTACTGATTCAGCCAAACATAAAGCGTGAATACCAAGGTCGCACCAGAGCACCAAGGCTCTGGAGAGAGGCACCGGCTGAAAGACTCTCCTGAAATGTCCAGCTCTGAAACCCAACTCTGAGCAATGTTTGGGTCAACTTGACTCTTTTAAAATAAATCTGTTTCATTTTAAAACTGAAATCAAAGTTGAGTGTCCTACCAGGACGCTCAGCTGGAATCGGAAATGAGAGATTCCTGGGCTGAATAAATCCTACAATTGCTCACAACTGTCAATCTGTTAGATTTACATTGATATGTTAATAATGATAATTAATTAGCAATATTCATTCATTTGCTCATTTACTTAGCAGACATATATGAAGTATTTACAATGTGCCAGACAGCGCGCCAGCTACTAAAATGGTAGCAAGGAATGAGACAGACTTGGTCCCAGCCCCATGGGGCTCAAGCCTCAGTGCAGAAGGCAAGCGTTGAGCCACTGCACACGTTTGAATGGATTCAGGAACCAGGACAAAGGCTTGAAGAGACTAGCAAGAAGACTCCAGGAGGGGCTAATATCCAGAATCTACAAACAACTCAAACAAATTTACAAGAAAAAAGTCATCAAAAAGTGGGCAAAGGATATGAACAGACACTTCTCAAAAGAAGACATTTATGCAGCCGACAGACACATGAAAAAATGCTCACCATCACTGGCCATCAGAGAAATGCAAATCAAAACCACAATGAGGTACCATCTCACACCAGTTAGAATGGCGATCATTAAAAAGTCAGGAAACAACAGGTGCTGGAGAGGATGTGGAGAAACAGGAACGCTTTTACACTGTTGGTGGGAGTGTAAACTAGTTCAACCATTGTGGAAGACAGTTTGGCGATTCCTCAGGGATCTAGAAGTAGAAATACCATTTGACCCAGCCATCCCATTAGTGGGTATATGCCCAAAGGACTATAAATCATGCTGCTATAAAGACACATGCACACGTATGTTTATAGCAGCACTATTCACAATAGCAAAGACTTGGAACCAACCCAAATGTCCAACAATGATAGACTGGATAAAGAAAATGTGGCACATATACACCATGGAATACTATGCAACCATAAAAAGGATGAGTTCATGTCCTTTGCAGTGACATGGATGAAGCTGGAAACCATCATTCTCAGCAAACTATCACAAGGACAGAAAACCAAACACCACATGTTCTCACTCAAAGGTGGGAACTGAACAATGAAATCACTTGGAAACAGGGCGGGGAACATCACACACCGGGGCCCGTCGGGGGCTGGGGAGCTGGGGGAGGGAAAGCATTAGGAGAAATACCTAATGTAAATGACGAGTTAATGGGTGCAGCAAACCAACATGGCACATGTATATATATGTAACCAACCTGCAAGTTGTGCACATGTACCCTAGAACTTAAAGTATAATAATAATAATAATAATAATAAAGGCTCCAAAAGATAAGGACAGATGAACCTGGTTCTACTGTGGTGACAGGTGCGTCCTCCCAGAATGTGAAAGTTATGCTGCAGCATGAGAGAGGAGCAGGAGAGCAGCCGGAGAAGTCCTCGAGGTACAGACAAGCTTGACAGGTTCTAGAGACCGAGGGTGGCCGGAGCGCAGGGGTGCTTGGGGTCTGGTGGGGGCAGCACAAGGGCCCGGTCACCTTGACCACAATGGGATCTGCTGACGGCGTTTAAAGAAAGGAAGCAGTGACGGGAACAGTAATATGATCAGTCTTGGGTTTTAGAAAGATTGCTTTGTGTCCTTTTCTACAAAAAAGGATTGATTGAGCGACTCCTAGATGGGTTTTGTGTCACGCTAACACTGTTCAAATAAATGACCTAGATCTGCATGTCTCAACGTGAGTCAATTTCATAAACAAAATTTTGAATTTCGGAAGCTTTGCAGTTGCAAAAAGATACTGGATAATTCTATTTATGTATATTTTAAACATTAAAAAACACCTATGTCTTTTATGGAAGTGTAAAAACAGAGAGAGGAAGGACAGGCATGGATTCTTGTGTATTGATCACTTCTGAAGAGGAGGCCGGGGACGGGACCACAGGGCTTCCAGTGTCTCTGTTCACCACATAGACCGTATCATTCAGGTTCCTTCTTTGTGTGTGTGTGTGCGTGGTTTTTTTTTTTTTTTTTTTTTTTTTTGGAGAGATAGGGTCTCACTATGTTGCCAGGCTGTCTTCAACTCCTGGGCTCCCCTGGTCCTCCTGCATCAGCCTCCTGAAGAGCTGAGATTACAGGAGTGAGGCACCACGCCTGGCCTCATCTAGTTTCTTACAAACAAACAAAAAATATTTGAAGCCTAAGTGGCAAAACGATAACATGTATTAAATCTTAGTGGGATCCATGAGCGTTTCTTTATATTGCATTATGGTGTTTGAAATATTTTACAATTTAAAACGTAATGCCATATGTTTAAACAACTACCATTATTTATCAATTAAGTAATCTGGCCTGCTAATAAAAATGAATGCAAACCATACAACCTTAAACACACCTAAGTACAGTTAATCACCAGGTAAGAATTCTTCATGCCTCTGCTGCTGAGTAACTTAGTTACTAAAAGTTCCAGCCAAGTGGAAATACGGGAATCTAAATAAAAACTCGTGTTTTGTCCTTTTTAAAGTTCTGAGCTGTTGGTTTCATAAAAGAGAGACTTGTCCAAGATTACAAACAAGTTATGGCAGAGTTGGATGTAGAACAGATTCCCAAACTCTGCCTTTTCTAATAATCTCATGGGTTTATTTGCATCGTTGGTATAAACTGAAAGGAGGGCAGAAACCCGTCTCCTACTTCTTTTTTGTGTTTTGTTTCAGTTAAGATTTGACAGAGTCCCAATTCTACTGCACCTGCATCATCAAAACTGTCAGCAGGATTCTCAAAAGTAGGATATTCAGCTTGTACTTGCCACTCAGACTTTGTGATGGGGGAACAATGACCATTGGCTGCTTTAGATCCAGGGAAAATGCCTGAGATCCCCAAAGGCAAGCACAACGTGGCCAACCCCAAACCAGCAGGTGACTGAGTGCAAAGGGAAGGAAGGTTGATGACATGAGAATTGATTTGTCATTGTTACTGATATTTTAGCTACTATTTTTGATGCAGAAATCAAGACTTGTGGTCTGTCAAACAAGAGTGCAGTTATGTGAGCAGGAAGAGACAGTTTCATATCCAGATGGTCCTGCAATTGCCACGCGGGAGTGTGGATGCAAAACCGATGTGTCTACAATTATACCTTGAGACTGAATGGGAACAACCTGATGTTATCATTCGTTCTTTACAAACTCTTTTAACGTCTCACTAAATATGATTTATAGATGAAGATTGTCAACATACTGGTTTTTACTTCATTGTTTGTTAGAGACAAGGTCTCACTCTGTCACCCAGGCTGGGTTGCAGGGGTGCAATCATGGCTCACTGCAGCCTGGGACTCCCAAAGCGCTGAGATTCACAGGCATGAGCCAATGCACCTGGCCAACATATTTTTATTTCGTGTTTTTCTCTAAAATGCAGGTTTGAAGTTAACGACTGTAGCGTGTTCGGGGTGAGATGAGAGAACAGTTCAGTCTCACAAAGGTTATTATTTAGGAAAACAAGGATCCCACCTTGGTAAACGCCACATGGCACCCAGGCTGGAAGCTGAGCAGGCTGCCGTGTGTGGCTTGCCGGGCGCCGGGCGCCAGGACAGACGCTGCTGTGGAAGAGCATCTCCCCTGGAGACTGTCCAGTGTTCGGAATTCCCGAGGGGGAACCCCTAAGCGCATGAGACAGTTTCAGAGGAATAAAGCCAGGTGGCGCGGGAGTCGGCCAGGTCAGGCAGGCTGCCTCTCTGCAGAGAAGCAAAGCACACCCTGATCTTTGCTCTGACGAGCTCCTGACAGCTCACCCTCACCAAGGTCTGTGTGGGCTCCACCAGTGGACACCTCACGAGGTGCTCTCCTGTAAGAGCTCTGCCTTCTCCTGCCGGGTCACCTGCATTCGGCCATCGGCCACCCTCTTTGGGGGTCTCCAGTGAGCCACCTCCCACTCTGACTGGCTGTCGGCAACAGGAGTTCCTACAGAAGGGCTTCTGATTTTGTACAGGGGCTTCCGAGGACCCAGGGCATACTGTGGATGCCCCTTAGAGCATGAGAATGCAATACCTGATCAGACTGCCAGGCCATTCCACCCTGATTCAAAAGCACATGACCTTGTAATCGCAGCGACTCAGGCTGTGAAACACCCTTATGTTGGGCTTTGCAAACAGAGACCCTTTCAGATAACAGCCGAGAAGGCCAAACAGCAGCAACGTGGCCTGAAACGTACGTGGCCTTAAAGTGGGGTTTCATTTCCAATGATCGGCTGCCACTTTCGTTTAATGATACGAGATTTTACTGCAGGAGATGCCACTAAACTAATCACAGTTTGTTTCAAAAGTCTGCCACATCTGCCCAAATGCTATGAGTTCCTGCTCCTGTGGGAAGTCAAGTTTGGAGTGCCTATCACACGTGTGCTTTTTAGGGGGCCACTCACCTAGCTGTTCATGTGTGACTTTTCATTCATTTTTAAACATTTTTTTAGAGACGGGGCCACGCGTGGAGGCTCATGCCTGTAATCCCAACACATTGGGAGGCTGAGGCGGGGGGATCGCAAGGTCAGGAAACTGAGACCATCCTGCCTAACACGGTAAAACCCCGTCTCTACTAAAAACACAAAAAATTAGCCAGGTGTGGTGCGGGCAGCTGTTGTCCCAGCTACTTGGGAGGCTGAGGCAGGAGAACGGCGTGAACCCGGGAGGCAGAGCTTGCAGTGAGCCGAGATCACGCCACTGCACTCCAGCCTGGGTGAAAGTGCAAGACTCTGTCTCAAAAAAAAAAAAAAAAAAAAAAAAAAACTTTTTTAGAGATGGGGTCTCACTATGTTGCCCAGGCTGGTCCCGAACTCCCAGGCTCAAGTGATCCTCCCACCTCGGCCTCCCAAAGTGTTTGGATTACAGGCATGGGCCACTGTGACTGGCCCACGTGTGACTCTTTTTTTATTTTTCTAAATTTTTTTCAGACGGTCGCTCTTGTTGCCCAGGCAATGGCGCGATCTTGGCTCACTGCAACCTCTACCACCCAGGTTCAAGTGATTCTCCTGCTTCAGCCTCCCGAGTAGCTGGAACTAAAGGTGCCTGCCACCACGCCCAGCTAATTTTTGTATTTTTAGTAGAGACGGAGCTTCACCTTGTTGGCCAGGCTGGTCTCAAACTCCTGACCTCAGGTGATCCACCCACCTTGGCCTCCCAAAGTTCTGGGATTACAGGCGTAAGCCACCACGCCCAGCCCCATGTGTGACTTTTTCCAGTTTGTATGTTAGACTTCAATAAAATTTTCTTTAAAAAGCAATTCCTGCATCCAAGCAGTCTCCAAATTAATTGGGAGAGATAAGCTGAACACATGTGAAATACATTTCAACATTCATGGTCTTATTTGCACAAGACTGCCCCAGGTCCTATAGGTAACACATTTCAACATTCATGGTCTTATTTGCACAAAACTGCCCCAGGTCCCATAGGGACAGTGTGAAAAGTCATCAGCTTGACCCTCATGGAGGTGCCACCAAGCACAACTAGTGAAGACCAAAAGCAGAAAAGATGCATCATGAGGTCATGCAGCCAGTGCTGAGGGGGGTGTTACAAGATAACCCGACGGATGATGGAAATAGGGAACGAGACAATCCCCAGCGCCCTGGTCAGGTCACGGAGCGGTGGCAGGCACAGGGTTACAAGGAGCACCCAGCTGCCTGGGACAGGACTTCAGGAAAAGGAGCATCGTGACTGGGGACAGATGTATGGTGGCTGTTACATCCTGGCTGAGAAGTTCAGCTGTGATGACCTGGCCTAGATGAGGTCATCCTTTTTGGAGCATGGGGGTGCACACAGGGTGGCAGCAGAGGCGGCAGGATTCACTGGGGACACAGCAGACTATGCCCAAGGCTGCCAAGTTCTAGGTGTGGCTCTGCTTTTGTGGGTGGCACAGAAGTGAGTCCATCCAACTCATGGCCTCTAGCAGGTCACTGCTGCCTCGGGGCACACACACCCAACATGTGGCAGGAGGGGACTGGGTACAGTCAACATTATCTAAACCAAGCCTCACCCAGGACATCAAAAGAGCCCACCTGGCTCATGCCTGTAATCCCAGCACTCTGAGAGGCCAAGGTGAGTAGATCACTTGAGGTCAGCAGTTCAACACCAGCCTGGACAACATGGCAATACCCCATGTCTACTAAAAGTACAAAAATTAGTTGGGCATGGTGGTGTGTGCCTATAATCCCAGCTACTCAGGAGGCTTAAACCTGGGAGGTGGAAGTTGCAGTGAGCTGAGATCACACCACTGCACTCCAGCCTGGGTGACACAGTGAGATCCTGTCTAAAAAAAAAAAAAAAAGTGCTCAGCAACTCATACTAAAAGTTTACTTCTGATGAATTGGCCCCTTTGGCATTATAAAATGCTGCTTGCATTGTACAAAGCTTCTGAGTGCTGCTTGACAGTTTTAACTTGAAGTGGATTTTATCTTATATAAGCATAGCTCCCTCTGCTCTCTAATGCTTTCAATTTGCGTGGAGTATCTGTTCCCATCCCTTCACTCTCAACCTGTGTTTCCTCAAAGGCCAGTGGGTCTCTTGTAGGCAGCATATAGTGGGGTCTTATATGTTTTTTTAACCCATTCATGCACTCTATGTCTCTTGATTGGAGAACTGAATGCATTTATGTTCAAGGTAATTATGATAGGTAAGAACTTACTATTCCCATTTTCTTAATTGTTTTCTGGTTGTTTTGTAGGTCTTTTGTTCCTTTCTTCCTCTCTTGCTGTCTTCCTTTATGATTAGACTTTCTCTTGTGGTATGCTTTGATTCTTGACTTTCTACCTTTTGTGTACCTACTGTAGGTTTTTGCTTTGTGGTCACCATGAGGCTTACATAAAATACCTTATAGTTGTAACAGTCTATTTTAAGCTGACGATTTAACTGATTCAATAAAATAACTCTATACTTTTAACTCCTGCCCCCCACCCATTTTATGTTTTTGATGTCACAAATGACAGCTTTTTGTGCTGTATATCCCTTAACATATTACCATAGCTGTATTAACCAGGGTTCTCCAGAGAAGCAGAACCAACAGAAAGGCTAGATAGACCGGTAGATGAGAGGGGATTTGCTAGGGGAACTGGCTCACACAGTTATTGAGGCTGAGAATCCCACAACAGGCTATCTGCAAGCTGGAGAACCAGAGAAGCCAGTGGCATGGCTCAGTTTATTGTCAGAGGCCTCAGAACCAGGGAAGCGAATAGAATAACTCAGTCCAAAGCTGAAGGCCTGACAACCCAGGGGACCACTGATGCAAGTCCCAGAGTCCAAAGGCTGGAGAACCTTGAGCTTTTATGTCCAAGGGCAGAAGAAGACGGTGTCCCAGCTCCAGGACAGGGGAGAGTGGGAGAGGCAGAGAAAGAATTTGCCCTTCTTCTGCCATTTTCTTCTATCTGGGCTCTCAGACAATTGGACGGTACTGAGGGCAAATCTTCCTCACACTGGTTCAAATGCCAATCTCTTCCAGGAACACCCTCACAGACACTTCCAGAAATAATACTTTACGAGCTATTGGGGTGTCCCTTAATCTACTCAAGTTGACACCTTGAAATTAACCATCACAGTATCTTTTACTGTTTTAATAGTTTTGTCTTTTAGCCTTCATACTGAAGATGTAGTTAATTTACATACCATCGTTACAGTGTTAGAGTATTGTGAATTCAACCGTGTACTTACATTTACCAGTGAATTTTACACTTTTCAATGTTTTCATGTTACTAATTAGTGTCCTTTTCTTTCAGCTAGAAGAATTCCCTTAAGCATTTCTTATAAGACAGGTCTGGTGGTGGTGAACTCCCTCAGCTGATGTTTGCTTGGCAAAGTCTTTCTCTCCCCTTCATTTCTAAATGACAGCCTTTCTGGGTACAGAAATCTTGGTTGGCAAGTTTTTATTTCCTTCAGCACTTCGAATAGATCACCCTACTCTCTCTTGGCCTGTTAGGTTTCTGCTATGAAATTCACTGACAGGCTCAGGGTCACACAGCCAATTAGTGTTGGCGCTAAAATTAGAAACCAGACGCTGAGATCCTACTGCCCTTGTTACTATTTTGCCCTGTTGCAATGCCAGACATATGAAACAAGCTGAGAAGAAGTCTGTGATCCAACCATTCGCAAAGATTTCCACAAATCCCATGAAACTGCGGGAAACTCAGCCCATGCAACAAGCAGGCAGGCTTTCTGTGGTCATTCAGCTTGAGCAGATTGTTAAAGTCGTGCCGAAAACGGTAAGGCATTCATCTGCTCTCGCTGGCACTCTCTCAGAAAAGACAGTTAACAGAACCAGTAGGAAACATGCTGCCCCTGCCCTGCCCCTGCCCTGGCGGCTGCGTGGTGCCACCTCCAGCTGGCGGAGGCTCCAGGGCAGGGACAAGCACTTCTCAGCACACGCTGCCACCACAAACCACAACCCGGCCATGCCACAGCCCGATGCAGAAGCACGTGGCATCCCCCACGGAAGCTGCCTGCAGTGTGGAGGCAGAGGCTGTAGCTTCATGGAGCTCATTTTAAAAGTTTTGATTAAAGGCTGGGTGTGGTGGCTCACATCTGTAATCCCTGCACTTTGGGAGGCCGAGGCAGGCAGATCATGAGGTCAAGAGATTGGGACCATCCTGGCCAACATGGTGAAACCCCATCTGTACTAAAAATACAAAAATTAGCCAGGCGTGGTGATGCATGCTTGTAATCCCAGCTACTCCGGAGGGTGAGGCAGGAGAAATGCTTGAACCCAGGAGGCGGAGCTTGCAGTGAGCTGAGATTGCGCCACTGCACTCCAGCCTGGTGACAGAGCAAGACCCCATCTCAAAAAAAAAAAAAAAAAGTTTGATTATCAGTATTTCACATCATTTAGGCTGGCACACAGACTGGGCCTCTATCTTCTTATCTCAATATTTGTCCTCAAAATATCAAATCCCATCTAATAAGATGTCATACTTAGACAGGGGATTCTACAAATCCCAAGAGATTCATAGAAAACAAAACCCCACAGCACTTTCAGGTAATTGTACAGATGAAATACTGCCAGCTCAGGCTACAGGGAAAAGATTCAGCACAAAGTGAGACTGGGCACTGCACTCCCAAAGTACTCTGGGCAGGATGCAAGAAAACCTCTCAGCTGCAAACAGAGGCCTCTCCATGGAAAGGAAGAGGGACTCCCCAAAGAGATCCAAGAGCCCAGAGGGTGCAGCCAGGAGTGTGGAAGCCACGCGGGATGAGGCCCGAGCCCTGTCCCGAGGCTGCCAACCTGCACCCAGCTGCACTTCAGGACCGCGTGGGCCACACACCCCTGTCTGCCACACACTTCTCCCTTTCTGAACAGGAAGGTTATGATAGGTACTTTTATGTGTCCCCTTGGCTAGGCCACAGTACCCAGATATTTAGTCAATCACAGTCCAAATGTCACTATGAAGGGTTTTGTTTTGAGACAGAGTCTCACTCTGTAGCCCAGGCTGGAGTGCAGTGGCGCAATCTCGGCTCACTGCAACCTCCGCCCCCTGGGTCATGCAATTCCCATGCCTCAGCCTCCCAAGTAGCTGGGATCACAAGTGCGTGCCACCACACCTGGCTAATTTTTGTGTTTTTAGTAGAGACGGGGTTTCACCATGTTGGCCAGGCTGGTCTCAAACTCCTGACCTCAAGTGATCTGCCTACCTCGGCCTCCCAAAGTGCTGGGATTACAGGCGTGAGCCACTGCACCTGGCCTAAGGGTGTTTTTTAAAGACATGATTAACATTTACATGGGAAGATTTTGAGTAAAGCATGTTTCTATTCACAATATGGGTGGGCCTCGTCCAATCAGTCAAAGCCTTAAAAAGGCGGAGGTTCCCGAGGAGGAGGGACTGCAATGCCAGCACTTCCCTGGCTATCCAGCCTGCCGGCCTGCCCTGCAGATCTCAGACTTGCCCCACCACCATCGGATGAGCCAGGTCCTTCAATCTTGCTCTCTAATCCCTCTCACACGTGCAGACACATGCACACACATGCACACACATGTACCCAGTTGGTTGTGTTTCCCTGGAGAACCCTGACCAGCACGAGGGCCTACAGCAGTTCTCCTGTGCCTGCCCAGGGCTGTGCACTGTGGGCTGGGGGTGGGTCTCTCATTGCTTTGGAACACCAGCCTTTGCATTAGAGGAAGGACTGGAACCCAGGGAGGCACTTTCACACCTGACTTCCATGATGACTTCCTGGAGCCCAAGTCTTGATGCCACAACAGGATGAGACTTGGGGATCGCCGTAGCCTTTTTTATGTGGAAGGGACATGACCTTAGTGGAAAGAGCAGATTCTATTTTCCAAACATGCCGCATGGATGAACCCTGCTCGGCACGCCCATCCCGCCCAGTGAGATTCCCCTGCGCTCACAGTTGAGACCCCGTTCCCTCCCCTTCTACGTGGCAGGCCAGGGACTGAGGGGGAAGCAACACAACATGACCTCCCCGCCTCGTGAGAAAGGTGACCCGGTTCCACCTGGCTGTTTTCTCAGGTCACAGTCCGTGGTGACCCTGACTCAACACACAGGGAGTCCACTGCATCAAGGCTGCCACGCTGCAGCGAGTACATGGACGGTCACACAGTGACAGGGGAAGGTCCCCGAGGGGCCCCTGCTGCGCCAGCCCCCAGTGTGTGAATCCTCCTGGCGCAAGCCTCAGGCAGCAAGTCAGTGGCCTCCATGGTTCCAGCCCTTGGCCTTCAAGCTCCGCATCTGGTGCTGAGTGGCACCAAGGTGAGCTGTGCCCAGCGAGACTGCAGACTTTTAAGCAAAATGAATGCTATTGCTACGAATACAGGAACAGAAAACCAAACACCACGTTCTCACTTATAAGTGGGAGCTGAATGATGAGAACACATGGACTCAGGGAGGGGAACAACACACACTGGGGCCTGTAGAGGGCGGCGGAGGGAGAGCATCAGGATAAAGAGCTAATGCCTGCTGGGCTTAATACCTAGGTGATGGGTTGACAGGTGCAACAAACCACCATGGCACACGTTTACCTATGTAACAAAACTGCACCTCCCGCACATGTACCCTGCAACTTAAAATATAAATAAATGCTATTGTTTTAAGCCACTAAGCTGTGCATGGCTTATTGAACCACCATGATATTGGAACAAGGGTCGTGATACGAATATTCAGAACTGTGAACTGCATCTTGCAGGAATGGGAAGCTATGAAAGGCCCACTATTGTAAGAATTTTAAAAAATAATTGCTCTGAGCTGGGAGTGGTGGTTCATGCCTGTAATCCCAGCACTTTGGGAGGCCAAGGCAGGAAGATCACTTGAGGCCAGGAGTTCGAGACCAGCCTGGCTAACATGCTGAGACCCCATCTCTACTAAAACTACAAAAAAAAATAAATAAATAAGTTGGGTGTGCTGGAGGGCGCCTGTAATCCCAGCTACTCGAGAGACTGAGACATGAGAATTGCTTGAACCCTGGAGGCGGAGGTTGCCGTGAGCTGACATGGTGCCACTGGATTCCAGCCTGGATGACAGAGCCAGACTCCATCTCAAAATATAATAATAATAATAAAAATCATTGTTCTGACTACTGCAGGAGGACCTGTTCAAAGAGAGGATGTGCAGAGCCTCTCCAGAGACTACTGCAGGAGTCCAAGCATGAGATGGAGGTGGCCAGGACAAAGATGGTACACTTCATAGAACCACACCCATATGTATGTCCCCACGACTCTACACCTTTCTAATAAAACAGTAACAATACCAGCTAACATCGGCACCGTGGTTTTTCATTTACAAAACATTCTATGTGCATCTTCCTATTTAATGATTTCACTTTAGGACTCGGGAAGTCTCCATGCTACAAAATTAATCCATATGAAACTCAGTCAAGCTCTAAAGCAGGGGTCTCCAATCTTTTGGCTTCCGTGGGCCACACTGGAAGAATTGTCTTGGGTCACACATAAAATAGACTAACACTAATGATAGATGATGAGCTTAAAAAAAAAAAAAACTCATAATGTTTTAAGAAAGTTTACAAATCTGTGTTGGGCCTCATTCAAAGCTGTCCTGGGCCACATGTGGCTCGTGGCCCATGGGTTGGAGGACCTTGCTCTAAAGTGTGAAGCTCCATCAATTTAACTCAGCCATAAAATCGGCTGACATTACACTTTTACTACACCCTGCTCCAGCGCCCCTCACTGACCTCTCCGTGCTCTAGTCCTCACCACAGGGCCTTTGCACACAATGTTCCCGCAAACTGTCCCCTCCTGGGCTCCTGAGCCACCCCTCTCATCCCTTAGTTCTCGGCCTAACATTCCTCTGTTACGTGCATTCAAGGGAATGTATTCCTCTCCTTCAACGCACTCATCTCCGTGTGTTATTACCTAAGAATTAACGTAATTATATGCTGAATGCCTTTCACTGTATTAACGTCTCAGCTGCAGATAGCAGAGAACTAGGCTGACTTTACTTACAACTGTATTCCCAGCACCTAGGACTGAGCCTGACCCACAGCAGGGTGGGGGGTGGGGGAGCAGGGGAACTCCACAAATATTCAGAAGAGAAGGAAATTCATGCTAATCCTTCAAACAAAATGCACATAAGACATGCAACGGTTTCTATTTCCAAGACAACATTTATTTCAAAATCATTTCTAGCAGGAACCTGGCTGTTGGCAAAAAGTAAACTAGATGCTTTAATTTATTCTTAAAGTTTTTGCTCATTGTTAAATACTTTGCAAACATGTGCTGGATACCAACACTATACTTTTAGCTTAATTACAATGATTTCAAGAGGAAAAAAAAAACAAACTCAAGACCACAATTGACACGATGAGCCCTTGACCTCCGGAGAAGGGCAGATATCGCCCTGAGTCACCAAGGGAACACATGCTGAATGACAGGCTGATTTGTGATCAGGAAACCCGCTGTTCTCCGGGCCCTTCTCAAGCCCACTCAGACACCAGTCCTCCTTGATCACAGCCTTGGATGCAAGGAGGCTTAGAGGCACTGCAGCTGCCTAAGTGATTCCAGATTTGCAGGAGAGCTATTATTACTGAGCAATCTGTGCTCTTGGTATTTAGAAAACAACTGAAACATGTGCCCAGATGGAGGCGTCCACAGCACGGAGAGTCTCTCTGTATCAGCACAGGGACAAAGACGGGACCTGCTGGGCTCCCACTGCCAAGGTTGCTACCTGTACCGGAACATATGGAAACCCCATTGAAGCGGGTTTGTATTGGAGTTTACAAATGATGCGATAAGCTCCAAACCACCTTTCCGGATTCTTCCATCCACCCAGAGCAAGGTGCTCTGAGGTTCAAGTTAGGCCCAGACATCAGTCAACACAGAGTCCTGCTCCCTGGGAATTTCTTTAGTCTCAGAGCCACAACATTTAAGCTTTCTCCCCTCCTCCCAAGCCCAATGCTGGCTTAAATACAGTCACGAATGGTTCAGATGCAGACAGGTTCTGAGAAATGATAGTTAGATAACTTCATCACTGTGCAAACATCACACAGGGCACCTACACACCTAGGCGGTGCAGCCTGCTACACACCTGTGCTCCACTGCACAGACTCCTGCTCCAGACTGCACACCTGTGCAGCGTGCACAATACCGCAGGCAATTGTAACACAATGGTGTTTGTGTATCTACACATTTCTAAGCATGAAAAAGACACAGGGAAAACAGTTTTATAATCTTACAGGACCACCGTCAACTTGGCGGTCTGTAATTGATCCGAACGTGGCTGTGCTACACATCACTATAATGTAAGCAACATCTTTTAACTGATTTTATTATGTGCTGTCCAATGCTATGGCCAGCAATGCCTGTGCAACTGACATGGAAAGTTCAAAGGCTTTACCTCATTACAATTTTTACTTAGTTATGCCCTGATGGGAGCATTGCAATGCCAGTTACCATAAATCTGCACACACGAGGTTGTTGCTGGAGCAAATCTGAAGGCAATGGAACGCTCCCTTCCGTGATGTCAGGAATGGGGAGGATTATTCTAATAATAGCACACTATTAGCTCAGGATAAAAGGCTGAAGGGTTCCATTGACATCCATTAAGGGGTCCTAATTGGAGCCTGAGTAACTGCTCCTTAGTGGGAAATGGAGGCGGGAACCGCGGGGAATCGGGCGAACTTCTCACTCAGGGCCTGAGGGGATGGCTGGAACTTTAAAATCTGACGGCGGCGCCTTTCGTGGGCTGAGTAGAATAAAGCTCGCTGCACTGATTTGTTCCTTTTCTTTTCCTTAGAATAGACACTGGAGTGGGTGGAGGGGGAAACGTGGTTTTGTAGGACTCTAAAGAGGTGGAGGGACTTTGGTTCACCCTCTTTTCATGCTCCAGAATGAGCCCCGCCTGAGAGGAGGGACCCCTGCGGAATCCCGCCCAGACCGCCCGGGGGTCTCCCCAGCACATGGGGCGGGGGCTGCAAGGGGCGCCCGGCAGGACTCGGGAGCCGCGGCGCGGTGGGGCGGGTGGGTCGCGGTGCTCGGGGCTCGCGGGGGTCAGCAGCCAGGACACCCCCGCACCCCGGGCGCAGCGGCGGAGGACCAAGGGCCGCGCTCCCCTCCCCAGGGCCCCGAGTCCAGGAGAGACCCCCGTTCGCTCCGGACAGCCGATCCCCGCGACCGCCGAGAGCCAAGCGGAGCAACCCCGGGAGGAGCCCCCGCCCTGGCCCCGCGCGCTTGGCTTCGGCTTCTGCTCCTGCTTCCGTGCCGGCTGGGGCGGCGGGACCCTCGGCGGGGGCGGTGACTGCGGGCGCGGCGCGGGCGGCTCATTGTCTTCCGGCCGGGGTTGCCGCGTCCCGGGGGAGGGCCTGTGGAGACCCCGCGAGGAGGCCCCCACGCCCCCCACGCGGCCTCCCGGAGGCGGAGCGGAGACCACCCACCGCCGCCCACCCCGCCGCGGGCAGCGCTGCCCCCTCCTCTCCCGGTCCCCCCTCCCCTCCCCTCCGCTCCGCTCCCCTCCCTCCCCTGCCGGCCTCCCCTCCCCGCCTCTCCCCTGCCGGCCTCCCCTTTTCTCCCCTCCCGCCTACTGCCGCTCTCGCCGACCACCTCCCACCCGCCGCCCCCTCCGACCCGCGCCTCGGGCTGCTTCCCGCTCCGCCCGCCAGGCCCCGCCGCTGCCTCCCCGGGGTCCGCCCTACCTCGCCGCGGCTCCTCTTCAGCCGCCGGGCCCGGGACGCGCAGCCAGGCGGGTGGGCTCCGGCGCATGCGCGCGGCCGCTTCCCGGCACCTGTGGGAGCCGCGGCCCGGCCTCTCCGAGCACCTGCGAGCGGGAGCTGCTCCTCCGACCCGCAGCGGGGCGTGGGCGGCAGAGGGGGCGGTGGACAGGCCTCTCCGCCTCTCCAGGCCGCGCGGAGCCAGCGCTCCGGCTCCAGGCTGCGAGGGGCGCGCGCGGGGCGCGGGGAGGGGGGCGGGCGCGTGCACACGGGGCGTTTTCGGGCGCGCGCCCCCTGGCTGGGTCTGCGGAGGGGCTGTGGGTTCCCCGGGGCTTCCCTGCCCCGCGCCTGCCCGCCGGGCGCTTCTCCCCCTCCAGGACCGCGGCCCACGTCGCCACTCGAGCCCGAGCCCGAGCCCGCGCCCACGCGCGGGGGCCGCTTCCTGCGAGGAGGCGGGGACAGGTGTCCGCGGGCGCAAACAGCGGAGTTTCGTGCGCCTATTTTTTGGTAAAAGTAGAGGCGATGCGTTGTTGACATATTTAGTGGTTAAAAACTTATTGCCAAATTCTCAACAGATTCCAGAATTTTTTAAAGTTCACAACACGAGAGTGGACGAAATGTCGGAGCTTTTGCTCATATCCAGAAATGTGGCCTCTGCCTCCCACTCGGGCCCTGCGGTGCAGACGGGTTCAGGGCGGCGAGGACTGAGCCAGGAGCGCCGAGAGTTCCAGCTGCTCCCAGGCTGGGTTCTAATTAACGCTGGACCCCTGCTGGTAAATGCTATTTTTAATGGCTTTGTGCAAATTAATGACGATGAGATTTCCATAAGTACCGAGAGCCAGAGCCTTTACTTTCTCTTTTTGTGTTCTTTTTGCTTGTGACAGTCTTTGCCAGTTCCATGCTGTATACACATAATGAGCCGTTACAACTCCAGCACCAAAGCTAACGCCCCGGGAACATCTTTAAAACCTTTTTCACTCTGTTGCCAAGAAGAGTAGTACCTGCTGTCAGTACTTGAATTACAGGAGGCTGAAACTCAGCGAGCTACTGGGATTTTTTGAAAATTGAAAACTTCCGTTAACTATAGCAGAAACAGACCCTTTTGGTGGAAGCTAAAATAATTCCCATGCTGCTCCGTTTTTATTTTGTTCAGTTTACTCCAAAAATGTTCCAAACTCTACTGTGATCTTCTTAGTGCATCTCTACTTCCTTTCGGCTGCAGAATAATACTTCTTTTTCTCTTTTGTTTTTTTTTAGAGATGGAGTCTCACTCTGTCGCCCAGGCTGGAATGCAGTGGTGCAATCTCGGCTCACTGCGATCTCTGCGTCCTGGGTTCAAGCAATTCTCCTGCCTCAGCCTCCCAAGTAGCTGTGACTACAGGCATGCACCACCACACCCAGCTAAATTTTGTATTTTTAGTAGAGACAGGGTTTCACTGTACATTGGCCAGGCTGGTCTCGATCTCCTGACCTCAAGTGATCCACCTGTCTTGGCCTCCCAAAGTGCTGGGATTACAGGCATGAGCCACCGCGCCTGGCCTAACTACCCCCATTCTTTTCCAGAGAAACGTGAACAGGCCAAACAAAGCCTCACCTGGCTATCCCGCCACCCTGGGGTTGGGCCTCCAAAGGCCCGGGAGGTCACCTAAGACACGGTGTTCTGAACATGCAAGCCCGACAGCATCTTCTCTACCATTCTGCCAGAGTCCAGAGACCTGGGAATAGGTCATACCCCCCACTGCATTTTACAAGCTTGGCATACATTAGGTTCTCAATAAATACTGAATTAATGAAAAAATTGCTGAAGTAACTGAAAACATCCATCCAAACCCCACACCATCTGGTAGATAAGTAGTCTGTGGGGAGTCCCATATTTTTCTTACCTTAGATATTTATTTGGAAATGGACTGTAGGCCCAATATGGTCAATGAAACTTGCAGAGGAACATTTCATGCCTTTAATTAGTTCTTCATAACTGCAGGGACCTCTAGAGTTCCTGAAATTGAACTGGGTTGTAATACTGTCAAGAAAAAGGAGGACCTATCTTAAATCTATTTCAAGGGTAATACTATTTTACTATGTAAATTTTCCCCTGGTCAGGGACAGCCTGATCATGCATGGTAGACTCGAAGCATGCAAATATTTCAACATGCAAAACCGCCCTAAAAATATAACCGAAGCTTATGGAGTTGTCCAGGGTACAGTGGTTTACTGGCCCCTGAATGCGGGACTCCATCAAACTGGGTTCCAGGCTGGGAGGTCTCTGAACCCAATTTCTAGACAGCCTGCTTTGGAGTTCAACTGATGGGACCTTAGACACCAGCCTTACCCTCTGCAAGTCTTGTGATTTGGAGCCAGATACTTGGCCTCTCTGTGCTCCAGGGAGACACCACTGCACCTACCTGAGAGGACTGAAGGAGAGGATCTGTGCAACTCACTCAGGATACTGGATCTTAAGCCAATGGGTGGACTTACATTCGTCACCTCTGATTCTGTCTCCTCCTGCGCGGTGACTTAGCAAACACTTCTTCCTCTCCAGCTCTGCTTCTTACTCTCCAGCTCTGCTGCCCTGTTCCAGTGCTGACGCCAGACAACAGATAATTTCCCAAATGCTTGTATTAGCCCTTAGGAGTTCATGTGTTCCTCCCCCAGCCAATAAAGCTGTTAAATCCCAATAACTGTCAGGAATGGAGCCAATTGCTATAAAGTACTTCCAGCTTCTTGGCATGAAGAAATAATTAGAATATATGTGTTGGCTTTGAAACAACACTCACTGGTTCATTAAAAAATTCTGTGCATATTGTACAAAAGTAGTCTTGGCCTTGGCACTCCCTTAGGTGAACCTTACCCGGCCCTGGCACTCCCTTAGGTGAACCTTACCCGGCCCTGGCACTCCCTTAGGTGAACCTTACCTACTTCAGTGCTTCCTCAGCTCTGATGAACTGTGTGCAATTGCGTTTTTGTCGCAAGCTGCTGCTTAAATACTGTGAAGCTCTTTCCTTATGTCAGTCTCTCCACCTATGTTACCAGCCAGCGCCTGAGACCCTCATATTAAGGAAACAGTGTGTTCCTAAGTCCTCTTTGATATTGTCCACTATTGACTATCGATAGCAAACATGCATTGGCCATGTGCTAAGCATGTCATTCCCCAAATTTTATTTTTTTGAGACAGTTTCGCTCTTGTTGCCCAGTGTGAAGTGGAATGGTGTGATCTCAGCGTACTACAACCTCCACCTTCCGGGTTCACGTGATTCTCCTGCCTCAGACTCCCGAGTAGTTGGGATTACAGGTGTGTGCCACCACGCCCGGCTAATTTTTTTTATTTTTAATAGAGATGGGGTTTCACCACGTTGGTCAGTCTGGTCTCAAACTCCTGACCTGAGGTGATCCACCCACCTCGGCCTCCCAAAGCGCTGGGATTACAGGCGTGAGCCACCGTGCCTGGACCCCAAATTTTAAATTACAGACAGTCCCAGGTTTAAGATGATACCCTAATTGTCCTGATTCGAATAGGGAAACGGAGGCCATGCTTTTTAGTTTTGTACCCCTGGGCCCAGCAATGTGAGGGCATGAAGCCAAGCTCGGTAATTGTTGACTAAATGAAGGAGTGAGGCCTGTTGAGCCCAAATGCCCATTGCTCATCATCCCTGACAGGCTCTCCCAGGGGCTGCAGGGGCCTGGGCACGTGGTTCCCTCAAGCAGATTGCAGGTTACCCACAGGCAACACGCTCTGCCAGTGAATTAACGCTGCTGTCTCCACATGGCCAGTACGTTTATTAGGGGGAATCCTAGTAACCATTTTTCAGAAAAATAAAGGAAATAAGATGGCAACCATTACTTTAAAATAGTTTCAAGGCATATATTAATAATGTTAGAGCAAGTTAGCTGCAATTTAAAATATTTTGAGGGTCGGGGGCAGTGACTCACATCTGTGGTCCCAGCACTTTGGGAGGCTGAGGCGGGCAGATTGCCTGAGCCTAGGAGTTGGAGACCAGCCTGGGCAACATGGAGAAACCCTGTCTCCACAAAAATACAAAACATTAGCCGGGCGTGCTGGCGTGCACCTGTAGTCCCAGCTACTCAGGAGGCCGAAGTGAGAGGATTGCTTGAGCCTGGGAGGTTGAGGCTGCTCTGAGCCATGATTGCGCCACTGCACTCCAGCTGGAGCAACACAGTGAGACCCTGTCTCAAATATATATATTTATGTATTTTAAATATAAATTTTATGTTATATTTATATTTATATATTTATATATATTTATATAGATTTATAGATTTATAGATTTATAGATTTTATTATTTATAAAATCTATAAATATATAAATATATATAAATATATAAATATATAAATATATATTATATATAAAATATAAAATATATATTTATATATAAAATATAAAATATATATTTATATATAAAATATAAAAATATATATTACATAATATAAAAATATATTTTATATATATTTTATTATATATAATATATAATATATTTATAAATATACATTTTCCATATAAAATTTATAAATATACATTTTCCATATAAAATTTATAAATATACATTTTCCATATAAAATTTATAAATATACATTTTCCATATAAAATTTATAAATACAGATTTTATATATAAATTTATAAATATAGATTTTATATAAATTTATAAATATGTATTTTATATATAAATTTATAAATATATATTTTATATATAAATTTATAAATATATATTTTATATATAAATTTATAAATATATATTTTATATATAAATTTATGTTTTAAATCTAAAACATATAAAATATATGTTTTAAATCTGAAACATGTAAAATAGATGTTTTAAATCTGAAACATGTAAAATAGATGTTTTAAATCTGAAACATGTAAAATAGATGTTTTAAATCTGAAACATGTAAAATAGATGTTTTAAATCTGAAACATGTAAAATAGATGTTTTAAATCTGAAACATGTAAAATAGATGTTTTAAATCTGAAACATGTAAAATAGATGTTTTAAATCTGAAACATGTAAAATAGATGTTTTAAATCTGAAACATGTAAAATAGATGTTTTAAATCTGAAACATGTAAAATAGATGTTTTAAATCTGAAACATGTAAAATAGATGTTTTAAATCTGAAACATGTAAAATAGATGTTTTAAATCTGAAACATGTAAAATAGATGTTTTAAATCTGAAACATGTAAAATAGATGTTTTAAATCTGAAACATGTAAAATAGATGTTTTAAATCTGAAACAAGTAAAATAGATGTTTTAAATCTGAAACATGTAAAATAGATGTTTTAAATCTGAAACATACAAAATGTATTTTTTTCAAGGTATCTTTTAATAATGTTAAAACAAGTTATCTACAATTTCCACATAAATATTCATGGTATATCTATATGTGGTCTATCTACGGTTCCAAAAATAACAGGTGGTAGCGACTATTTCCATTTCTCAGTTGAGGAAACTTAACATTCGAAGAGGTCTGCCTAACTCATTCAGGGGCACGCCTTTTCCGTGAGGCGGAGCTAGGGCTCAGATCCTAACTCAGGGCCCTTGTTTACAGCAGTCGCCAAGGAGAACTGCTGTCCAGAGGGGTGAGCAGGTCTGTGCTACAGGACGTGCTTCGTACAGCAGGAATCTGTATGCTAAAAATAACTAAAACTGGCATCCCAGCACCTCCTATAGCTTAATTTCACCCCATGGGTTTCCATACCAATCCTGAAAATATTTCGTGCTATGATTTGAAAGTTATCCTTAGAGTGTAAATGTCCCAGCGTGCATCCTCTTGAACTTGTCTGGGTCGCCCGAGATGGCAGGAACCCCGAGTTCGACGTCAGCAGCAGGAGGTGGCCTGTGGCTGGTACAGCCCAGGAACTGGGATGCGGCCAGGGTTGGCCATCCTGCCAGCGAGGCAGGACCTCCGCAAGGGTGTGTCCTGTTGTCACATAAATCAGTTCTAAACCATGCTGCTATCACTAGAAAAGAGTATTAGCCATAGCTTTGATGCTGTGCAAGGCTCAACAAGACAAAAACCCGAGTAAAAGTGTATCTGTGGTGTTCCTGATCCCACTGCTGGTAATACAGTGACTGCAAACAGATTTCATTTTCAAGCCACTAGTTACTTAGAATAGGTATAAGTAATACATCCTCAAACGTATAAATCCAGTAGGACCATCTGCCAAATAACACATTATTGTGAGCCACAGTTTAAAGATTGTTAAGGGTTGAATCGTGTCCTGAAGAACAACATCCGTTGAAGACCTAAGCCTCGTCCCTTGGAAGGTGACTGTATTTGGAAAGAGGCTTTTTTAGAGGTGATTGCGTTAGTGTGAGTTCGTTAGGGCAGGCCCTCATCCAGCATGAGTGGAAAGAAGTGGAAATTCAGACACAGAGACACACACAGAAAGAAGATGATGTGGGGGTGCCCAGGGAGGAGGGGGGTGCGGGTAGGCGGGGATTGCAGCGATGACCTGCCAGCCACAGAAAGTGGGGAGGGTTCCTGTCCACACTGGCAGCTGGAAGAGATGGGAAGCCTGCTCCCCAGATCCTTTGAGGGAGCGTGGCCCTGCTGACGTCTTGATCGTCAGTGTCTGGCCTCCAGAACTGCGGAGAATCCACCTCTGTGGTTTTCAGCACCCCTTCCCCCATCCCCCCGCGTGTGGTACTGTGTCACAGCAGTGCCAGGACGCTCATTCCAGGGTTTTGTGTCTCTTCCATACAGGCAGGGCTTTCCACGCTATTGGGAGTGACATGTCAGTTTATGATTTTAAAGTTTTCAATCCTTTATAGACAGACAGCATTTCAATTTGCAATACAAATAAAAATTGTAAAAGACATACAAAATACAAAACCATTACCTTAGGTTAAACAGGTGCAAAATCACGCTGTCAAACTGGTACACAACTTTCTAAACACTGGTTTTAGTTTTAGTACTGGTGGCGATGTTGGTCCTTCCTGGAGGGTTCATGGCCCACAATTGTCACACTTTGAGCTGCATAGCTAAGGGTCACCGGGTAATGACTGAGCAATTGGCTGGTCCCGGAGAAACGCAATGCGAATCCGTGTCCTGGCAAAGGCCTCACCGTGCCAGGTGGGCGCAGCTGGAGTGCTTCCCAGACTCGGTTTTTCCAAACAAAGTCTTCCGGCCGAATTAGGCAATACACTTGGGAAAAAGTACTTGTGGGGTATAAATGTTTGAAAATGGCTCTAAACTATTTCCATCAATATAAGAGGATATCTAAGTGCTCAGCCAAATAGACCTCGATGTCTTCTGACCAGGATGACGAATCGCTCCTTCCGGCTGCTGTCTGGGATTAAAATGCTACTGTTTGTAGGGTGCCAGGAAATCACTTTAAAAAACACTAACAGTGAAACTCGGATGGCCTCCCTGTGTAACACCCAGGCCTTTCGGGATGTGGGGATGCACGGGGTTGTGTACTTAGGAGGGTGCGGGACACTGATCAGCTGCAGAGCTTCTGCTCGGGCGCCCTGGGAGGTAGGTCAGCCGCCTGTGCAGCTGCATGGGGCTGGGTCACAGGGAGTGGTCAGACCCGACCTTCCTCCCCGGCTGCCCCTCCCCCAGCTCCAAGGGTGTCTTCTGCAGCAGGAGGCGTGGGAAGTGAGGAGAGTGGGGGCTGACCACAGAGCCTCTCCCAGCTCCACCTGGCTCTGTGGTCCCTGCAGCCCTGAAGCCCCCACACCATCCTGAGAGCCCCTGTTCCTGGCATCCCAGGCGGGAGCCTGCAGGGAGCTCTGGGAGCCACAGAGGAGAGGACTCGGAGGAGACCGGGTCAGAGGGGGGTTGGCAGGACCTTCTGCCCTGGGCGTTTCCTCAGATGGCTTTGCCCTCCTTCTGGGCAGCCCCAGCTGCTCAGCAGTCCCCAGCTTCAGTGGGTTCTTTGCTGGAAAGGACCTGCAATCCTCAAACTGCTTTGGCCTCTGCACCTTCCAGCAGGACCCTGCTGCGATCAGAACTCCTGTGTCCAAATTTTAACACACCAGAGAGTCTCCAGAGAAGTCGCCTGCCGTACCGGGGTCCCACCAGACAGAGCTGAGACAGGAAAGGGACTCTGGATCCTAGGGAACCACAGACCTGGAGCGGTGGTGGGCAGTGTTGGGGGCGCCTGTTGGAATGGACAGCTCTCAGGTAACTCTTGAACCAAAGCACATGCTGAGGAAGGTGAGCGGTGGCAGGCAGGTGGCTCTGTCTGGCCTGGAGGATTGTGTCTCTTTCTCCTCTGCTTCCATTTTCACATCTCCTTCTCCGTCTCTGCCTCCTTCTTAAACAGACCCCTCTGATCAGGCTGGGCCAGCCCAGATAGTCCAGGGTCATCTATTCATTTCAGGATCCTGAGCTCAGCCGCACCTGCAAAGTCCCTTTGCCACATAAGGCCACATATCCACTGTATCCAGGAATGAGGACATGGACATCCATGAGGGGGCCGCTGCCCAGCCGCAGGACACTGCAGAGAGGTGTTAGGGAGGAAGCAGAACACCACGGACGGGACTGCATCTCGGGTCAGGGCCCAGCAGGCCCTGCTCCCCTCCAAGCTCCAACCGCTGCTCAGAGCCGACCCACTGCAAGCAAGCAGTACACGTTTGTTGAAAAATCGAAACCATCTAAGTCAGGAGTGAGGAAATTATGGGATAATCGAAGCAATCGCGGCCCATAGGGATGCATGACTGAGATGGAGTTTGGGGGAAACTGTTACTACGTAAGAGCTCCTACCTACCGACCATGGGTGACACGCAGACACCTTCCCATGCCTGATTCATTCACATCTCCTACTAGCTGTGTGAGGCAGCTCCTACTGGCTCCGTTGAAACAGATGTGAAGTAACTAGCTCAAGCAGCTCTAAGTCCAAGTTAACGTTTGGGTTTCAGGGCCTGTGTGCTTCATCCGTCATTTGTGTTTCTGAAAAGCGAGATGAATAAAAGTTCCAGAATGGCAAACGCGATCTTCGGGCCCCAGGACAGCAGCATTGAGTGATTCTGGTCACACGGGGAGGCAGCCGTGGGCACGCCTGTCCCTGGAGCTCACAACCCGGTGGGCAACCGTGGACCCACAGATCCTGGAACCTGGGTGAAGAGTTCCCATCTAAAGCCTGCACCTCCTCCAGAAAATCAAGAGGGGTCTGTTGTAAACTTTGAATATGTGAAAAACCAAGCCCAAATTTACTGCTTGTGCGAGCCAGATGTACATATGTTGAATTTGCTCAAAATAAGGTAAACTAAAATGTCTCCTGCCACCAGAAATTGTTCTTTCTGTCTCGGCTGAGTATGGATCCAGATCCCTTTAGGCTGTGAATGTACTGTTGGGTTTGGCTTAGAGATGAATGAATGGAAGAGTGTTCACATATGGGCTAATTGGCACTGCTAACTCCTGCTAGCCTGTATGAGAATTCCATTTCATGACCTAAAGAAGAAACTTTTAAAAATTCAAAATAGACCAACAGTGCCGAAATGAGACAGGCACAGTGAGAACAGGGGGGACGTTAGAGACCAGACCAGGACCCCACATGCTGGCAACAAAAGGGAAACCAAGCCGTTGATTTTTGATTGGGTGGAAGATGGTGAAGATGAATCGTCCCTTACTTAACCGACCGACCAGGGTCTTCCAGCCTCTGTGCCATCGGCGTCTGGGGCTGTTCGGGCACTGCAGGATGCTTGGGGTGTCCGTGGTCTCTGCACGTGGAAGCCTGGCGCCCACCCTTTCCCTGACCTCTCCCTGTATTGACCACCAAGGTGTCTCCCAACATTGCCGAATGTCTCCTAGGGGGTGGTGGAAGGTGGAAATTGCCCTGGGTGAGACCCACTGAACTGGAGATGGAACGGGACTCTTGTATGTTAGCACCAAAAAAGCAATTATTTTTTTCATGAGCAGAAGAAAATAAACGCAAGCCCCTCATTGCTAACAAGAGTAGCCCCCACTTTACTTTCTCTCCACTTTGCTTCTTGAGCCTGTGCCTCGCACCCACAATCCAAGGGGTTGGACTCTGGGCAAGCCTGTGGGTGTCGAGGGGAAAGGTGCCTTCTGGGTCACCCTGATTCTTGCACCATGGCATTTGAGCCTGCCTCCAGCACTGTGTCCAAAGACCCTGTCCCAGAGGCCCAGCAGGGCAGGACAGAGACTGGGGGCCAACGGCACACACAGGTGCCTCCTCCGCATCGCAGGCCTGCCCTACCCCAGCGCCCTCCACACACCCCTACCTCCACCACAGAGCTCTAGGCTTTTGTCATCGATGGTCAAGCATCATTCTAGAAGCCTGCAAAATGGCCCCGTCTCTTCTTTATCCTTGGAAAAGGCGGTTCTGCCACCCTTGGCCATGTGCCATCTACACAGGGTGCCCGCTTAGAACCGGAATGTACAGAACCCTCTGGATCTCAGAGGCTGCCGGCTCTTTGGGACTGGAGGGCAGCTTTCCAGCCAGCAAGCCGGGCTTTGTCACCACCGTTTACAATACGCCGGAGGGAAGAGCCCCCGGATGGCACCAGGGCACGGATTCCTGTGGGCAGCTTTTGTTTGGTTTCTGCTTCCAGCCCTTTTGTTTGTTTGCTGCGTGTCCAGGCCGGGCTCCAGGCCGTGCGGTTATGGGCCCTGGCTGAGCCTACAGCTTTCCAGGGCCTGTCTCACTGCCCCTTTACTCTGTAATCCCAACCCTGTCATCCTGACTCGGGTCAATTCTGGTAATGAGGGCGGCCACGTGCCACAGAGCCAGGCTGCTCCACCCAGCAGGAGAGCAGCTCCTACCGCCCCTGGCCAAGTAGCCCGTGGCGAGACTCCCACACACGGAGCCGTGGTGTCCTCGTGTGCAAGATAGGAGTGAATGACACCTCGCATCACTAGGGCCGTGCTCAGAAATGCACTGATCATGGGGAAGGGGCTGCAGCGGCCAGCGCACCCGAGGGGACACGTGCCTTGCGTCGTCCCTGTCACCCTCACTCTGCAGATGGAGGAGGCAGCTCGTAGCTCTGATTTGACAGCTGACAGAAAACCAAAGAGCATGGACTTTCCGTTTCCTGCCCTAGCTCTGCCACTTTCTAACCAGGAGCCCAGAACTTGGTGCATTTTTGTTAGAAACAGCAGAAGCCATCGGACGCAGGCCCGGGAGGTCAGGTAGGCACCGGGGGACCCCTGGGAGCATGATGGTGTTTTCAGCCACCAGAGGCCTCCGCGTCCACAGCAGCACACGTGCGTCCCTCCCCACAGCAGCTGGGGATGCTGAGTTCACCGCCCTGCTCCAACGGTCAGTTCTTCTCAAGGCCCCTTGAAAGAGCAGATGGGAGCAGGGAGCTGACGGAGCCACTGGCTTCCCACCCGAGTGCGCACTGCTCAAACAGGGCCGCAGGGGCCTGGCGGGGAGCACCGTTTCCTGCCCAATACCAATCTGACTGGTACTGGGCTGGTCTTCCCAGGAAATGATGCCAAACTGAAGGAGCCACAAGGCTCTCTGTTACCGGCAGGCTGGACACTCGGTGTGGTCTTAGCAAGGCCAGGCTTGGTGCCAGGGAGCCCACGATGCTGAGCTGGGGGGCCACACACGACCCCACCGCAGTGGCCCGTGTGTTCCTACACCCATTGCACAAACCGACTCTGGCCAACAGCCCCAGACAGACCACTCTGCTCACCCCGGGGTCGGGGGCTTTCTCTCTGGGGGGCATTAACGCAGACACAAAGACACAGGCTTTTGCTCATCCTCCTTCCAACTGAAAGGATGACTGCGTGCCCTGTGTGCAGCCGTTGTGTGCAGAGGCGTGTCCTCCACAGCTTCCCACTGGGCCTTCCTCGCATAGGACGAGACAGCCAGGGCCACAGTTCATGTAGCAAGGACAGGAGCGTCCCCATGCTCCCCCAGGGGCCGGCTGCTGCATGTGGCTGGGTGTGGGTGGGGCAGTGCGATGGACACGGTCAGAGCCACCTGCTTCCTGCATTTTACTTCACTTTCTGAACCTGCTCGGTGCTGTCCCTAAGGTATCGTGTCCACCCCAGCCTGCAACTCACCCATCTCATGACAGCATTCCACGGGCTGCTTAGCTGAGTCGGCATCTGTTCTGGGCTGCAGGTTCATATCCCCCCAAATTAATATGCCAAGGCCCTAATTCCCAGTGTGATGGCCTCTGGGAGGGGATGAGGTCACCAGCGTGGGGCCCTCACGATGGGATCGTGTCTTTGTAAGAGAACTTGCTTCCTCTCCCCGATGGGAGGACATGGTGAGAAGGTGGCTGGCTGCAGGCCAGGAAGGAGCCCTCCCGACGACCCAACCGTGCCGGCACCCGGATCTGACTTAGCCTCCAGCACAGGGAGAAATCAACGTGGTGAGGCTGCCCAGTCTATGGTGGTTTGTTCTGCAGCCCGCGCAGAGACAGTGGCCTCTGCAGGGATCCTGGCGCCCAATTTTGACTGGGCCTAGTACCACCCAAGCTCCATTTTTCAAACGGGAGATAACTGAGAGCCTGGCTCCGCAGCTCTGTGGGCCGTGCTGTTACAGCAACGTCTCAGCATAGTCATATCTGCATCACCATGAGGCCGGGCAAGGCGTCTGTGCTGCAGAAGTGGCTCAGCAGGCTTTTCCCCGCTCTTGGCCCCATTCAAAACCGCCAGCCTTAGAGGCTCCCCAGAAATGAGTTGGAGCAGTCTTCCCATGTGTAGTGCATGCTGGGTCCAAACTCCAGAGGTCCCCCAGTCACTGCTCCCCAGAATGGCATGGAGCGTGGGGTATGGTTTGCCCTTTACCTCATAGGGTGTATCAGGGCATGCTCAGATGCTGAAACCCCAGAAGCTTCAATGATGTGGCAGGCCTCCGATATCTCCCAGCCTGAGGCAGGTACCTGCATTCCTAGGTCACCTGGGTTCTCCCAGGTCCAGGCAGCATGAGATCATCGACACAGTAGTGACCCTGTGGCCTTATAGTAAAGCCAGTGTTGACAGCACAGTGGGCAAGGCAGTAAGTGTACTGCAGTCCTCGCCAAGTCAACACAAACTGTCTTCTCTCCATGGATAGGGTGTGGAGAAGAGTGCAGTTGCTGAATCGGCAGCTGTGCTGATCTGTTCTGGTAAAGACGCTATTTGTCACAGCGGCTGTGACTGGAGAGACTACCTGGTCACGCTGCAGGACCCCACCGCCACCTTCCATCACAGCCTGGTGTCTGCAGTGCCCAGTTCCATGAATTACATGGGAATTGGCGGGCACTGGAATTTCACCATCCTTTGAGCCTCTGACAGTGGCTCTGATCTCTGCGATTCCTCCAGGAAGGCAGGATGGATTTACTAATTTGGTAGGAATGGGGAGGGGTGTTCAGAGCCTTCCAACTGATGGTCCCTAATTCAGTGGCTCTGACTTCACAGGTTAAGGAACCAGTGATGGTTTCTGCCAGCTGCCAGCTCTGTCCATCCCAATTATACACCTGGAGACCCATAGGCCCTTGTGAGACGGACATGGGCCTAACTCTACGCGCCATGTGGCTTTCATAAGACCCCTCTACAGCCCAAGGTGCCGCTCTGCTTGTCTGCTCAGCGGCGACTCAGAGCCTGGACAGTTTCCAAGGTCTGCTCTTTCCCGTTACCACTGCAGTCTTCCCAGCACACGCATGCAGGTCCCTTTGGGGAAGCATCGACCAAAGGGACCTGCAGCCTACGTGTGGGGTCCTTCCTCAGGTGAACCTGACTCCCCCTTCAGTCAGTGAGCTCCGAGCCTGTGAGCTGACTCAGGTGTGGGACTTGGACCATGACCTGCAGGTTTTTGTTCATTGCTGAGCAATGCCTCTTGGTGCCTTCCTGTCTCCGTTCGGGCTGCTGTGATGAAACACCAAGCCTGGCCACGCCCCAGAGGACAGGGGCCCCATCAGGAGGTGAGATCGTGATGCCAGCCAGGCTCCTTGTTGATCAAGTTACCGAGGGTCTACCCAGCAGATGGGGGCCCGGAAGCTGGGGGAGACGCAGCCATTTGGCCCTGGGCTCCCAAGTGTCCTGCTGTCACTGGGTTAATCCCTGTCCAGGAAGAGCCCAGGGCTCTGCAGAGGAGAGGGGGAATAAACCAGCAGTGGCAACCCCAAAGGGAGGCTTTTTCTCTCTTGTCCCATCCTCAGGGCCTAAGACAGAGCTTGGCCTCACCTCTGACACTCATCAGGTGCTCAGTAGAAGCTTGTTGCTTAGAGAACGCACTTGCCTGTCTGCACGGCTTCATTTGTTGGTGATATGCTTGTTTTCCTCATTCACTGTGAAAGCAGAACCCGCGTCCTGGCATAGCGGGAGTTCTTTGTAGCCCACGTTCTCCAACCTCTTCCTCCCTCAAAGCCCTCCCGCGTCTGCCTCTCTCAGGATCTCTGGAAGTCTCTCTTCTCTAGGAGGGCAGAGGGAGTTAAGGAGTCAGTTACACAGACCCCACTCTGTCCATGTCCCGCACCATCAATCGTGTGGAAAGATTTCTGTCCCAGCAAGTTAACTTTACACATCCATTTCATCTCTCCATGTAAGGTGTTGGCCCTGGTCTGGTAAAACACCCACAATAGGAACATTTTACAGGAAACTCATTCTACTCATAACTCAAAATGGAATGGCCAAGTGTAGGCTGGGCATGACTGTGAAGTCAGAACCACTGAATTAGGAACATCAATTGGAAGCCTCTGAACCCCCCTCCCCTTTTCTACCAAATTAGTAAATCCATCCTGCCTTCCTGGAAGAATCGCAGAGATCAGAGCCGCCATCAGAGGCTTGAAGGGTGGCAAAATTCTGCCAACCAACTCCTGGCTCACACTAGGAAACTTAGCACTTTGGGAGGCTCAGACACGAGGACTGCTTGAGGTCAGGAGTTTGACACTAGCCTGGACAACATAGCGAGACCCCATCTCTACAAAATGTTAAAAAGAAAAAAAGAGTTAGGTGTGGTTGTGTGCATCTGTAGTCCCAGCTACTCAGGAGACTGAGGTGGGAGAACTGCTTGAACCTGGGAGGTTGAGACTGCAGTGACTGTGGGAGCCCAGGGGGTTATGGTGAGCCATGATCACGCCCCTGCACTGCAACCTGTGCGACAGAGGGAGACTTTGTCTCTTCAAACAAATAAAGAACAAGTACATGAGTTGCTTGAAAGATTCCCAGTGCCTACTTCCAATTCAGAGCGCGGTGCTCCACGCAGTTGGGTGCGTTGCTGGGATTCAGACACGGAGTCTCCCCAAAGCAGCAAGTGGTGATGCAGCTAGGAACGGGCAGGCCAAGCCCCCCACCCAGCCCCCCGAGGTTGATGTCCCTTTCCACTTGACACAGAAAAGAGGCAACTCATCCTACTGCATTTTAAAATAAAAATACTTTATTGATGAAGTCAGACAGCAGCTAACAGTTTGAGAAGCTTGGGAAGAAATCACTTTCACATGGGGGATATATGCAACCTAGAACATATTTGGCTAAGTCATAAAATTAACATTTTTAGTCATCTGTAAAGTGCTGAGACATTTATTTCTGGTGCCTGCCTGTGTTAGGATTTTTTTCTTGTTATCCGTCCAGTAAGTGAAACACTGAAATACACGTTCAGCAGGATGGCGCTCACTAAGTATGCACCTTGACATGATGGTGTGCACTCATTATGCACGTTCTCACGCGGGGCTGGCTCTGCAACTGCAGAATAGAAACTGATGCGTTCTGCAGAGGAGGCGTCTGCACAACAGACAGGCTGGCCCGAGGTCACGCCTCTTGGCCTGAGTCCCGCTCAGTGACAGCAGCCAGCATGGCCTAGCACCAGGAGTCATTCGGAGCGTGCGTGCTAAAGCAGACACAGCATTCCACGTCAACAGGGGCAAGAAGCTGCACGAAGGAACTAAGCAAGACTTCTCTGCCTATCTCCTCTAATACTAAAGCACACACTTTTCTCCTGTGGATAGTCACTCTATTTATACGAGAAGGGAGGAATAATTTGGTGTTGATGCTTGAGTCCAAATGTTGATAGGCACTGAGCATTTTGGTTCAAAGCAAACATTATTTGTGAAATGCTACAGATAATACATTGACTGAAACATTAACTGTTAATTTTTTAATAGAAAAATGCAATACAAAAATATTACTTTGTTAAAATATACAGTACACACATTATACCACTTTGGAAAACCCAGCTCACTTCTGAAAGCAAATCATGCTAACTGGACTGGTAGGTGTTACCTGGCTTTTAAAATTGTTAACAAATTTTACTCTGAAATTCAAAAATATAGAATATAAATAAAAGTCGTGAATCTGAATCAGGTAAAACTTTTAAGAATTGTTAATAAATGCCTGCACTACTGAATACATATATTTTCTCATAAATTCTTAGTCTGCAAATTCTCTAATATGATACAATAGGTCTGACGCTGATGAAGTTTAACATTTAGTATTCACATATGGACTACAGCAGTCAAAAAGAATGTGGTATTTTCCCAGAACTGCACTCAATTACTCGAAAATTGCATCAGTCTTCTGCCTTCGTGAGAAGTGCTTGTAATTACTTCTGCTGTACAGAAGAGAAGGAAGGAATTGGCAGGGACACCACCATTACGCTATTGCACGTTTCTCCCCCAAATACTGTTTTTAATTTATTCCCAACCAGTGTAGACACAGCTTAACCACTCAGGCTGTAGGATTAGCTGAGAAGTCACCCTTGATTGCAAATTCTGACAGCAGAAGGCGGCCGTCCTGCTTATATATTCAGCAGAGGGATCTGCCAGACCATGACGGTCGGCGCCAGCTCTTCCTGGTGGGGCTGCCGGGCCTTCCTGTGCACCCGGCGGTGGCCCTGCCCTCCACAGACCACCAGCGCCGAGCTGGCCTTGGCTTTCTTGGCCCGGCGTGCTTTGCTTCTCAGCGAGACAGGATCCTTCAGGAGATCATAGATGGTGCTGTCCTCTGATCTGTGCTCTAGAGAGCTGGAGCCGTGAGACAAGCTCAGGGACCCAGATGAGGAGGACAGGTCGCTTTTCTGAGTCATCGATCCCAGCGAATCTCCCAACCAGATGGCTGCGTCAGGGTCACCCTGGCTCAGAGATGAACCAGCTCCTCCACTCGGAAGTGCGTCCTTCTGGTCTTCGTCCTGAGGCTCGGGGCCAGGAGCCAGGCTGTCCCTGGATTTGTCCTTGTCTTTCTCGTGCAGAGCCGTGGCCAGGACGATGAATTTGACAGGACTGTTGTGTGCATGGTAGGAGACCATGCCTCTTCCTGAAAAGGGAAACAGTTCAACAGCTGTCTTTTAAAATAGGCAAAATTTGAGACAAGGAAGCAAAAAGTGCAGGGCTTAACCCCAACGCATTCCTCCCTGCCCAAATAACAAAGCCTGTAAGTAACTTGCATACATGAATAATAAGCTACGATGAAAATATCTGGATTATATTCCTCTGGGTTTTTACTTAATGTGAAAAAGGCTTTAAAAATGATTTTCTAAAATAGAAAGTTGTGTTTTCCTCAGCACTATTTCAGTTCTAATACTCCTACTGTACTTTTCAAAGTAATAAAATAGTCATTTTTCCATTCTGCATAAAATACCTTCTTACTTACCCTATGGAAATATCCCAAATTTTCCTAAGTCTTGATTAGAAATATTAACGCCTGAAATGTGTTGGTTTGGGAAAGAAATGACTAAACTACCGGCTGCCTGCCATTTTTCATTACAAAAACGTTCTGGGGTTCAGAACAATTTAACTCTATAATTTGATTAAAATTAGGACTTTCAGTTTTCAGGTGATGTGATTCAAATTTTAAAGTCACGATCGTATCAGAAACACCTGCAGGTCTTCTTAAAGCCACACACAGCCCCGCAACCCCCACACTGATTCTGTAAGCATCACGTGGACCTGGCGTGTCTTCTGGATGCTTTGTGGGTGACATGACATATGGACAGGGGCACGTGTCCTTTCCCCAAGTGCTTTCAGATGAAACAGGCCCCAGCCCTCACCATCATCCTACTCTGGCCAAGGCAAATGACATCACTGAATCTTCCACCGTGGTGAGAGTCCATTTCCCAAAGAGGAGAGTGGCAAAGTGAAGTCTGCAGGGAGCAGGAGCTGGGGGGACTGTGCAGGGACAGGCCCGCTCATCACCTGGCGAAGCACACACCTGTGATCCCTGCACACCAGCGATGCTGCCCCTGGGCAAGCCCCCAGAAGGAGCTTCTGCCCATGTCAGCAGAGCCAGCCACACAAATATACAGAGGCTTGATGTGTAATGCAAATGGGTAGCACCTAGCTACCATCCAAAGAAACACAGTGAGTGCACGTCCTTTCAGGAAGCACCTAGCTACCCATCCAGAGAAACAGTGAGAGTGCACCTCCTTTCAGGAAGCACCTCGCTACCCATCCAGAGAAACAGTGAGAGTGCACCTCCTTTCAGGATGCACCTAGCTACCCATCCAGAGAAACAGTGAGAGTGCACCTCCTTTCAGGATGCTCCTAGCTACCCATCCAGAGAAACAGTGAGAGTGCACTTCCTTTCAGGATGCTCCTAGCTACCCATCCAGAGAAACAGTGAGAGTGCACCTCCTTTCAGGGAGCACCTAGCTACCCATCCAGAGAAACAGTGAGAGTACACCTCCTTTCAGGGAGCACCTAGCTACCCATCCAGAGAAACACAGTGAGTGCACCTCCTTTTAGGGAGCACCTAGCTACCCATCCAGAGAAACTGTGAGAGTGTGCCTCCTTCCAGGATGCACCTGGCTATCCTCCAGAGGAACAGTGAGAGTGCACCTCCTTTCAGGAAGCACCTGGCTACCCATCCAGAGAAACAGTGAGAGTGCACCTCCTTTCAGGGAGCACCTGGCTATCCTCCAGAGGAACAGTGAGAGTGCACCTCCTTTCAGGGAGCACCTGGCTATCCTCCAGAGGAACAGTGAGAGTGCACCTCCTTTCAGGGAGCACCTAGCTACCCATCCAGAAAAACAGTGAGAGTGCACCTCCTTTCAGGGAGCACCTGGCTATCCTCCAGAGGAACAGTGAGAGTGCACCTCCTTTCAGGGAGCACCTGGCTATCCATCCAGAGGCAATGAGGGCACCTCCTTTCAGAGGCAGGCTGCAGGCAGGGAGAGGAAAGCACTATAGCTGTGGCACCAGCAGGGACTGACCCCAGCAAGGCTGAGAGAAAAAGCAACAGAGGCTGCTTGCACCATGGGACAGCTAGGAAAATGCAAAAGCCGGAAAGGTGAAAAGTACCCTTTAAGATACAAATTGGTACAACTACAGAGGAGGACCAAAGGAATAATTGACGTAAAACTCAGCATCATCATTTCCTAGGGTTGTGAGCAGAGAGGGCTGAGGCTGAGAAGGGGCAGCTGAGGCTCAGTGTGTGAGTCACAGCCCCTTCTGACCTGGGCACAGGCAGGTGGCCTCTTCTCGTTACCATTTAAACTGTGAAACTGTGCGTTATGCACAATTCTATGTATTTACAGGCTGAGTGTCACTTATCTGAAATTCTTGGGACCACAAGTGTTTTGGATTTTTTTTTTTAATGTTGGAATATTTGCATTGCACTTGCCGGTTGAGCATCCCAAATCTGAAATCCAAAATCTGAATTCCTCCAATGAGCACTGCCTTTCAGCATCACGTCGACACAGAATTTGGAGCATCTGAGGCCAAGGCAGGCGAATCACTTGAGTTCAGGAGTTCGAGACCAGCCTGGCCAACATGATGAAACCCCACCTCTACTAAAAATACAAAAATTAGCCAGGCATGGTGGCTGGTGCCTGTAATCCCAGCTACTAGGGAGGCTGAGGCAGGAGAATAGCTTGAACCTGGCAGGCAGAGGGTGCAGTGAGCCGAGACTGTGCCACTGGACTCCGTCCTGGGTGCCAGAGTGAGACTACGTCTCAAAAAGAAAAAAAAAAAATTGGAGCATTTCGCATTTTGTTTTTGGATTTGGGGTCCTCAACATGTACAATCCCATATATCATAATAAAAACATAAATTAGGAAATGAATGGCAAAACTAGAATTCCTTAATCCTTGTGGGTGGACCTGCCAAAATCTGAGTGCACGGAAGCCACCGTCAGGTCGGCCTGGGAGGAAATCACAGAAATGGAGCCCGTAGGAACAGTTCTGCTCTACAAGCTTCCTGCAAAGCGTTTTCTCTGTTAGTATTTCCCCCTGGCTGACATAGTAACCCACATAGAATCTAAGGCTGTGGTTTACTGAACTTAACAGGACGAGGAGTTTTCCGCGTCACTGCAGGCTCTGCACACACCACTTCTGCTGGCTGTGTTCTACCCATTACCGGCAATGCCACCATTTTATTAAATGGCCCAATCCGTCATTACGAACTGCGGGTCACCTCCTGTTTCGTGCTGTTAAAAATTAAATGCTGTGGCAAATGTCTTCTTGCATCATACTTTGTTCCTAGCTTAGGCTGTTTCCTGGGCCAATTCCCTGGATTGGGAATCCTGATTCCAGACACACAAGCATGTTTTAAGGCCTCCAATCCCTAACGGGACTGTGTCCAGAAAGGCCATGTGTTCCAGCCTGAGCTCTTACTGACATTGCAATAGCACAATGGAGCCTTTTCGGATCCCCGGCTTCCTTCTTCACAATATAAAATACAGAAAGGAAAGACGGAGATCCCGGCTTCCTTCTTCACAACATAAAATACAGAAAGGAACGACGGAGATCCCGGCTTCCTTCTTCACAACATAAAATACAGAAAGGAATGACGGAGATCCCGGCTTCCTTCTTCACAATATAAAATACAGAAAGGAACGACGGAGATCCCGGCTTCCTTCTTCACAACATAAAATACAGAAAGGAATGACGGAGATCCCGGCTTCCTTCTTCACAATATAAAACACACAAAGGAACAACGGAGATCCCGGCTTCCTTCTCCACAATATAAAACACAGAAAGGAATGATGGAAACTAATTCTGGCAGTAAACAGAATATAAAAACATAAGATTCTCCTTGGACTACTAAGGTAAAAAATGGAAAAATATATAAATTGATAATTCCAATTAAACAGTCTATTAAGTCATTATAATACACTGAAAAACCACAGATAATATGAATTGTTTAAAGAATCCTAGGATGTTAAATCACACTACACACTGCTATGCTCCACGAGCCTGCAAGACAGGATGCAGCCACTCAGACTGCAGGTGCCACTCACCGGTCACTTTGGGAATCCCTTGCAGACGTGGGACCGGCAGGGCCACGAGGACTCCCAGGCTGGTGCCGACCATCAGCAATCCGTGGCAGACGAGCAGGCTCGTCACCGACAGCCGCTGGTGCCCTGGGCGGAAAGACATGAGTGGCTTCGGGTCTGGTTTGTGTAGCAGAGTTGGTGGGGCGGTGACGGGGTGCTGGAAACCCCACAGGCCTGTCGTGCCACCACCAAATCCGCCAGGGGCAGGATGTGGCACAGGAGTTCCCAAACCCGAGCACCAGGCTCCCTCAACCACATGAGCAAGACAAGGGTCTTGAGGGCATACCCTGCACCTGCACCTGAACAGAACAGGCCAGATGTCTGGTTGGGTCTCCTGGGCTGTCGTCTGCATGGCTCTGCTTGGCCGCTTCAGCCATGAATCAAGCCCCTGGATGAATCTGTCTAAACCTTTTGCTTCTGGGCCGTGTAGCACGTGAGCTCGTGAGCCCCCGACATACACAGCGGCCTGTGGTTCTTTGGGAGCAGAGAGACCCCTTTACAAGTGAGGAGAGGTCTCTTAATGGGCGCGGCTGGACTCGAGTAACCGGCCCTCAGCCGCAGTTGGACCCTAGAGGGGAACTGAACGGCCTCTCCAGGGCTCTGCGTGAAGAACAACATCGTCACACAGCCTCAGCGCTGGACACAGCAGGGAAACATCACGGTGGATGGTGGGGTGAGAAGGGCCTTTGAGGCTCTTTGTTAGTTTGGTTTTGATTTGCTTTACAGCCAAGGATCTGAAGCCCAGAGAAACTAAACAATTTGCTCCGGCAGTGACAAGGCTAGAAAGTGGCTGCAAAACAATGTGGGAGACGCATGGCCTATTCCAAGACCCCGCCTCACGGCGGTTACAGGGAAGACCCCGCCTCACGGTGGCTACAAGGAAGACCCCACCTCACTGCAGTTACAGGGTGGGAGCCACATCACCTGCTCCAAAGACCCCGCCTCACTGTGGTTTCAGGGTGGGTCTGGACTGTCACATCATTCCACCACAACTCTGACACAATCGTCAGCATCGCGGCCTTCACACACAGAAAAGCTAATCCCCAGTGTTTCTCTGTTTAGCCCCAAAGCTGAGGAGCACAGTAGGCCCATTTAGCTTGCTCCTGAGAAGTGACGGTGAACACTTAAAAACAGTTTGATTCTTTTCTGTAGATATAAAAGCTATTTTAAATATCCCTGCATTTGACCCAAAGTTCATCTCTGATAAAGAGCATGAAAAACAACCTCACACCAGAGCCAAAGACTCCGTATCGACAGAGGTCAAACAGCCTCCCCCAAAACAAAAAACCCTCACTACAGAAAAAGAAAGACATTTGGTTCTATTTCTAAACGCCGATTCATATTATTTTTAAAAGCTCAATAATATGCATGTCCCAGGAATTCTGAATGTTGGCCTGGTCGGCGTGACTTGGTCAGGGCGATAGTGAATCCACAGCGCTGTCCTGTACGTAAGCCGGTGCTGTTACTTTCTAAAGCTAATGAGAAACACGGCAGCAGCTTCAAAGCTGATACGCAGGGTACGCGATTCCCAGCTGCTCCGAAGTGCTGACCGCTCTACAACACGGGGAGCAGCCCGGGGCGCAGCCGCAAAGGGAGTGTGGATGATCTTTCTAGAGCAGCAGTTTGACTCAACAGTAAGTATTTTAAGCATGAAACATGATTGTCTTATGAGAGAGAAAACCGGTGTGCATATGAGTTCAGCATCAAACCTGAACCCGGCCTCCCCGGCCCTCCGTGTGGCACTAGGATGGGAAGCAGCCCCGCTGTGGGAGCAGGGATGTGAGATACTGGGAAGGGGAGAAGCCCCACCTGCGTGCCGGGCAAGGCTGCGGCTGCGTGACTGAAACGATGGCCCGGCTTCTGGAAGGGCTCCTGTAATGCTGGCCAAAGCTTGCATTTAATAAAAAGGGTAGGCCGGGCGCAGTGGCTCATGCCTGTAATCCCAGCACTTTGGGAGGCCGAGGTGGGTGGATCCCCTGAGGCCAGGAGTTCCAGACCAGCCTGGCCAACATAGTGAAACCCCATCCCTACTAAAAATACAAAAAAAAAAAAAAAAAAAAACCTAAAAAACAAAACAAAAAAATACAAAAAAACTAGCTGGGCGTGGTGGTAGGCACCTGTTATCCCAACTACTCAGGAGCTGAGGCAGGAGAATTGCTTGAACCCGGGAGGCGGAGGTTGCAGTGAGCCAAGATCGCACCACTGCACTCCAGCCTGGGCAAAAGGAGTGAAACTCCGTTTCAAATAAATAAATAAATAAATAAATAAATAATAAAAAGGGTAAAAGCAGGTAGAAACCCGATATGAATGTTTTTAACTGGTTTCAAAGTACCCAGGAACGACGTAAAAGAGTTAAGTTCCAGAGAGTGGTTTTCCATTGCATTTTCCAAGCAGTCTGCCAATCAACATCTTTAATTTTACATGGGAAAGCTGAGGGCCACAGTCACGAGGTCATGCGGTCATTTTCCGATTCCAGAGGCTGCGGTGAGTGCCGCTATCCAGGCGTCCCGTGCCCGTCCGGAAGCACCAACAGTGACCTAGAACAGGACAGCAGGGCGTGTCCCAGATGGGGCTGGGTCCCGGGAGTTGGAGCCCACGTGAGGTCCGCTGGCGAGGTGGGAGGCAGGGGCAGCTGAGGTGGTGAACGGTGATGCAGCTGCACAGTGAGGTTGGTAAATGGGTTACACGTGTGAAGTGGGACTGACTGCACTTGAGCGGCTGCTGGATGGTGACTCCGTGGGGAGTCACCAGGGCCTTCTGCAGGCAGCCACAGAGGCAGACGCATCTCCCGCCCTGGAGGCTGGGAGAAGCTGGGGGTGTAAACAACACCATCCAGGTTCATTCAAATAACCTCAGAGACAGAACAGTGAGTAGAAGAAGCAATACGTCCCCCAAGTATGGGAGGGAATGCTACCAGGGGGATTCGCCCTCTGCTCTTCCCAGCCTGGAACATAAAACAAAGGACAGGCCAGGGCCACACCGGCCACCGAGAAAGGCTGTGGCTCCCAAGTCCTCAGTCTCGTTCGTTAACTCACCATCTTGAGTCCGGTTTCATTTACTGAATTCCCTTACGGTGTAGTCCATGGTCTTCAGAAAAGTTACACGTTTTTTGTCTTTTTTTTTCTAATGGAAATTTTGGCCATTTTATTTGGTCACATAGTTCCTGGAGGCTCTGTATTCGCTCGGTGGAGACTCAGAAAGGCGCAATTTACCATGTGTCTCAGCACTTTCCCATCAAAAATATCCTCCTTTGAACATGCGGGACAGAGCAGGAAACATCTGCCTGGTGATGTAACCTACTGCAACTGCTCACAACCTAAAAGCTGAGGCGCCGTGAACTCACTCGCTGTAAACTCTACTCCTTTATAACTTAGAAAGGTAACGACCGCTCTAACGAATGTGTATGTTAATCACAGACCTTCATCAACTGTTAGTCTGTGTTGAATCTGATGTAGCTTATGTGAAAGAACGTGAGCTAAATGGTTTTCAGAAGTGAATTCCAAATAGAAGGAGAAAAGCCAGGGCCTTAGCTACAGATTCACGGATTCCCCAGGGGCCAGCGTGCTGAGACCCTGAGGAAGGAAGGAGGTTTCATCACGTTGTGTGAACTTACACAAAAGGCATGAGTTATAATACAGTTTGTTTTTTTCAAATTTTGTTGTTTCGGCTTGGCAAGTCTTCATTTGCAGAAGCTACCTGACTTTTATATTCCAGCAATAGCACAAAAAGATAATTTTATGTCTTGTTGCCACACACACACACACACACACACATGAAAACCCATTTGAGCATCGTCATGAATACAACTCTAGAATGAAGGTTTTGTGTGTGTGCGAACAGAGCACAGAGGACATGTGTGGGCCTCCAGGAACCATCTTGGACGATAAGGAGGAGAAGAACCCAGGAGCAGTGACGGCCCGGCGACCTCAGCATCCGCGCACTTCAGCACGGTATGAGCATGCCCCCACCGGAATGTCTAAATACAGCATGAAATGCAATAATGCTTATTTCTATGAAATATATGAAATATTAGCTGAAAGGCAAAGACGACTAGACAGAGGAGATGAGATGAAAGGACTCTCTGGAGGAAAGGACTCTCTGGCCTGCTCATTCCCTCTGAGTCACAAAATGCAATGAAAATCAGAACCATTTCAGTCTATGCCGCACTGAGGATCTTACAGAGAATCACTGTCAGAAGCATCACAAACAAAACTGAACTTCTGGTGTCACCGAGGTTGCCTCTAACCCGTGTACCTTTCTCCTGCTGACAAGGCCACGGTGGCAGCAGACCACAGCCTGGGAGCAGAGAACTGAATGTGGGTAAAGCAGTCAGTGTACCCCAGAAATCAGTGAAGCTGGAGCTATTTCCAACTTAGTACCGAAATGCCGGAGAAACCTGCCAACGAGAAGCACGGCACTCCATCTGGACAGACTCATGTGTTTGCTTTCATGCGGGTCTAAAATGCAGACCTGACTATGTCGTGTAGGAATAAGTAAAGACCCACGATTCAGGGGCCCCCGGAGCAGGGGGCTGAGAGCACGCACTGTGGCCATGGAGAGCCAGCCCAGGATGTTGGAGGGGCCCGGGAGAGTGGGCGCCAGGGGATGGTGGCTCTGCAGAGCCCCATGCATCTGCTGCCAAGTGAGAGGCTTGTGGTGGGCTTGGGATGGATCCATCATCGGCCGCCTGGAAACTATGAGCTGAAGGGTGAAAAGTCCCAAGGAAGGCTCAGCGCCCAGCCACAGACAACTTCATCATCCAAAACACGCAACACAGGCAGCTGCGATTTAGCCAGAACCTGCGACCTGAGCAGCCGGCAAGGGGTCTGCATTCTGTTTCTGGGTGGGTGCAGGACTGTGTTGGGTGCTCTATGCTTGGAGGGAAGCAGGATAATTCCATCTTTCTCTTCTACAGGAGAGGTCAAAGACAGTATCTAAAACAAAGCATCAAGAACCTGCCATACAGGAGTGGCTTTCGAGCAGCAGCAGTAGGGAGGCGGGCGGGAGAGGCAGCTGACAGCGGGGTGGGGTATGGGGACAGTGCGGGGGGCCGGGGCGGGTGCTGACAGTGGGTGGGATGCTGGGATGAGAGGGTGGGTGCTGAATGCGGGGTGGGGTGTGAGGATGGGGGCAGGGTTGGGTGCTGACAGTGGGTGGGGTGCTGGGATGGGGGCGGGGCTGTGAGTCCCCAGAGCGCAGGCTTTCCTATCCTGCTTTGCTTTTCATAGCCTGGGCGTGAGTGCTGTTGGGTTTTATTAAATCGTGTGCAAGGGTTATTTTATTAAGAAATCAAATTCAAAATACAAACTCCACTCACACTTGCCAGAGCCTTCCCTTGATTAGGAGTTTCTTTCTGATCCCACCCGGAGAGGGATAAACACCAAGGATCCTGCAGGGCCGCTGCATTTCCGTGGCTGCTCTCGGAACTCTGAAACCAGGGTAACCGTGGGCTGCTTCGCCCCGGAGGGAGGTCTGCGCTGCAGGGCAGCTGGGGCAGGATTTGGAGGCTCGGGTGCTGGAGCCCACGGGAGGTCGAGTGGAGAGGTTTTTCTCATAACACCCTCCTCACCTCCCCTTGTGTACAGAACTTTGAACACATGGACACTCACTGCCGCGTGAGAGCGTGCTTTGGCAATTACGGATGTGACTTGGTTTTGTCCCAACAAGGACAGCCTATTCCTGCAGCAAACATTTGCTCTAGCAGTGAGTGCTCCAAAGAAAACACAAGGTCCACAGCAGAGCGTCTGCTTTCTGAGCCACAGGGACTTAACCATTTTGGTTCTCTAAATATAAACTTGCATGTTACATAAACCTCCTTTTCTCACTAAGAGAAATCTCCTGTAGTATTTTAACAATGACTTGTACAGTTAGCCCCTGAGAAAAGAACGGCTATCATGGACCCACCGTGCACCGAATATATTCACCCTCCCATCTCCAGTGGGAGTGCGGCGGGGACACGGAGGCCCCGAGGAACATCCTCAACACCTCCTCGGCCTCCTCATCCTCCCCTTGTCAAAGGACGGCCTCACACCCGTTCTAGAACCAGACCCCTAATCATTGTGGTTTTTTTCAACGTATCATAAATGGCCCGTCATGGACTGAATGTTTGTGTCTCCCCAGATTTCGATGTTGAAGCCCTGCCCGCAGTGGGATGGTGCGAGGAGGCGGGGCTTTGGGGACGTGATTAGGGTTAGATGAGTTCATGAGGATAGGGTCCCCATGATGGGATTAGCACCCTTATAGGAAGCGGAGGAGACCCCAGGGCTCTTTCTTCACCACATGAGGCCCCAGCCAGAAGGCACCAACTGCAAAGCAGGAAGCAGATCCTCCCAGAAACCGGCCCTGCAGGCACCGTGCTCCCCGGCATGCTGCCTCCAGAACGCGGAGGGGCAGCCTCTCTGGCTTGTAAGCCAGCCCGTCTGTGGCGTGTGTCACAGCAGCCGAAGGGCTCGGAGGCAGAGCCCTTACTTCATGCCTTCCCCTTAAAACTGCAAATGTCTTCCAATACCCACCAGCAGGCAAAGAAGCAAAACAGCCCTTCCACGGACCCCACAGCGGCCTCCGGCTACCCGTGAAAGAAGCCGGTTGGGCCCCCTCCTCATTTCTTTCCTCCATCCTGTTGTAGGATGATCCTCCCAAAACTCAATGTGTAATGGCCTTCTCCCCTGCCCAGAAACTTCAGTGACACCCACCAGCAACAGGGCATTCACAAACATAGGCCTCTGTTGGCCTCTCCCCAACAGCCCTCCCAGCCAAAGGGAGGCCTCCTGTTCTGTGTTCTTCAGCCTCAGGTCCTGGCTTCCCCAGGGCCTTGTTGCACCGATGATGAGAAATCGTCTCCCACCCACTCTGACCTACAGAGATGGCACTGCCACGCGGCTCCTCCCAGCACGCGGCTCCTCCCAGCACGCGGCTCCTTCAGGACCTGTGCCCTGCACCGGGAAGCGCTAAAGTGGGCTGACCATGCTCCGTACTCCCACGTCTGTCCCTGGGCCTTGTCCCACCCCATTACCTGGCAGCATGTTGTGAACAGTGTCCTGCACTGGGAAGCGCTAAGGTGGGCTGACAGCGCTCCGCACCCCCCACGTCCGTCCCCGGTTGCTGTCCCATCCCTGGGCCCCGTCCCGTCCCCTTACCTGGCAGCATGTTGTGAACAGGGGTGGCGATGTTGATGTCCTGCAGGTGCTTGAGAGTTTCCGTGTGAAAAAGGCGGAGCGTGGACCCTGAGGTGAAGGCAATCCAGATCCCGACGCCGGACACGGCCATGTGGGAGATCACCATGCCTTCCTCCTGGTGGGCCTCCAGCTGACCCTGTGAAATCGAGAGGTCAAGTCTGCTAGCCCCGTGGAGTGAGTCTGAGTGGGGCCTGTTGGGTCCACGTGGCGTCCAGCTGGAGCGCCATTCAGTGGCTGCAACACAGTAGCAGGCTTTGCTCCAAATCACAGGCGTCTCCAGCAACCAAACACCAGCAACCCAACTGCCTGCCATTTTCCAATCATCCTGGCTCCTTTGTGAGCCCAGAAAATGGCCATTCCAAAGACACAGGCATGGTGCGCCTGCCGAGGGGCCACTGAGCTTGTGTCCTAAAGGAGACATGGGCAGGCTGGCGAGGGGAGGCACAGGATCCATCCCCCCAGGCCCATCAGAACCTGCTGGAACCTTCCTCGATGTCTCCAAGCTATGGCATGGGGCCCCACTGCCTGCCTGCAGCCTGACCCTGGTTCTGAGTCTGTGCCTCCTCTTAGCTCTGCTGTCCTGGAAAGGCACCTTCTGCTTCTCCAAGCAACTTGGTCCTTCTGGAGCTTCCAGGCTCAGCTGCAGCCCCGCAGCTCCGAAAGTGCATCCCAGCGGCCTGCTCTGAGGGGTCCCACGGGTGCCTGGGCCTGGGCCCTCGTCACCCCACAGCCAGCAGGAGCTGCTAACACAGCGACCCCCCAACATGGCCTCAGGGGCTGCCTGGAGTTCAGGCTCTCTGGGATCAGTCCCAGGAGGACTGCCCCCGCCTTGCCCATCAGGGATTGGAGGGGGTGACAGAGGGTGAGGGCTGGGATGAAGCTTAGAGACACTGCGTGCCCCAGGAACCAGCAGCCTCACAGCTCTTGAAATTAAAGAAACTCACGATCCTGCACAGTTATCTAAAGTAAAGTGATGAAACTCATAAAAACCCACAGGAAATAACCAGACTGACATCTTGGCCCTACGAGTTGTCCCACAATCTGAGAATAAGGGAAAAGACGACAGCCCCCATGGTGGAGACTGCTGACTCCACACACATGCCCCGTGGCACCAAACCCCATCCTGCGGCACTACGCCGCGCCCAGAGCCCAGTGAACCCGGCGGGCAGGAATTCAGGGATGCGACTTCAGTGGATGGGAGATCCCTTCTCCCATGGCATCGCCTCTTATTTCAGTTGAGATTCCATCAGGGACAGGGGCCAGAGGACTCCAGCCTACACAGGGGCGCTGCAGGGCCTGAGAGCTGAGGAGAGGACTGTGTCCTCAGGCTGGGCACGCAGGGCTGGGGTCCCGAGGGAGGCGACACGGTGCGGGAGGCTGGGGCCCCCAGGGAGGCGACATGGTGCAGGAGGCTGGGGTCCCCAGGGAGGTAGCACGGTGCGGGAAGCTGGGATCCCGAGGGAGGCGACACGATGCGGGAGGCTGGGATCCTGGGGGAGGCGACACAGTGCGGGAGGCTGGGGTCCCGAGGGAGGTGACACGGTGCGGGAGGCTGGGGTCCCCAGGGAGGTGACACAGTCAGGGAGGCTGGCCCACACGGCCCCAAGTCCCATCACTGTGGGTCTTGAGCGGGCTCCACATCTGACTGTCCACCCCCCTGGAGCAAACTGGAACCCCCCAGGTCCCCTGATGTGAAGTGAGAGCCCCACCTCTAAAATGCCCATTCTAGAGTCAGCCGTGTAATACCTCTCGCCATATGCCCGTAGTTTCCTCATAAAATGCCCATTCTAGAGTCAGCCGTGTAATACCTCTCGCCATATGCCCGTAGTTTCCTCATAGAAAATTTCTTCAATAATCACAAGTTGAATTTAAATATTTGTCAATGAGAAGGAACTGGTGCTCACAATTGCAAAGGAGTCTGCATCACTGACTTGTGACTTGGTTCCTAGGCAGATAATCCAGCTCTTACTCCCCAGCGGAACACGAATCTCACACACAAAGATCCCAAGTGTTTTTATGAACTGAAGCTTCACAGGATCTTCACAGTCTAAACTATCTGGGCTGTGCGGCGTGGGAGACAGAGCATCTGCCTGGGAGTTGGGAAGTCTTGGTTCGGATTCCAGATGGTTCTAGCGTGGGTCTGTTTTTGATCCCTCCTCCCTCTGACTTGGCCTCCTGCGTCACAGAGGAGAAGGTGTGCAGGCCCACACTTCCCTGACACTCCACCTCCAACCTGCAGAGCTCCCTGAATCTGGCCTCCTCGCGGCACTGGCTCCTTCCTCCCCTGCTCCTCGCCCTCCTCCTGGAATGGGGCCCTGTCTCTCCTGGCTTCTGTCATTGAGCCCCAAAGCATGCACAAGTCTCACTCAAATTAAAAAGAAAAATAGGGAAAAAGAAAAGGAAGAAAAGCCTGTGCCCCTTTCCGGCTGGGCTGTAGGGTTCCCCTCCTCCTGCCTGTGCTAGGCAGGCCGCTCCCCGCAGCCATTGCTTCAGGCTAACTTCTGCTAACTTCTCAGCTACTTCCAAAACTGCCACCTCCTTTTGAAAACACTGAGCTATAATTCACATATCATGAAGTTCACCCTTCTATAGGGCGCAATTCTGTGCTTTTTAGTATATTCGGGAAGTTGCCAACTTTAACCACTCTTGAATTCCAGAACATTTTATCACCCTTATGCCCCCTTCCCCAGCCCCTGACAACCACTCATCCCATCCACGTTCTGTCTCTGGATTTGCCTGTTCTGACATTTCATATAAACAAAATCCTACAATGTTCGGCCTTTTGTGTCTGGCTTCTTTCACTGAATTTGGCATTTTCCAGGTTCATCCACGTGACGTGAGTTGGGGCTTCACTCCTTTCTATGGCTGAAACCAATCCTCATGTATGAAGGAACCACATTCTGTTTGTCCATTCACCAGTTCCTGGGCGTCTGGACTGCATCCGCTTTTTGACTATAAATAACACTGCTATGATAATTCGTGTCTGCATGAGTATCAGGTTCTTCTGAATCTACACCTACGACTGGAAATGCTGGGTCACCTGGTCATGCCACGAGTTACTTTCTGAAGAAATCACAAACTGTCTTCTCAGAAATTGTACCATTCTGCATTCCCACCAGCAAGAGTCTCCCAGCATCCTCACGTACTCTGCAGTGCGTGCTGGCTCCACTAACATTATTATTCCTGCCATCCTAGTGTGTGACACAGTGTCTCACTGTGGTTTCGCTCCATGATTCCCTAACAAGCAACAATGCTGACCATCTTCTCGTGTGCCTATGGGTCGACTGTACATCTTCTTTGGAGAAATATCCATTCAGTTCCCTTGCCTTTAATAGCGTTACTTTTCTTTTTATTAAGATCTAAGAGTGAGTTAGATGCTCTGCATACTAGATCCTTCTCACATGAGCTGTACGTATTTTCTCCCACTCTGTGGGTTGTCTTTTCACCCTGCTGATAGTGTCCTTTGAAGCAAAAAGGTTTTAACTTTAATGAAGCCCAGTGTATCTTATTTTTCCACATTGGTTGCTTGTGCTTGAGGTGTCAGATCTAAGAAACCACTGTCTAGTCCAAAATCATGAGGATTTACCCCTATAATTTCTTTTAAGGTGTTTATAGTTTTAGCTTTTACATTTATGTTTTAATTCATTTGAGATAATTTTGTATGTGGTGTGAGGCAGGGGTCCAACTTCATTCTTCTGCACATGGAAGAATGAAGTTGTGCCAGCAGCACCTGTTGTGCCAGCAGCACCTGTTGAAGAGGCCATTCAACATTCAAATGGAATAGTTTTGGCACCGTGTTGAAAATTATGTGAACATAGACACACGTGGTCTCCGGTCTATGTCACTGATGTATGTGTCTGTCCCGTGCCAGCACCATGCTGTCTTGCTTACTGTGGCTATGTGGTAAAATCTGAAATTAGGAAGTGTGGGCCTCCAATTTTGTTCTTTTTCTAGATTGTTTTGGCTATTCTGGATCCCCTGCATTTCCAGATGAATCTCAGGATGTGCTTGTCAAGTTTTGTTTAAAAAAAAAAAGGCAGCAGAAATTTAGATAGGGATTATGTTGAATCTGCAGATCCAATTGGGGACTGTTTTCTTCTTAACAATAGTACATCTTCCAATCTATGAACATAGGATGCCTTCCCATTTATTTAGGTATTCTTTAATTTCTCTGAATGATGTCTTGTAGTTTTTAGAGTATAAATCTTGCACTTTTTGATTAAAAATTTCTCCAAGTATTTTTCTTTCTGACAGCATTATAAATGAAGTTGTTTTCTTGTCTCATTTTCAGGTTGTTTGCTGCTAGTGTATAGAAATTTAATTGATTTTTGTATACCGATCTTGTGCCCTGTAACCTTGCTCAACCTGTTTATTAGTCTAGTAGTTTTGCTGTGAATTCCTCAGAATATTCTACATACAAGAGGATATCATATGCAAATGCAACTTTACTTCTTCCTTTCATCTGAGTCCTCCACTCTTTTTCCCTTGTCTAATTGCTCTGGCAGATCCTCCGGTACTACTGTGAATAAAAATGGCAGAAGGCATCTTTGTCTTGTTCTTGATCTTCAGGGGAAAACTTTTCTTCTTTAACCATAAAGTATGATGTTAGCTGTGAGTGTTTTATAGATGTCCTTTGGCAGGTTGAGGAAAAATCACCTTCTAGTCTTAGTTTGATTGTTTTTATCATAAAAGGGTGATAAATCATGTCAAGTACTTTTTGTGCATCAATTGAGATGATCATGTGGGTTTTTTCCCCATTATTCTGTTAATGTGATGCATTCCACTGATTGATTTTCACGTCCTGAACCATCTTTGCATTTCAGGAATCCATCTCATTTTTCCAGGGTACACAATCCTTTCAGTACGCTGTTGATTTCAATTTGCAAGTCTTCCGTTGAGGATTTTTGCATCCGTGCTCACAGTGGATACCGGTCTGTGGTTTTCTTGTCATGTCTTTGGTATCGGGGTCATGCTGACTGCAGAATGAGTAGGAAGTGTTGTTCCGTCCTCATCAATATTTTTGGAGAGTTTGGGAAAGAGTACTGTTAATTCTTTTTAAAGATGTTTGGTTAGAATTCACCAATGAAGCCATCTGGTCCTGGGCTTTTTGTTGTTGTTCAGAAGTTTGTGATTACTGATTCAATTTCCTTACTACTTTTAGGTCTATTCAAATGTTCTATTTCTATTTCTTCATGATTCAGTTTTGGTAGTTTGTGCCACTCTAGAGTCTGTCCATCTCTTCTAGATTATCTAATTTGTTGGCCACCTGCTGCCTGTTTCACACACAAGTCTCCATCATAGCTGGTTTCTTTAGCTAGTTCAGAATAAAGCAGAAATTACTCCCTGGAAAACTGTTTGGGGCAGAGGAAGGCGACTTCCATAGAGAGGATTTTAAAAAGCAAAACAAACAACCGTGGCGTATGACAGAACTCTGGTGTGACTATAGAGGAGCAAAGCTTCTTTCTTTCCTCGGGCTTTTGACTCTTTCACAATCACAATCCAAACTTCTGGAAAGATGATTTAAAAAAACCAAACCCATGGAGTTTTTAACCCAGCGCAACCTCCTTTGTTCTAGTATCCAAGCGTCTCGCACCCCGTTACGTTGCTGGCAAAATACTCTTCTGAAAACAAATTTTGACATCTGTTCCACGCTGAAAACCCTTCAATGGCTCAGCACCGTCTGCTGCAAAAGTGCTGTTTAAAAGAAAACTACACAGAACTGTGCTCCAAGAAGTCAAGTCAAAGGCTGCTGGCTACCTTCAGCGGCATGGGGATGCCTGCACTGCCCATGCTTCCCCCCAGTCCCCGGGAGCTGAGCCAGTGACAGGACCTAAGCTCCTTGTCCCCTACTGTGCTCGCAGACCCACCCTCTGCTTCCAGCAGCCCCTTGGGGACCAGTAGTCTCGAAGCCTGATGCATCTCTCCCTCTCTGAGGTGGCATCCCGGTTTTTCTCCTAGTGAATCCCTCCTCACCCTCGACCAGCTAGCCACATGGGCACCATCCCTAGGCAGCTGCCGAGGGCCCTGTGCCTGCAGGGACGCATGCTTGGCTTGACGCTTTGCTGCTGCCGTCGTGAAACTCGTAGTAACCGTGGGATGCAATGCCCCTGGATTTCGGCTCACTGTGCCAGCCTGAGGCCTGGAGGGAGTGTTGCCCCCAAAACTCCCACAGCACCCTCACTCACGCTGGCAGCCCAGCCATCCTGGGACTGAGAGCCGGGCCTGTGTCATCAATGTCTTAACCATCTGTGGTTGCTCTGTTTTTGCACAGTGCTAGGTACTTGGTAAATGTTTGCTATGTTTCTTCTGGAGGACAGATTATATGGGTATTACCTTAGCACTGATGTTGGGCATGGCTTCTCCTTTCTCTAAGCCTTGGTTCTCGAAAATAAGAACACTGGGCCACAGGATCTCTAAGTCTCCGTTTGCCTTGAAATTGTGTGATTCTGAAGGTGTCTGAAAGAAAGCAGGCTATGGATTCCACAGTGTTCAGGAGTCTCCGGGGACTGGGATTCCACAGTGTTCAGGGGTGTCTGGGGACTGAGATTCCACAGTGTTCAGGGTTTCTGGGGACTGGTATTCCAGAGTGTTCAGGGTTTCTGGGGACTGGTATTCAACAGTGTTCGGGGGTCTCTGGGGGCTGGGATTCCAGTGTTCGGGGGTTTCTGGGGACTGGGATTCCACAGTGTTCAGGGTTTCTGGGGACTGGGATTCCACAGTGTTTGGGGGTTTCTGGGGACTGAGATTCCACAGTGTTCAGATTTTCTGGGGACTGAGATTCCACAGTGTTCGGGGATCTCTGGCCTCTTCTGCTGACCTGGGCCTGTTGTTTTATTTTCTGTGTTTAGATATAGGGTCTCGCTATGCTGCCCAGGCTGGCCTTGAACTCCTAGCCTCAAGCAGTCCTCCTGCCTCAGCCTCCCAAGTGGCTGGGATTACAAGTGTGAGCCACCGTGCCCGCTTAGGCCTGTTTTGTTGCCCTGTGTTTCTTTCTACACAATGACAAGAATTAACTTCCTATGAGAAAAAAAACGCATTGCTGCAGCAAATCACTATGTTGCACTATTTAGGTCATCTTTAATATCTCGCCTATTTTATTATTTCATTGTTTTTCCCTTCAGTGGAGGATGAGGGCCAGAAACCTTTTTCCTCTCTTTCCTTCCTTCCATCTGTCTTCAGTCAAGAGCACTGCATATTGCAGAAAATCAAGAGTGAGGAAGAAAAGGTTTGCACTTTAAGCAGCTGTAGTCATTCCACTGAAACTAGCTGTGACTCAAGGCTCTAAGCAAGAAACCTGTCCAGGCAACGCCCCCCAGAAATCCAGAATGATTCACCCTTTTCCTAAACGTCAGACGTCAGATCCCTTAGCACTGCATCGTGTTCCTAACACTATGAGATTTAAACAGCAATTGGACAAACCCAGGGTAAAGGGCCATTTGCAGTTGGAGAAAAAGAGATACTTCCCCTCCCCTAAAGCATCCAGGTGACTGTGACTGGCACCGTGCGGCAGCTCAGCGTCCATGGCATGTCTTCCCATCTGCTCCTGACGGCCCTGACAGACAGGTGGGTGCCCCCTGCCACGTTGGGGGTGCTGCACCAAGCACCCGGCTCAGCGTCTCTACTGGTTCGCCCAGTGCTGCTTTGTTATGGCGCCAGAGCTGGGACGGGGCCAGCCACCCCCACCGGTATGCTGACTCCTCCACTGGCACAGTCACTCCAGGAACACCGAAGCCTCAGAGCCTCAGGTGCCTTTTTCTTCCAAATATGGCTAGCATCTCCCAACCCGCTCAACCCAAGCCCAGATCACATGCAGCTCCCAGGCCGGCACTGTTCTGACAGCATATGGCCATTCGGGACGGATCCCCCCGCAGCTGCTGCCCTCGCTGTCAGCAAGGCGGACACATACCCAGGGCTCGAATCTTGTGGGCTCAGGTCCTGTGGGCTGCCCCAGCCCCTGGCCACAGTTCCCCTGCACAACGGGAACGACAGGATGAATATCATGTTTTCAGAGAGCAGATTTTTGCTTCTTTCTAAAAATGTATTTAGTTATTTTGGTACTAAAAATGCAAGGAAAGAGCCCTATATCTGGATCCAAACACATTGCTTCTCTCTGAGTCTTCGAGATTTACAGCATATAAATTACAAGCAGCCTGAGAAAGGGGAATTACCCCCAGCTGTCAGCTCAGACAATTGAGACCCAGGTAGGCGGCTGATCCAAGATCACCGTATACTATATGGCTGAGCTCCCTCTGTAAATACGCAATTACTAGGATGGCTGTACTGATGGGGTACAAGGGCTGTGAAAAACTCAAGAAGCTGTGACCGCATCCACGGGGCTACCCTGCATGGCCGCACTAGCTAATCCCTGGCTCCCCACGAAACTGAAGGCTTCTCATTCTCAGGGCACGTGAAATAAGAAGTGTCAGATGGATATGAAAAGTAACAGGAACAATACTGCCAAAAATCATCTAACATGTACCCCAACCTCCCTGTCCAGCTATTTTCTGTTCCTGTCTAGCAGACCAGGTCTCGAAGGACGTCGGGGAGGCTGTGTCAAAAAAAGACTCACGCGGGAATGCTATTCATGATCCACGGCAGAGCGTCGGCCTCCAGGAGGCTCAGGACCCAGGTCCCATCTGCACCTTGCCCCAGTGTGGACCTCGCATTCCTAACCAAACCCACGTCTCCAGGGGCCAGCCGGAGAGCCCTTTCCTGGCTGAAGACGGCATTAGCCCGCATCCCACTGTGCTGCAAGCCAAAGCGGTGTCCACGTGGCAGCTCAGGAGCCACTTTCCCTCTGAGATGACAGAGGATGCAGCCTAGGCACATCCTGAAACCGGTCTCGTCAGTGTGTGCAAATATGATTCATGAAATGTCAGCAAAATGTCTTAAAGTTCCTAACCTGGGGAACTGATACATCCCTCCTAACGATGGTCTAGAGAAGTATTTTTAGAAGCTCTTAATGATAACATTTCTTTCTGGATTTGTGTAGATTTAGTCATTAGAACGTCTTCAGAGGCTTCAAAGAGATGAAATTAGACCCCTTGCCCCAACTGAAGACACTTTCCTGTGACATTTTGTGTGAGGGTCAAAGGAATTTTTTTTTTGAGACAGGGTCTTACTCTGTTGCCCAGGCTGGAGTATAGCAGTGCGATCTTGGCTCACTGCAGCCTCAGCTTCGTGGGCTCAAGTGATCCTCCCACTTCAGCCTCCCGAATATCCTACAGGCATGCACTACCGTGCCCAGCTAACTTATATATTTTTTGTAGAGATGGGGTTTTGCCATGTTGCCCAGCCTGGTCTTGAACTCTTGAGCTCAAGCGATCCACCTATCTTGGTCTCCAAAAGTGCTGGAATTACAGGTGTGAGCCGCTGTGCCCGGCCCAGAGGAATTTTTAATGATGAGTTGGTCCATTTTATTGGGTGAAAACACACCTGTGTTATCCCAGTTTGTTTAGGGACAGTGGGGTCAAGAGATGGCCAAGAACAGACAGTAAAAAACAAGACAGCGCAACCTCATAATAAACACCACATATGACACGGCTGAAAAATGCAGGTGTGAGGGGAAGTATGTAGCCTTTTCCTCATCATTTCAGGAATGTCAGTCCAACTTCACACACACACGCTGGCACGTCACACGGCCACTAACAGCAGACACGGGTGGGCTCATCAGGCACCACAGCCTCCCTCGGAGTGAGCTCGGACAGTGTTCCGCAGCCTGCTTCCCTGCACGTGCCCCCATGGGCGTGCATTTAGGAACACCCACAAGGAGAGTTTGGGCCTCCTCCCGCTGCCTGAGCTCACCTGCTCTGTGGGGCATAGATGCCCTCATTTCCCCAGCTCCTCCCATGCACATGCATTTAGGACACTCCCAAGTGTTTGTGATACCAACAAGGTTGCAATGGATACCCTTAGATGTGCGTGCACAAGCTCCTCTGTAGAGAGGATTTCTCTAGGGTGCGGAGTTGCCAGGAAGACGTTATGAGCCCCAGTGCTAACTGGTAACAGGTGAGTGCCCTCCGGAGGGGCTGCCCTAAGACCCCGCGGTCCTGAGAGCCCTGTGTCCCCACGTTCCAACCAGGTCGTACTTAGTGTTTACCTTCTGTCAATCTGAAGAAATGGCACCCTGAAGACCAGTGGTTGCCGAGACTGGGGGAGGGAGGGCTGAACAGAGAGCAGAGGATTTCCAGGGCAGTGAACCCACTCTGCGCGATGCTGTAGTGGTGGACAATGCTGAGATACATTTGCCCAAACCCACAGAAGCACGGCACCAAGAGTAAGCCCCCAGTGGACCCTGAGTGATGAGGGACTGTGGACCCTGGGCAATGATGACAGGCCCATGCAGGCTCACTGACTGTAACAAACGCACCACTCCAGGACGGGGCTGATGGGGGGTTGTGGGGGGTGTGCGTGTGTGGGAGGAGGGGTACATGGAAAATTCCGCACTTTTCATTCAATTTTGCAGTGAACCTAAAACTGCTCTAAAAATAAAGTTTATTAATAAAACAGTACCTTGTTTTAATAGGCAATGTTAGTTGCTAAGGAGGCTAAGTTATATGTGTATGAGTTTATTGTTTATTTCTTTCTTTTTCTGTGAGCTGCCTGTTCATGTCCTTTGAACATCTTCTATTGGGTTGGTTACCTTTTTCTTAGTTTAATAAGAAATCTTTGTATTTTAAGAACATTAATTCTTAGTCATATATACAGGAATTTTTTTCCCAATTTTTCCTCCATAAATATTTGATACACATATTTCAATGTGAAAAAAGTTATTAAATTGTACCATTTTATTTATTATGGTAACTTCTGGGTTTGTGGCATGCTTGGAGAGGCTTTCTCCATTGCAAAGTAATAAAACTGTTCTACTGCTTTTTATCTTAGAGGTTTATAGTTTCGTCTTCATGGTGAAAGTCCCATCCATCTGGAGTGTTTAGAGGAGGAGAGGGCTGGGGTTTGAGAGCCAGCTCCGTGTTTTCCAAACGGCTGCCCACTTGTCTCCTGATTCTTTGGTGAATGATCCATTTAGCCCACTGAATTGAAATGTCACCTCAATCAAATGCAAATTTTCCCTAAGTCCTGGAGGACTCTACAGGTTCATACTGAACACATTTCTTAAAGCAATGTTTCTTTTACTTAGCAGATAACCAGTGAACACAGGTAAATGGTTAAAAAATGGTTAGTTGAATTTTCTTGCTAATCTTGTCTTTCTAAGCAAAATCTAGAAGGAATTTTCTTTCCCTTTCCTTTTTTTTTTTTTTTTTTGGAGACAGGGTCTTGTTCTGTCACCCAGGCTGGAGTGCAGTGGCGAGATCTTGGCTCAATGAAGCCTGGACCTCCTGGGCTCAAGTGATGCTCCTGCCTCAGCCTCCCGAGTACTTGGGACTACCGGTGTGCAACCACCACATCCACTACAGGTGCGCACTGCCCTACCCAGCTAATTTTTTTGTAGGGACAGGATCTCACTTTGTTGCCCAGGCTGATCTGGAACTCCTGAGCTCAAACAGTCCTCCAACCTTGGCCTCCCAGAGTGTTGGCATTACAGGCATGAGCCACTGTGCCCGGCTAGAAGGAAATTTAGCCACAGGCAAGAAGCCTTGACTTCGGCACCAGAAGTCAGCTGAGCTGTTTCTGAAATGCATTTTTTCCACACCGTGTAGCCACCTAAGTGACTTACCTCTACAGCATGAGTCTCCACACTGATGATGAAGACTTGACCTCCGGAAGCCGCCCACAACGTGTCTTCCATCATGAGTAGACTTCTAACTGGTAGGACGCCTAACTTGATCACTTTTTGAGGTTCTGAATCCCAGGATCCATCTTAAAAGAAAATATTTCATTTCATTCAAGTTCAGTTTTCTGTGCACAGGAATGGGAAAATGGGGTCATACATCATTTTAAGTAACTGACACCCGAAGGATCACCTGTAATGTTAATGCTTGTGCCTGATCCTGGCTGTGTCTGGGGATCGACAAGCTGACACCCACCCCAGTTGGGCCATGGTGCACAGTCGGGAAGCACAGACAGCTGTGGGACACGCAGCCCTCAAGACCCCCCACCCGCCCCCCTGCCTATCCCCTCCATGTGTGTCCCAGACAAACCACTCATTCACCCTGAATCTCAGCTTCCTTCAGGGTAAGATCGAGACCATCCTACCACTAGCCGCAAAGGTTGTATCAAAAGTTAAAAATGAAATAATGCATGTACAAAGCTCAGCACAGTACCCAGCACACAGGTATTCAGTCAATACGACCATTTACAATAATAGCAGAGAAGATGATTCAGTCATCATTAAAAGGAACTGCATCCAAAATAACTGGGCAGATGTTACATTTCCCCATTAGCTGCTTCCGTTCTAACATGTGCCTTGCTCTATACTGCATCACGAAGAGAGGCCATATCTTCACAGAATACTTTAAGAAATCAAAATTGAGGTAAAAGGAATTCCTTACTTTTGATGAATTTGTTCCCTTTCTTGAAGCCTAGACAGTCGTGAAATATTCTGGTTTGAAAATATATCCAAAGATCTACTGACAAGGTCTTTCACACTTTATATCAAGTATGAGTTGCTACCTTGAATACCAATAAAAATTATTTGAGGCAAGATTTACCATAAACTTCTAAAGTGACTAATGTAATTATCCTATAAATAATTAAAATGAATTCTTCAATTCTCAGTCTAACCATTAATTAAGGCATCGACCTTAAAAGTGTAACTAAATTATTAATCCATCAATGCCGTCGACTTCCTAATCAAATAAACACACTTCACTCAGGAGAACACGGCCTCAGTTCTTATCTCTTTGTTCTGGATTTCAAGCACTGAACCTTTGAATACAAAACAAGTGTCTGAAGTGGAGGTGTGCAGTCACTAAAAGGCAACTATGCAAGCTCTGACTTCTGTGGCATACTTTTAGTTATAATTCAACGTTAATGGAAATGCTTTTATGTTGCAATTAGGCTAAAAGTGTTGTAGGGTAATTATTAGCCCCAGTGAACATGGGCTTGCTTTTCCTTTGTAATATCTGCACAGGGCCCAGTCTATCATTATGTGATTAAATATGCACATGCACCCATGCACAACACACATGCACGCACACACACACGTGCACATGCCATATGCACACACACACGTGCACATGTCACACACATACACACATGCAGGCATGCACATGTGCACACACACCCACAAGTACGTGCACCTGCCGTCACATGCACACAGGGACACACACGTCTGCACATGTGCACTCAAGGCACACACACGCCTGCACACACATACGCCCTCACAATCACGTGTGCATACACACATGTGCATACATGCATACACACCTGCTCACACAATGCACACCCCTCACACTCCTGTGCATACACACATGTGCATGGGCCTTCCCATCTGGTACTCATAGCCCTTTAAAGCACGGCACACGGCAACCTCCAGAAATATGTGGGCTCAGGGCAGAGCTACAATTTTCTCTGACATTCACACACTCTGAAGGGCATGGAGTGGCACAAGAACGCAGGGTTGTGAATCCTAGGTCAGAGCTCTCTCTATGCACCGCCCACTGTGCTTGGATCCTGGCTGTCAGGTGTGGCTTGGCAGTGTCCTACCAATAGCACCATTCCTTTGAAACGAGAACTCAAAGATCAATGACACGATGGCCTACTTCAGACGTTTCCCTCGGTTAAGGTTTAACTTCCAACAACTGAACTTTGTTCTCTGAGCACCTGGGTGGGTCATTCTGCAGTGTGGGCTTGTCTTTCTTGGGATGACTTCTCCCTGTGTATGTGTCCCAGGCCAGAGCCCTCAGCAGGATCCCAAATCGCAGCCGGAACCAGGCACACGCTAATGACGTTTTGAACTAACACTTAAAAATCTGGAAATTGCCCACAGAATTTCACATTTTTAAGTCCCTTGAAAGCTCAGAGCTCTGGCAACAGTGAGGGGCTAGGAAGCAGCCTCCCCCTCCCTCTGCCCGGGCCGAGGCCTCCAGCCAGCCACGTCCCTCACCACCAAGAACGAAGTGGCAGGCTATGCGCTTCTGCGCAGGCTGCCTCGCACGCTCCCACACGGTACGCCGGACAGCTCTTGGTGAGAAAGATGCGAAGAGACACGTTCAGCAGATCTCAGTTACAGATCATGCAACGCGTCTGACAAGGCGAAAACACAGCCCTGCACGGGGCTCCACAGTGGACAGGACAGCAATGCAGCCAAGTAAGAGGCTGGAGAGATGCTCGCTAGTAAACCCAGGGGAAAAAAGGGGGACATAAGCATAAAATACATTTTACGTAATAGAAATGTTATTTCTATTGCATTTAATAGAAATTAGAAAAACAGAAAAAAATCCAGATTATATGAAAAAGTCCTATCAACACACATTCCTCCACGAAGCTTCATGAAAGAGTTGAGTGCAGAGTGGTAGGAACACAGGCAGCAGGGAGGCGGCTCTCGGCGCACATGCGGAGGGGCCTCCGCCTACCGTGGAGCAGAGACAGGACGGGAAAGCCGGCCAAGGAGGCTGGCAGAGGTTATGACAACAGGTGAATGACAAAGCAGGACTGGAATGGGAGAGCCCAACCCCGAAGACACAAAACCGTCCATGGAGAACTGAAATCATGAGGCCAAGTGAAGAGGGGGTGCAGACCGGAATCCAGGCCGGGGCACCCACCGGATGAGAGGGAGGCAACCAGAGGCCCGCCAAGGAGCCAGGGATCGGCCAGGGATCAGCAGGGTCACACTCCAGATGGCTGAGGGACGAGACAGGAGCGGCTCCTGTGCTTACTCCACCTACCGGAGTGAGAAAGAAGTCCAGGCCTTCTTGGCGCAGGTGCGCACAGGCCAGGCCGGAACCACACGGGAGAAGGAGGGGCCGTCCCCGTGGAGCAGGTCGAGAGAGCCTCCCCAAGGAGGAGGTGTCAAAGTCCGGGGGCAAATAACACCCCAGGCTCTGGGAGGGGCTGGCGCAGATTTCTAAGGAGGGAGGAACTCCAATAGCAGCACTCAGAGCAGAGAGAACGGGGGTGGTTGGAGGGCAGAATGCCTTGTGAGCAAGGAACAAGGACTGGAGGACTGGAATTCTATTCTAAGTACACTGGGGACTCACCACACAATTTTCAGCGGGGGGGCGGGGAGGGTAAAAACCTTATTTACAGTTTAAAAAGCTCAATAACAAATATTTGGAGAATGAATCAGTAGAAGCGGAAGAATGAAGGCGAGGCTACGCTGCCATCCAGGCGGGAGCTGGGCGGTGTGGACCAGGGTGGTGATGATGGGGGAGTGAGCTGGGACATGGTCTCGGGGTACAAGAACAAGTGGTGGATGGCCTGGGAAAGATAACAGGACCCGCCAAGGCGTCGCTCCCGGCCGTGGGGAGGGTGGTGCAGGGCAACTTTCGGTGAGGGAAGCCCTGCGTGTTCCACTCCAGGATGGCAGCACCGAGACTGGCTGGGATCCAGCTGGGGCTCGGCACCCCTGCGCTCAGAGCTGAGTGAGGGGCCAGGAGAGCAGCCTCAGCCAGCACCAAGGAAGCTGGAAGGAAAGCCCCGTACCCAGAGCTCCCACAAGCAGCGGCGGCCAGATCCACAGGAAGAGCCTGCAAAGCACAGCTGCCACCAACGCGGCAGGGGCTGGAGAGAGAACAGACACACAGCAGCTGCCCACCCCCAGCGGCTGCGGGGACCAGGCGGGATGGGCCAGGGAGGGCCTCGTCTAAGGCACCCAGCAGAACACAATGGAGTCCTTAGCCCTGTGGCCAAGAGAACAGCAGGGACCGAGGGCACGGGACCGAGGGCACAGCACCGGGGCAAAGAGGGCTGGCCCAGGTACAGGAGGCCCCGCCGGGCGGGCAGGCTGCTCAGCTGGTCAGCGCAGGACATGCTGAAGGAGGCTCTGCATGGCCCGGTGCCCCCATCCGAGGGGGAGAAACAGGCAGGCCGAGAGAAGTGGGAGGGTGGGAGGAGACGGGCAGACTGACTTCTGAAAGATGTCTGTATATTCAACAAACACCTTTTGGGGAAGAAGCAAGGCACCCGGGCCTTGGGCAAGGGTGACGAGCGCAGGGGCGGAGGCACAGGGGCGGGAGGCAGGAGGCCGGTGGGGAGGTGGGGAGGCTAAACCGGATGCACAGTCCCCTGAGTGAACCCCAAGGACCGGCCAGGAGGCCGTGAGACCCGCCTCACCTGGGGCTCTGGCGTAGCTGGCGACTGCCCCGTTGACCAGGCCAGCGTACAGGCTCTGAGACGTGCAAGCCAGGCTCATGACTGTGGACTTCTCAGGAGTGAAAAAGTGCTGAAGTCTCACTTTCTTGGAGCCTTGACTGCTTTTATAAATGGAAATGCTTTAAGAGAAAAATACAAGCTAATAAATATATTTGCTCGTTGTAACAAGAACGAGGGTGCCTGTTAACATAAACACAAACATTTCAACTCTTCCCTCTTGCCCTTCCTTCTCCATTCCTAGGGACACTTGCCAGTACTTTTAAAAAATTTGCAACCACCTTGATTTCTTTATTTTTAAAAGGGAAATTCTGGGATATATGAAAAAACTTAGTTCTTCCTACTGTGTATCTTGGAACTTCACATCAGGAAAATCATTTTAACTCTCCTTTAAATGGTGTCAGCAATTCAGTATGATCATGACATAGAATATGGCTGTTTTATTCCAAAATATAAGGGGGGAATGTCCTTTTCAAAACCATTAATATAAATGAGACATTTCAGTGGCAAACAGCCAAACTGTCCCCTTTAAAGAAATACCACTTCTCTTTAAGAGTTTCCTAGAATAATTTCCATGGGCCCAATTCACTAGTTATTTCAAAGTGCAATGACCCTAAAAATTTCCCCTGGTATCCCCTAATTCCTGCACGGGCTACTCCTGAGTCAAAGTCAAGGACTCTTTCCAGGACAGGCTCCCCACCACGCCCTCCATGGGCAGAGCTTGCTAATTCTCTGTAACGCAGTGAGCATGCCCTACCTTCCCTCCTCCGTCCCTACACAGATCGTGGGGACATCAGAAGCTCTCACGGCCGGGGTCTCGGGGTCCGGGGGTGCCCCAGGCTCTCTGCGCTTCTCCTCGACGGGAACGTACAGCATGCACAGGATGCGAGATTCCACGTTGAAGCACTCAATGACTTTGGGAGTGGAATTTTGAAACGAGACGATGGCAATCTGACCCATTTGATGGGTGCAACTTCCGATCTGAATCAGAGAATTAGGAGGAAAGAAGAAAACGACCATGTGGCGGCTTCCATAATACGCTGGAACCTGACCCTTAAAGGCCACGACAAGCTTCGATTTTCATGTGAGAATCAACACACTTAAAAAAATAAAAAAAAATTCTTAAACAATTGCTCACAGAGCCCCTTTTTCTTTTCAACACATTTAATTCAGTTTTCAAAAAATTTTAAAGCAAAAGCGTAACTTTCATTTCTACAAAGTCACATTTCTATACTTTAAAAATCACGTACTCATCACAATATGAAGGTAAGGGCCCATCTATCCTCAATTTAAAATCCTAAGAAGCAGATTATTATCAATTTTAATAACTTAACACTAATATTCAATGACCTAGGCTAAGAAAATAAACCTTTCAAATAGGAAAAACATCAGTAAGAATGCATCCCAAGTAGCTCATTGGAAGTCAACATGTGGTATGCTGTGGAATTTCTTTTTTTTTCTTTTTTTTGGAGACAGTCTCACTCTGTCACCCAGGCTGGAGTGCAATGGCATGATCTTGGCTCACTGCAACCTCTGCCTCCTGGGTTCAAGCGATTCTGCCACCTCAGCCTCCTGAGAAACTGGGACTATAGGCTCGTGCCACCACATCCGGCTAATTTTTGCATTCTTAGTAGAGATGGGGTTTCACTATGTGAAAGTACAGACGGGGTTTCACTATGTTTGGCCAGGCTGGTCTCAAACTCCTGACCTTGTGATCCACCCGCCTCGGCCTCCCAAAGTGCTGGGATTACAGGCATGAGCCACCACGCCTGCCGTGGAATTTCTAAAGTAGCATTGCTGCAACAGTGTACATGAACTTCCTGTGTGTTTGAATCTCTACAACGAGAACACATAGCACAGTTAGTTTCCCAATTTAAACTTAAATTTATTTGTCTTTTTTTTTTTAAGTGGGAAGGGGTCTGATCCCTGTAAACAGAAAGCACTAGCTGGTTTAGGGTGATGTTTTCATTGATTCTTTTTCTTTTCCACCAACTTTGAGAATGTTGTTAAACTCTCCTTATTCTTGTATTTGTTGTCGCTACATACAGACATCCTACTTTCATGCTTTTGTGGGAAGGATGCCAATCTGCCAAGCCCCTGTCCTGCCTACAGGGCCTGGGGGCTATGACCAGGCCAGGTGATGAAGCTTCAGCCATGACAGGTCTGCCTACCTGGACGGAAAACAGTTCTCTTAGAAGTGGAAGCCCCCAAGGGAATTAAGGCTACTCCTCCATTCATAGGTTGGTACAAATGAAATACCAGCTAATTGGGTTGTTCAATTTCTGACACTCAACTAGGAACACTGACCAAGCAGGAGCTGTGGATGTGAGAAGTGAGAGGCAGTGGCGTGCTGCACAGGACGCCTGGGAGGAAAGGATGAGAGTTTGGAAAAGCACAGTGGAGCCCTGGAGGGCGAGTCTGAGGCTGCAGGGAGGGAACACAGGAAACCAGAGAGGGGAGAGCCTGGGACCACACAGCTTCAAGAATGTCCTCTGGTTTGCAAGAACCAGGAACGTCTACTGCAATTCCAGCCTAATTTCAGATGCAATATTTCATTTGGAACAAATTAATTTTAACTGCTAAGTTTCCACTGGAAAAAGCCAGTCTTGGAACAAGAAAAAAAATCCATGCAATGTTGACACCAAAATGGAAAAACATATTAAAATTATTCTCTTATTAGTTAGTTGTCTCTGGACTCAACTTTATCTGGTAAATGTTTTAGATGAAAAGGAAAAGAAACAAATATTTGCATTCCTAAGAACTGTAAATCTTTTCCAAAAGTGATCAGCTCCCTTTCAAAGAAGTTTTCATGTTTCTAAGTACACTCTGGGATACGCCACCGCCAACTCTCTACTGAGCAATTCACATCTCAGTCTCTCATCACACCGACCATGAACGTTGATTCTCTGTGAACTTGTACCAAAACCAAATAAACACATCTTACCCACAGGAAACCATGTGCCGTGGAAAATGAATCTGGCTGGCTTTCATTATTTAGGTAAGGTTCAGGGTTATAAGCAGCACATTCAATCTAAAATGGAATAAAATCAAACGCTCACATATAAAACAGAGCTAAGAGGCTCCTAGACTACATAACGTCTTAAATGGATGACTTACTTCCAATGTATAAACACAGAAATTACAGGTTCATTACCTACCAAAGATTAAAATAGGGAGGATGAAAGTTTAAAAGTACAACTCTCAGAAGTTAGCTTTTTAGAAGTGAACACCTAAGGAGATTCAACCTTTGGTATCTTAATCTTTAGATCCCATCAGCACACTGAAATCCGGCAGCTCAGGGCGCTTCAGATGGGAGGGCTGGCCCTGCAGGCATCAAGTACAGCCTGTGATGGCCTGTGCCTCTCCCCTTCCCTGTCCCACCCCAGCCTCTCCCAGAGGAGTCCTGTGCACCGCCTGCAACTCTCAACAGGAGGGGTCAGGGGAGCTGCTGGGAAACCCTGGCCAGAGACCAGGGTGAGAAGAAACATCTTTATTTCTTAAAGAATAAGACATTGTCAGTGTCACTGAAGGCCCTGGCCTGTGATGCCTGAGTCAGCAACACTGGGAACATTAATAAGACGCCACCCTGGAGATGGAGTCTGCCAAGGCAAAGAGCGGGCACGGTACCTCAAGCAGACAGGAGACCTGGAGTTACGATCCACTGTGGAAACAGACTGCTTGCCAAGCAAAGGCAAAACAGAGCTACAAATGTGAAACACGTGTCCCCTCTTTAACTAACAAGGCCTCAGGTGCTGTGGCACTGCTGGAATACCCCAGGGTCCTGGCCCAGGACTGGGCTTCAGAGACAATGGCTGGGCGTTTTTTTAGGTTTCAATCAACAGCAGTCTTATTTCCAGATAAATGACCTCTAGAGAAGCGGTCACTGTGGTGAACCTGGGAGGACCATGTTCTGACCACGCCCCTTAAGAATCATCTCCCAAGTGGCCCATTCAGAGCTGCGAGGTGCGTCCCACCCCGGGCCGCGGGCCCTGCCTCCCTTCACCTTGAACTCCTGCTGCTTGGCCACCATCACGGGCATGTGTCCGACGAGGAGAGGATGCTTCTCCTTTTTAATGTGATTCCCATCGTCTTCCACACAGAACCAGCCCATGTGGTTCTCCTCTTCTGCAATTATATTCAGAGAGAAATGAGCAAGAATGCAGTTAACTCACATGCAAAGACCTGCAGCTCCACAGGTCATAGCAGGGGAAGTTTCTGGCATTCTGTTTGTACAGGGCCAGACAACGCCATGTTTTACTTGTGGAAAGCAGTACAATCTCTTCTTACAGCATAGGCTGTATATTCGTGGCATTATTTTAGAAGGCAGCCTGGCCCCATCTAAGTGGCAGGGACCTCTCCCTGTTTGCGCCTCCTGAATACGCTGGACCCAAAGGCTGCCAAACGTCGCTGTATAAACCACATAGGTCCACTTCCCTTTATCTTTCTCCAGTTTTTCCAAAGCAAAAGAAATGTTTAGATTCAAATACCAGAGATGTACTGAGAAACTTTAAAACATGGTATAATGCTATGGGATAAACAAAAGTACAACAAAATGGAGAAATATTTTACTCCCAAAGCAAACTGTCAACCTGAGCATTAAAGAATATATAGCTGATCTGAAGACGAAAGGGGGCTTATCTGCACGTTCAGCTCATTCTCTTTAGAGAGTGGCCACTTCCTTGTTTGCTAAGTCACTCTGAACCTGACCTGAAAAATGACCAAATTATTCAGCAAGAGAGAGAGGGGCTGTGTTTCTGCTTCCTCATCAAGTGAGCACAAAGTCAGGACGGCTTTCCCGTCCGGGACAAAGCCCTTCCACTAATCAGAGCTCCCCGGGGCAATGGCGTTACCCACGCTCTGCATTTCTCTTCTGTATTTTATACTCCGTTAACATTTCAGATTATCTACAGCAGAAGGAAAATTTTACACACACATGACATCCCAGTGTGTTCTGGGTAACAGGTCTGTAAGCATGTGTATAAGTACATTACACACACACACAGAGCAAAAAATAATCAAGGCTGAAGAGACATAGGAACAAGGAAATCATAAAGTCACATCCATCTACAGTAAAACCACAGGGTTGATCTTTGGTGCTGGGAGGATCTTTAGTAACCCCCCAGCCCAGCCCTGTGTTTTGCTTCTCAGTGAGGGGTGAGCAGAAGGGCCAAGAGGAACAATGACCCCCCTGCCATTTGAAGGCCGCCGCCCGCCGCCCGCCTTGAGCACCTGGCTCACGGCCAGGCTCCACGGGCTTCCTCTGTGTTCAGCTGCCTCAACTGATATTCATGTTCTGGTACCAGAAACACCATCCGTTTTAACCCCTCCATTTTAATATGCGATCCCTCTATTTTAATATGAACATCTAAAAAATCGCCGGTGCCAGGGTGAATTTTCCTGTTTAGAAACACTCTTTCAGGTCAATGCATGGATCTACTGCTGAGTTTCCTTCTCAACCCTGACCTCACCCTCGTGGGCAGGAATTCATCATCACGCCGCATGCCTCATTCAGCCTCAGCCAGCCAGGCCTTACCTAGGGCGAGCTTGGCCATCTGTAAGCTGTTGACCCAGGACTCCTTGATGGCAGGGGTGAACGTATTGAACACAGCTGTAAAGAACGTCGGTCGCCCAGATCTGCCAGAAACAACAGACAAGCATTCATTTTATAAAACGTGCTCCATCCTGTGAGGTTAAATTACACATTTTGCCTGTCTGATAGAATCAGCAAACCAAAAAACATACATGTCATGACAAAGAACCATTTTCTCCCCAGCATTGGCCAAGAAGGTTTCGTTTTAAAGCTACTACTAACTTGTCCTGCTTCCCGGGAAGCTGTAACTGAATTCTGCAGCAGTCCGCAGCTCTGATTTCATCTTCTTTCTTCAAAATAAGCCTTTGTAAACCTGATGTCCAGTCATGGGCTACTGACTGGTTTAAGTTCTACAAAGGAAATAAATACGCACATTTCAAAAGTGTTTAAAAACTAGGGCCATCCCAAGGAAGATAAAAAGACACAATTTTAATATGAGAAATTCAGACCAAATGAAACTATTAGATTATGAAAAAGAAAGCTTTGGGAGTCAGATCACACTGTGGGGGGCTGAGACATTTCTAAGATAGAACTGATATTAAACCCTATTTGCAAAATGAAGAAAAGTTACCATTAAATAGTCTCACCTTATCTAACGTAAGAGAAAATGTACATTCAGATTAATTTTTAAAGTCAAAATGAATTCTCACTTCTGGTAGAACTTGGAGATATAATCACATACTTACAATGACTTATAAGTAAAGGCAGAATCTTAAATCCAATTGCTTCAATTGTTACCTGATAGTTTCCTTTAAGGTTTCCTATCAGCTGAGTGATTTGGCCAATTACATTTAAGTCATGCAACAAGTTTTGTAAATCTTGATACAGTTGTCCTGGCCCCATGTAAACTTTGTCTACAAAATAAGCAAAAAGAAAAAAAAAGAATACAAAGGTAAAGCCATATTTACTCCAATACTTGAGGGAAGAAAAGACTCAAATACTAAATAATTTTTAAGTTGAGGGGTGAATCTAGAACTTTTAAAAAGTGGACATTTTCAAGCATTTAGTGGTTTTTCCTTTTCTAACACTTATTTGGAAATAATTTTAGATGGAAAAGTTGCAAAGAGCTGCCTCCTGAATGCCCAGGCCTGGCTTCCTCAGAGGATAACATCTGACGCAAGCGTATCATGACCGTCAAATCCGGGACACCACAATGACACGGCACTCCTGACTGACCTACAGACCGTCTTCAAACCTCACCGCTTTCACATGAATGTCATTTCCTAGTCCCGGATTCAGCCCAGGGACTCGCACTGCGTTCGGTGGTCACGTCCCTGAAATCTCCTCCAGTCTGGGGGAGTTTCTCAATCTTCCTCTTTCGCGACCCTGACATTTTTGGAGGATGCTGGTGAGTTAAAGAATGTCTCACAATTTGAGTTTGATTCATGTTTTGTCCCTTTTGTATTTTTTAGACACCGTTGACATAACAGCTATTAGTAAGAGGCACTTAGAAATGACATTTAATCTGAACCACATTTCCAATAACTGGGGTCATCTACCATGAAAATGAGTTCCCCAATGATCTTTCCTAAAGTTTTTTTTTTTTTTTAAGGGAATAGAAATGGTTTGTCTTCGATGACTTGGGTTAGAGGAACGACGCGTGTCCCGGGGTCTATTTGCCCAAGTGAGAATTGCTCTACCCCTCACAGAGGGCTTCCTGTGTACTACAGGAAGTAATGTTCAAATACTTCCTCACTAAATCCCACGACGGGCCCACAGGCTCAGAGGACAGATTCCCCCATCTCCCCATCTGACTGATGACAGATGAGAAGGATTTGATCTCAGAATTAGCCTGAGTGTCTGTACTTTAAGCAATATGCAGTAATACGCTCCTTCTTTTCCACTTCTCATAGAAATAAATTGTCTAAGGTCAAAAAACCAGTAAGAGAAGGAGCCAAAATTCAAACCCAAGGAGAAGAAATTCATTTAAGTTGAGTAAAGTGCCTTGTGTTTCAGCAGGACAGGCTTCCCGGCCATGGGTCTGTAGAATCGCACAGACCTGAGCTTACAGGGCCCAGAACTTGGTCTCAGGCTCGGATGTGGACCTCCTGAAATTCTGTTTTTTCTTTTTTCTTTTTTTTTGAGACGAAGTGTCGCTCTTGTCCCCCAGGCTGCAGTGCGATGGCACGATCTCAGCTCACTGCAACCTCTGCCTCCCGGGTTCAAACGATTCTCCTGCCTCAGCCTCCCGAATAAGCTGGGACTACAGTCACCTGCCACCATGCCCAGCTAATTTGTGTATTTTTAGTAGAGGTTTAGTAGAGGGTTCACCATGTTGGCAAGGCTGGTCTCGAACTCCTGACCTCAGGTGATCCACCCGCCTCGGCCTCCCAAGTGCTGGGATTAGAGGCGTGAGCCACCGTGCCTGGCCTGGACATCCTGAAATTCTTAATAATTTTGAGGAAAGGACTCTGCATTTTCCTTCTATGCTACGTCCCACAAATTATGCAGCTTGTTCTTTTAGTGTATATAACAGATATAATACATATATATGTCAAAACTGAAAGAACCTACATATTTCCAATAAAAAGATTTCAGATATAGGTATCTAAAAATATTTACTATATAACTGAGGAGTAGCATAACCATTTATAATTTTGCAGGCACTTTATGTTGAAGACATGATTACATGGTATTTATGAACATGGTAAGCCTGATTTGTATCAACTATCTAGACAAATGCAATTACTAACTGCATTTGAAGTATCATGAAGTTTCGTAACAAAGGGAGCGGCCAGGCATAGTGGCTCACTCCTGTAATCCCAGTGCTTTGGGAGACCAAGGCAGGAGGATCACCTGAGGTCGAGAGTTCGAGGCCAGCCTGATCAACATGGAGAAACCCCGTCTCTACTAAAAATACAAAATTAGCTGGGCATGATGGTGCATGCTGTAATCCCACCTACTCGGGAGGCTGAGGCAGGAGAATTGCTTGAAGCTGGAAGGCGGAGGAGGTCATGGTGAGCCAAGATCATGCCATTGCACTCCAGCCTGGGCAACAAGAGCTAAACTCCATCAAAACAAACAAACAAAAAAAAACGAAAGAGCAAACTGATCCAGTAGTTACACATCGCAACTTTATTTATCCTTACAGAATGCTTATAATTTAAAATGTTTCATAACACACATATTTGCTTTCATTCGCAAACTTTGATGATAAACTCTATAAACACAACCTTGTAACACAAGTATAGGCTGGTTGTGGTAACTGATGCCTATAATGTCAGCACTTTGGGAGCACAAGGTGAGAGGACTGCTAAAGGCCAAGAATTCAAGACCAGCCTGGGCAACATAGTTTTAAAAACCAAAAACATAGAGTTTAAAAAAAAAATTAGCCAGGCATTGTGATGCGCGCCTGTAGTCCCAAATACTTGGGAGGCTGAAGTAGGAAGATCGCTCGAGCCAAGGAAGTCAAGGCTGCAGTGAGCTATAATTGTGCCACTGCACTCCAGCCTGGGCATCCAAACAAGGCCTTGTATCAAAATTAATAAATAAATGAGTAAATAAAATTATAAGTGCAATGTTAACTTTATTAATTAGTTGACTTCTTTTAAAATATGATCTTCACAATTATCATCCAATCAAATTGACCCTTCTATTTTTGGTGTGCGGCTCTATATATTTTCACACATGTATAAATGCACGTGAACATCTCCGCAGTAAGCCTGAGGGAGAACTCCAGGGCACACAGAACAGCTCCATCACCCACAGAACAGCTCCATCACCCACAGAACAGCTCCATCACCCACAGAACAGCTCCATCACCCACGGAACAGCTCCATCACCCATAGAACAGCTCCATCATCCACAGAACAGCTCCATCACTGACAGAACAGCTCATCACCCACAGAACAGCTCCATCACCCATAGAACAGCTCCATCACCCATAGAACAGCTCCATCATCCACAGAACAGCTCCATCACTGACAGAACAGCTCATCACCCACAGAGCAGCTCCATCATCCACAGCACAGCTCCATCACTGACAGAACAGCTCATCACCCACAGAACAGCTCCATCACCCACAGAACAGCTCCATCACCCATAGAACAGCTCCATCACTGACAGAACAGTTTATCACCCACAGAACAGCTCCATCACTGACAGAACAGCTCCATCACCCACAAAACAGCTCATCACCCATAGAACAGCTCCATCACTGACAGAACAGCTCATCACCCACAGAACAGCTCTGTCACTTGACAGAACAGTTTATCACCCACAGAACAGCTCCATCATCCACAGAACAGCTCATCACCCATAGAACAGCTCCATCACTCGACAGAACAGTTTATCACCCACAGAATAGCTCCATCACCCACGGAACAGCTCCATCACTGGACAGAACAGCTCCATCACCCATGGAACAGCTCCATCACCCATGGAACAGCTCCATCACCCAAGGAACAGCTCCATCATCCATGGAACAGCTCCATCACCCAGAGAACAGCTTCATCACTTGACAGAACAGTTTATTACCCACAGAACAGCTCCATCACTGACAGAACAGCTCCATTACCCATAAAACAACTCATCACCCACAGAACAGCTCATCACCCACAGAACAGCTCCATCACTCGACAGAACAGCTCCATCACCCACGGAGCAGCTCCATCACCCACGGAACAGCTCCATCACCCAGAGAACAGCTCCATCACCCACGGAACAGCTCCATCACCCATGGAACAGCTCCATCACCCATAGAACAGCTCCATCACCCACGGAAGAGCTCCATCACCCCTGGAACAGCTCTATCACTCTACAGAACAGCTCCATCACCCACAGAACAGCTCCATATCCACAGAACACCTCCATCACCCACAGAACAGCTCCATCACCCACAGAACAGCTCCGTCACCCACAGAACAGCTCCATCACTGACAGAACAACTCCATCACTCACAGAACACCTCCGTCACTTTACAGAATAGCTCCATCACCCACAAAGCAGCTCCATCATCCACATAACAGCTCTATCACCCACAGAACAGCTCCATCACCCACAGAGGCAGCTCTATCACCCATAGAACATGTGGGATAGGTCACAGGGATTCACAGGTGCACAGATTTCAGTTCATTGGGAGGAATAGGTTCAAGACGTCTAATGTAGTTAATAAGGTATTGTATACTTGAAAATCACTAAGAGTAGACTTTAAGGTTCTCACCATGAACAAATGGTAAGTGTGTGAAGGAAGGCATAAGCTACTTAGCTTGATTTAGCCATTCCACAATGTATACATATTTCAAAACATCATGTTTTAAACCATACATGTATATGATTATTTGTCAACTAAAAACATAAACATTTTTAAAATAACACACACACACACACACACACACACACACACACACACACACACAGCCATCAAATGTGAACCTATCATGGGAAGGGAGAATACTCTTTCCCTAGTGTATTAAAGAACCTTCTGAACTGAGATGAGGAGGAGTTCCTCGACCTTACGGACCATGGAAATGTGCTGACGTTTTATGTCTGCCGGATCATCAGACAGTTCATAATAGGGCACCTCAGGGCACAGATGACACCACAGAGCAACCTGAGGCTTCCTCATGAATGGGGACAATGTGCGCTGCCAAAGAAAGCGTCTGCACTCACATCCCAAGAATAACAAGAAACCACACAGTGCGGCCAGTGCTTTTCAAATGTGATTCTCAGTTTCAGAAAAACTGTTTCATGTTGATTTTCAGGCCAAAATTGATTAAAGAAACCCCTGCAGTTCAGGCGCGGTGGCTCACGCCTATAATCCCAGCACTTTGGGAGGCCAAGGTAGGTGGATCACCTGAGGTCAGGAGTTCGAGACCAGCCTGGCCAACATGGTGAAACCTCATCCCTACTAAAAATACAAAAAAAAAAAAAATTAGCCAGGCATGGTGGTACACACTCTGAGTAGTTCCAGCTACTCAGAGAGGCTGAGGCAGGAGAATCACCTGAACCCAGGAGGTGGAGGTTGCAGTGAGCCAAGATCACGCCATTGCACTCCAGCCTGGGCAACAGAGGGAGACTCCATCTCAAAAAAAAGAAAAGAAAAGAAAAGAAAAAGAAAGAAACACCTGCAAATCAGAATTTTTGTTAGAGTTGACTTCCAGCCCTCTAGCTGACAGTTTCTAGAGTTTTCAGTTCTGTGAGCGAAGTTCTTTGTCGCTGCAGTGACACACAATTGCTGCACTTCCGCAAAAGCACTTCCCGAGTCTTTCTCACGGACGCTTCTCTTGTTTCCATGGAAATCCCTGCAATCTGTTTGAAAATTCAGGGTCTGTCAGTGAAACAGAATTTGTGCGGCAAACAAGGAAGGGTTTGTGTGGCCAGATCAATAGCAAGGACGGCTGGAAAAGCCCCTGGGGGTGTGCTCGGTCCCTGAGAACCTCCATGCCTGGGTTCAAGGGGCACCCTCACAGCATCTTAAAGCCTCTCCTCCACGATGTGAGACCGAGACGTCAGAGCCAGAAGGCGTTAAAAATTTTTAACTTAAATTAAGGCAAATGTACAAAACTGTTTTTCACAAATCAAATCATAAAAGTTTCATTGTGTCATCAAAGTCAGACATAGCCAGTAGAAATGGAAACTGGGGAAAACTTCCTGGAAAGCAACTTGCAAACATGCATCAGGAGTCTAAAAGAGGATACAAATGTTCTACTCTTTGACCTGAAAATTCCACTTCTAAGGAAATTATCAGACTAATGTGTAAGGATGTCTCCACGTCACTGTTCGTAGTGGTCTAGTAACTGAAGAAGCTTGCAGTATGCAATAAACTCAGTTTCAATCATGAGGAACGTCCTGTAGTCAGTTTAAATGACTTCGATTCAGAATTTTTAAAGACTGAGAAAATGGTCAGCCTATAATATTAAATGAAAATTCCCTATACAGGATCACATAGAGAACTGTGGTATACGGACAATGGTGTGAGGAAAAGGCTGGAGAGAAATCACTCATGTGTTAATACAGTCTCCAGATACAAGAATTACAGGTCATTCTTACTGTCTTTAAACGTTTTAGTGTTTTCAACAGAGAACAAGAATTAATTCCCAGGAGAAAGAGGGTAATTTTTAAACAGCATCATATATAAGTCCCTAGTCTGATAAGAGGCACAAATTGAATTTCTCTATAAGCAAGTAGTTTTCTAACATGGAAAGTATAGAGAAATCTTGGTTATGAACCAGTAGTGATCCCAGCTATATTCAGGCAAAATAAATCCTATGTGGTTCTGGACACGTTACGGCAGCTCCTCCCAGCGCAAGGCCTAGGAGACTCCCAGGTGCAAAGCTGAAACCACAGCACTGAACAGAGAAGAACAATAAGAATTCTCCCCCGTGACTAAAATCCAGTTTGGTTTTTAACAAAACCCAAGCATTTTATAACGTGAACATCACACTGTCACGAAGATACATGTCATGTCTCAAATTCCAGATATTTAATCAAGTAAAACCATCCCTATAGCTTCATGGGGTTCAAAAACCCAGAACATAATATTAATTTGCTCAACACCTAACTTGTATGTGTCCATGTGTAGTAGGACACACGTGTGTGATTCCCACAGAGATAGGACCCCGTCCACAGGCCCTCCTGCATGCGCACCTTTCCGTGGCTGGCCGTCTGCACTTAGGACACAGAGAGAGGACCCTGTCCACAGGCCGTCCTGCGTGTGCACCTTTCCGTGGGCTGGCCGTCCACACTTAGGGACATGTGCCAGCTGCACTTTCCTGAGGGAGTCTTCTCCACGAGACTTATGGGAATGACTGGCATGTGACACACAGGCATGGCACTCATCTGGCCCATCCCCATGGCTGAGGAGCTATGATAGCTTTCCTGAGACGCTGGCTGTCAGGTCCTGGACAGGGCCGTGACCCTGAATAGAAGGTTTCTGGAATGTCAACTTGACTGACAGTCATAGCTCCAGGGATGCATCGGCGTCTAAGTTCACAGGTCAGCTATACAGGCCGTTAGGAATGAGAATGAGTATTTTGGCATCAGCAGATCACGTGGACTAGTGTGCATGTCATATTTAGAAAATATGGGTATCCCTCTTTGCATGGAACCACTTCTCCCTGCCTCCTGTTGAGCTCCTAAAGACAGAGAGTTTGAAGGGTGTGTTACTGAATACCCAGAAAATTCACACCAGTGTTTGTCCCTGAGGTAACGGGAGATATAAACAGACACAGTGACGGAGAAGGCGGCAGCCACCTGCATGGAGAACAGAGCCACGCATGTGGCATCGCCACCACTGTGGGACTGTCCTGAAAGCACGTGTGATGCTGGAAGACCCTTTCCCACTTTCCGTCCATCTGCCATGCTGCCCCCGTTTCCTCCCCCAGACAGAGGCTGGGCCTGGGGATGGGCTTGGAACAGCCATTCTAACAGGGACCCAAGTCCCAGGCTGGCTCTGGGCTTCCTTAATGGGCTCTCATTTTGTGAAAGTATGAAATACTCTTTAAATGTAGAAAAGTAGAATAACTCATGGACACATTTTTACCCACTGCCCAGAATCTGTGATGTGACTGTTTTGCTCCATTCACTTCAGATGCCATTTTCATCAAAAATCCCTGAAAAGCCATGGCACGCCTACCCTGTTTTCACTCTGCCTTCCATCCGGAGTCAGCGCCCATCCTCTCTGAGAGCTCTTTGTGGTTTTACTCCCTATGTATGTTTGAAGGCCTTTCTCAGCATACAGATGTTGTCTGTACGAAGGGAGGCCGTTCATCTGCACTGAACACGCCGCATGAGCACACAGGGGCACAGGACACAGAGAGTGGTGGCAGGAGGTCAGCAGCTTCACAGTAATGAGCAGCTGCATCCGCTCCCCCAGTGAGGGGCTCATCTGTTGGTGTCACATTCCACAGGCACGCCGACCTCAGTGTCGCATTGCAGGAAAGCTACTGAAGACTGTTTCCGGACTATCCACGGTATTCAGTGTGGAAAGCCAACCTCCCTGCTACCTTTGGCCAGGTGGTGTGTTTGCTCTCAGTACTCGTTCAAGGGTTATAATGACACTTTTGAGTCGTGGGAAGGACCTGCAAATCCACACGCCATACAGGAAAACCAGCGCCGAGTCCTGGCCTCATCTCCCACACACACACACGTGCTGTTTTACAGTACAACGTTCAGATGACGCAGAAGCAGCCCTTCCCACAGCAATGGAGCACAGAGGCATTTTGTTCTGTTTCCTTCATTTCGACTGCTGTGTATTTCAAAACACGACAGCTTTGCCATGGTGGGCTTCCGCTGTGCCTGTCCTCTCACCTTCAAAACGAAGTTCACTCTTACAGGCATAAGGAGCAAGAACAGTGACCCTTGCCGCCCAGAAGTACCTTACTCTGGAGAGGACACGTTGGAGACCAGGCACTGTCCCTGCCTACAGGCGAGGCCATGCAGTGCATCGGGCAGGGGCCAGGGAGAGAAATCGGGGCTAACCCGTCACTCCTGGGGTCCCACATCGGTCACTGTGTCCAGAACCCTCAGGGCTGTGGCTGGACGCGCTGCTCAGACCCCTCCGTGCCTCCACAGAACGGCCACTTGGCCACACATCCCTGGAGGATGCAGCTCAGGGGAGCCTCATGAGGAACCGTTTCACGTTTTAAAAATACAGCTCCGCTTCTCCTGCTGCCTTCTACTTCAGGAGGATCAGTCAGGTGTATATTCAGCTGTTCAAGCTTCCTTCGGCCGGGCTCACTTCTATTTAAAGACTGTAAGTCACGCCCGCCTTCCTCCCTCCTTGGTGCTGGTTCTTTGCTAGTAGTGTTTTGCTTTGTTTTTTAAAACCGTGTGAATTTTGTGGGGGAGGTACTGTGTTTTCTGGGAGCTCCCTCAACTCTGTGACCTCACCCACGACCCTTTCCGCGTTTGCCTGGAAGTTCCCCTCTCTATGCTCAGCAGGGACCCTGAGGTTTCAGGAGCTGTCTCTCACCCTCCTCACGGTACAAGCTTGCTGGCAGCTCCTCCAGCTACCTGTTCATAATGACTGTGTCTTGTTACAAATCCTCCTGTACCAACCGCCATATCCAGCTCAACTGTACAGAAGCACTCCTGGCACTCAGGACACGCTTCCGGGACAGAAAGCGGAATGGGCCAGAGCAGGGCGGTCTGAGTGGACTTCCCCTCTTGCTGCAAAGTTCTGAGAACACACAGGGAGGCAGCGGCCTTCTGGAAGCTGCAGGGCCCCTTCTAGGCAAGCTGCCAGTGCAGGGACGGGACGCTGGTATTGGACCAGGTAGATGCTGGTCCAATAACAAGCAAAGCCAGAAACATCAGAGGCCAATCCTGTTCCGTTAAAAGGTGACCTTACAGCGAGGAACACAGATGCTTTTTACCTTCATTCATTTTTAAGGATTAAATAACTACAAAGTAATGTGACTGATTTTTACAAAAGTAAATGATGAATATTTGCACATCTGAAGGAGTGTTTCCTTTCAAGTAGATTCAAGTTGTACTCACATTTCTCTAAACATTTTAAGAACTTCACCTGTACACTGACTTGAGACCAGTTGAATAAAAGTGCACACACACACACACGAAGAACTTCTCCCTGGGAAGGATGGGCGGTAACAGCTCTCCAGTGGCCATTCTTCTGAAACACCCTTGAAGGCCAGAGCCCGGCTAGAGCAACTGATCTCACCTCTCCTCCCGTTCTAAAGGCTCCCAAAGGTGGGGCTATGCGCCACCTCCCCACCCACCCCCACAACTCCTACTTAGTACCAGACCTCGAGAACTAGGAGCGCTTGACAGTCCATCTGTTGAAAATGAATTGAGGTTATAAAGATCCTGCATGAAGAAACCCCCCCACAGAATGGCAACAGTGAACATTACTTTCTCATAAATCCACCTGCCAGACAGGATGGAGCGCAACGTGAGAAGGAACAGCGGCCGGGTGGAGTGCACCAACAAAGACGCTGCACCAGGCCAGAGCAACTGACGGCTCACGCTCGATCTTCCTCCTCCCCGCCACCAGTCCCAATCGGGGAGGCTGGCAAAACCTTTAAAATCACCCCAGAAAACTACACAGCATTTTTCAAAATAGCATCAGGGAGTTTGGGAGCTTAAACCAATCCATGGATCCATAGGGGACACGACATTTTTCAAAACAGCATCAGGGAGTTTGGGAGCTTAAACCAATCCATGGACCAGGGGACCCATGGTCACCAGCCTGCAGCCTCTGCAAGAGAGGAAAGTGCCACATCATAACTCCGGATGTCGAACACCACAGAGCAAACCCGCGATCCACATGGCGCTTTTGCAGGGACAGGGAGCTCCCTGCTGAATCTAACATCGGACAGCAAACCCACAATCCACACGGTGCTTTTGCAGGGATGGGGAGCTCCCTACTGAGTCTAACACTGCACGGCAAACACTCAACCCACACGATCCACACAGCACTTTTGCAGGGACGGTGAGCTCCCTACTGAGTCTAACACCACACAGCAAATGCACATTCCACACAGCACTTTTGCAGGGACGGCGAGCTTCCTACTGAGTCTAACACCACACAGCAAATGCACAATCCACACAGCGCCTTTGCAGGGACGGCGAGCTTCCTGCTGAGTCTAATACCGCACGGCAAACGCACAATCCACATGGCGCTTCTGCGGGGACAGCGAGCTTCCTGCTGAGTCTAACACCACACGGCAAACACACAATCGACACGGCGCTTTTGCAGGGACAGGGAGCTCCCTGCTGCAGCTGCTCACTGGTCTCAGGTGGTTACCACGCTGCCCGCTCTGCAAGCAGAGGTTGCTGGGCAGTGCTGCCTACACTCTGTCAATATCAAGTAACACACCAACATTTCCAACACTGAATTTTAGAACAGTCATTCAAGCAGCAGAAGTCCTATGACTATCGACTGAGAATGAGAATTTCTGACTTAGCTTCTCGATATAATTTAGAAGTGACAAACCAAGAGAACCGGAAGAAACAAACACTGAGAGTGAATTTGAAGCCATTTGATGAAAACTCTGAGGGAGGTATTACAGGCAGCCCCATGGAGATGTGGTTCATGGATGTACCTGGGTTTTGTCAGCATAAACGGTAAGGAGTGAGCTGAGATGAGCAGAGTGAAGGGACGTCATTCACCGGCTGCAGCGTGGCACTCATGGGATCAACATGATGGATGTGATACCACATAGACCCACTCAAGATCAATGCTAACAAGAGACTGTCGGTCCACCCTGGATGAATCCAGACGTGTCGGGATAGAAGCCCTGCCAGTCCCAGCACCAAGCACGGTGCCCACTTTCACCTTCTCTGTAAATGCAAGACAGCACCATGCTCTTACCTGACGCCGGAAAAAAGCCCCAGAGAATTCTGACTTGAGTTCTATCTTCAGACACATACAGAATTAGCACATTTTAAATAATTTGTTTTAAAAGTTTCTTTTTTAATCTAGAGGAACAAAACACTATTGATGGCAAAACAAGTTTATCATTTAAGCTCTCTGTTTAAGGCATTGGGCAAAAAGATGTCCCATGGAAAAATGGTTTCACTGAGGTTAACTAGGTGCTTTTCCATAGAGACGTGATAAAAAAAAAATCAATGCAGGTATGCAAAACACAATCATATACGTTTTCAAGTGTGTTTCAAAGTCCCCTTAACTGGAGATATAACACCAAAGACCTCCTTGAATTCAGAATAAAGAAAAACATTTACTCTCCAATGTGGCATATTTCTTTTTAATAGACAATGAGAACTTGTCCATACTCAGTGTTTCTCCTCTTGCTGTGGCTGATAGGAAGCTCATAGTTAAATCCAGGGTGCAAATGCAATGATAAACTCACTCCAGGTTATTTCCTCCACATAGTATTTTAAAAATGGGTTGAATCACCCTGCTTTATGCTTTTTTCACATTGCTAACTGAATCAATCTAAGTTAGCTCAGCATAAATCATAAATAATAAGATGAATAAGAAAATATAACATTGCATGGAATACATACTATTTTATGGATCAAAGTCACCTTTAGCTATTTAAATACAATAAGGCCATCTTAATTATGAATAAATTCTAAGATTGCTAGCATTATAAAATACATGAAGGTGTTTTTGTTCACAAAACCACAATATAAATTTGATTGCCAATCAATGTTTCCAAATAATTTAAAAGGATTTTTAAAAATCTTTAACAAGGCATCCAATTTGCTCTTGAATAAAATGTTAATGAATCATGTCAGAAATGATTTCTCTGTCCCCATGTCCCCTCTCCCTCGGCTCCTCCCTCTCGCTCTCCATACCACCCCCCAGAACAGCTCTTTTGGGAAATCTGGGTTTTGGTACTTCAGTTATTTGTGGAGAGGGTTTGATACAGACGCATACCACTTTAAATAGGACGAGGATTTAAGAGTCAGAAATTTAAGAGATTACAAATTGTAATAATATGCTTGACGAATTAGCCTACTAGGCAGATTACCAAACAGAATGACTATTAACATCAGGGGAATGAGAAAAATAAAAGCGGTCCCAAAGCGAATTAGACCTAATACTCCTTACATCATGTTCTGCAAATCCAGGTGAATATGCAAATTCAATCAGAAAAGGTTAAACGTTCTCACGTGGTTTCCTTGCTTCTGAACATGTCAGAAACAAAATAATCTGAAAAATTCATGCATATTTAACCTATGAAAGGTTAACTGAAAGTTCCCATGCATCGTGTTTTTTAAATTGTTCTACAATTCAGGGGTAGAGCCCAAAAAGTGAATAAAACTTAGCCAGTCGTTCTTTGGATTTTTTTTTTAATAATGAAGAGAAGGTAATGATTTTTACACTAAGATTAAAATCTGCAGTCTGAACAATGTTAGGTAATAATAATCATAAATCATGTGCAATGCTAAGACATTGCCAAAGCATTCTGACTCCTCTCCTTTCACCTTGGGAAGTTCATGGACAAGCACTGCCTCCATGGGGAAACTGAGTAAAGACATCACAACGCTGCCCAGCAGTGTGAGCAGGTGAGCAAAGAGCCGAGCTGGAACCACCACCGCCTCAAGCTCTATGACTTCCTGCACGCCAGCTCCACACACTCAAGAGACCAGCACTGCCAAGTCCTGATTTGGTTAACTGGAAACGCAAAACTGAGCTCACTGGACCGGGAAGACGGAATCCACTTCTGACTGGCCAGGTGCACGGCCCGAACCCGAAGGAGCCCCAGCTGCACGTGGGACAAGTCAGTGATGAGCAGCCGACTTGGCCATGTTAGTCAGACAGCATACAGATTCTAGAGACTGGATCACCTCTGCAGACTTGCCATGTTAAACCCTGAACCTGCTGATGGTGGAGCTTACGCTGGCCCCACAGCTAGCATGAACGTGAGAGTTACCCTGGCCCCACGGCACGAACGTGAGAGAAAGCATCACTTACTTGGTTTCGCGTTAGCAACCACGGCCAGGCTCTCCGGCGGGTGAACGGCAAGGTGCCTGCTGTGCTCGCCCGTGCCTGCGCTGCTGCCATACTCGATGGCGTCCACATGTCCCAGTGGAACGCTCCACTTCAGCAAGTACCTCTGGCTGCTCATCACACGGCTGTCATGAGAGGGGCTGAAACGACCAAAAGATCCTTGTTTTACGAATAATTACATGAACACGTTATGGTAATGTTCATCCCTCAGATGTTCAAGTGAGAAACTTCCCACTGCTGAATTGTAACTCTTCAGACTTTCTCACAATAGTAATTGTGCTTCTGACTTTCTTACTGAGTCCCCACTTGCTGCCATAAAGAGGCCTCGAACTGGATGAGAGAGAGTGCAGGGAAGAGCCGCACAGGGGACGGATCTCCCGGAAGCTCCGAGGTTTTCCATAAAGGCTTAACAGGAAGCAGCTCGGTGCTTGCTGATGACTCTGAGCAAAGGTGCTCGATTACCAGGAAAAGTCTCCTATGTGGATAGAGATATTCTCTGGCGGTTTCATAAGAGTTAACTCTCAAATTGCTGCTTTATTCTTTTATGGCTACACTGTAACCACTTTAATAGAATCAAATCATACCATTACACTCCATGACTAAAATATTTATCAAGTATACGGAAATTGAACCGAAAAAAAACCCTATGACTTATACAGATTATTTTCTTCTTTTATCATAAATAGAACATATACGTGAAGAAACACAAAACACATATGTACAGTCTAGTGGAAACGACCTGCGCCAACATCTGTGTAGCGGACTCCAAGGCCAAGGCTGTGACATCGCCAGCATCCCCGCAGCCCCAGGAAATCCCACCCTCCAGAATCAACCATTATTCTCACTTAGTGATCATCACGTTTTGCTTTTCTTCAAGATATTGCCGTTAAAAATCAAAGTGTGGGCCGGGCGCGGTGGCTCACGCCTGTAATCCCAGCACTTTGGGAGGCCAAGGCAGGCAGATCACAAGGTCAGGAGATTGAGACCATCCTGGCTAACACAGTGACACCCCATCTCTACTAAAAATATTTAAAAAATTAGCTGGGTGTGGTGGTGGGTGCCTGTAGTCCCAGCTACTAGGGAGGCTGAGGCAGGAGAATGGCGTGAACCCGGGAGGCAGAGCTTGCAGCGAGCTGAGATCGAGCCACAGCACTCCAGCCTGGGTGACAGAGCGAGACTCTTTCTCAAAAAAAAAAAAAAAAAAAAATCAAAGTGTGGGTAGAAATAACCAAAATGCCGGGTGCTATGCATTGGACTGAGCACCTGACTGGCTGGGAGCCCGTCTGCACCCAAGCTCTCCAGTTCCTTCTTACACCAGAGCACTCTGCCCTCCATGAGGACATCCAGTCCATACAGGAAGGGAAAGGAGGAAGAACAATTCAGACACAGTAAGAGGAAAGATGGGTTGTGTTCCGTGAATTAGACTGTGCCTCCAATTTAGAAAAACAGAAATGCCCATGAGTTCTTACCAAAATTCCGATTCCTCCTCTTTGAATGTAAAAATCTCCATCCCTACAGAGGAGGTTTAGAATCTTAATGTTCACAGGGCCGACCAAAGGGTCCTTGGGAGCTATTTGAAACAAAATGCATTCTCATCTCATCACCTTCGGGCACTGTCGCTGAAAATCTCACACTGACAACATGTCCATGGGAAAGGAATTGCGACTCACCACTGCACTTCGCAAAAAAAGAAATTCAAGCCCTGGCATCGTGGGAAAGGCAGGGGCGTTATTTTAAGGAATCCTCTAGCAGTAAGCACAGCTGAGTTACTTTTAAAGTATCCATTTTAATTCATCTTTAAAGTACACCACGTCTGGCAGCGGGAGAATTTTAAACGTACTTAAAACTGCCCAAGAGTCAAGTGTGTCCTGGCGCTCCCCAACAGCAGCCTGAGGGGTTCTGGAGCAGCAGTCAGTGTCAGACAAACATCAGTGATGAATGCGGAAAAGACTCAACAAGGACCATTATATTTGCTTAGGACTTTGCCGTTTACAAGGTCATTTCACTTCTATGATCTTGTCTCCCAGGGCAGGTGGAACAAGCATTAATGTCCCCAACTTGACACATCGTGTGGGCCAACTTGCAGGTGAGGAGCTGGGTGGATTCAGCCACAGTGGGGCCACTTCACTGAAAACTAACTTTCCAGGTGTTACATGGAGAGGGGGGTTCTGGGACAGTTAAACTTGGAAGCCATACTGTTAAGTGATAAACACCTTTAGTCTCCACACTATGGGAAGCACCTCATAACACCAGGGAAACGGGTGGAGACACCTTACTCTGCATCCTCGCAATTCTAAGCATCCTCTAGAGCAGCCCACACCTGGAGTTCTCCAGCTGCGACCTCCCACGGCCTCACTCCGTCAGCTCCTCTCCAACGCAGGGTGCAGTGGGCTTCACTTCTGCACACAGAAGGCAGGTGGCCTGCGGCTGTCGCCAGGCGTCCACAGTGAAGGCCAAGCCATGGGGTATGAGTCAAATGAACAGGGTTCTTTCTCTTACAAGAAGGAGTGTCATTAAAGACTCACATATTTTTTGGACTTATTTTGTAGCTGCCACAAAGTCACTGACGATGATGAAAAGCAACAATGAAAACCTGTCCCTCGCAGGCAGTGCCGTGTGCCAGGTGCCCTGCAGCAGCTTAATGAACGTTCTCGCCTTGATCCCTGAAGAGACCCGCAAGAGCGTACCACTGGCATTATTTTTATGATCAACCCTATTGCACGGATGAGGAGTCCGAGGCAAAGTCAGAGAGGGTAATTTTCAGAGTTCAGAGAAGGTGGATGTGCAGTTCACACTAAGGAGTCCGACTCCTGAGCGCTGACCTGCACACCCTCGCTGCCTGGGTCTCTAAGGCAAGGTGAGGAGGGCAGGCAGATATATCTGGCCGCTGGAAAATGGGGGCGACGGGCATGAAAAATAGGGCATGTTTAGTGGTGTGCTGGCAAACGTTTAACAGCTGGCTCTCACTGGGAGGACAGGCTCCTAACACATCGTGTTGGGCAAATTCCATGCTGTAAATGTTCCCGTGTGGATGACTTCAAGCTACCAAATGTTTAGCAACTGGATCTCAAAACTCTGGAAGATTCAACACTTGACTCTTGCAAGACATGACGAATTGGCACCACGTTCGCTTGCATTATTTTCTACAGCACCAGGAGTGTTATAGTTAACTTTATATCAGTTCCCTTATCATCTACCTGTATTTGAAGACCTTTTAGTTTCTCACATATCCTCATCTCACTACAATATTCCATGCATTGGAGAACGATTCTGATGTAAAACTATTTTAAGTGAAAATAACTCATTTTCTTGGTTTACAATAAATATGAATATACCCAACTTTATTATATTTAAACATTTATCAAAAATATATTTATAGAGAAGCAGGTAAAGAGAGAATTTAAACCATAAGAAAAAGAACTCTTGATTTAGGAGGGTTATGAAGAAATTCAATTGAGTTTCTAGTTCCGCCATCAGCCCTGTTTAAAGAGTATATAAACCTCTACGTACTTCTACTAACAGTGACTTGGTGACTTACACTGAATCTATTTAAAAATAAGCTTGCTTATTATAAGGGTTCCCTTAGTCACAGGACAGAGCTTTGGCACAAAAAACCAGTTCAGTCTGAGTGACAGAATTAACAAAGTCATGCATGTGCCCTTAGGCAAAGGTAACATGTGATGATGGTAGGACTACTATAGAGAATTTATGCACTTACCGTGAGCTGACGGTGGCACACATTAACACATCATTTAACATGAAGACTCGGCGTTCTTTGGTTTTAACAATCTCTCCTCTGTCGTTGTAAACTGTTTCTATCATATCATCTGATCGAATGAGGTATCGGCTTCCACTGCTGAGAAGCTGGACATTCAAAACACAGCCCAGGGACCACAGTTCAGTTTACCCGGAAAAGAAAAAGATGAGGAGAAGTCTGGTATGGAGTCTCAGGGTGACTTTTCCAAACTGAGCGCTTTACGGAAATCGTTCCTATGTTCCCCGTGACTGCGCTGAACATCCGCCTCCTTCCTCACAGACTTTCACCGCAGTTGGCCCTCCCGCGATTTAAACACTACATTAACCAGGAACGGTGAGGAATGCAAGGAATTGTTTTGTAATTTTACTTTTCCCCAAGTAAACCTAATTAAGCATAGTTAAATGACTATCTTAACTTCTTAAAGGTAGGCCATATTTTACTTCACTGAGCCAAAGCAAAACCATCAGTTCTTCAGAAAGACGCTTTGTATGAACCAAGACAATGGTATGCGATGTAGAAGTCACACTACCTTTTTTGTTTGTTTGTTCTGAGACCAAGCCTCGCTCTGTTACCCAGGCTGGAGTGCAGCCGCACAATCTCAACTCACTGCAACCTCCACCTCCTGGGTTCAATTGATTCTCGTGCCTCAGCCTCTCGAGTAGCTGGGACCACAGGTGTGCACCACCACACCCAGCTAATTTGTTTCTTTTTGTATTTTTAGTAGAGACGGGGTTTTGTCATGTTGGTTAGGCTGGTCCGGAACTCCTGACCTCACGTGATCCACCCACCTCGGCCTCCCAAAGAGCTGGGATTACAGGCGTGAGCCACTGCACCCGGCCAATACTTATAACAACTCAGCCCACAAGAAAAACAGAGTCCTCAGCCCCGGTGGTCTGTGCTGTCTTTTGATTCTAAACCTACGCTGCTGCCCAGCTCTGAGCAACCAGCGAGACACCCGCCTCCCTGAATGTCCCTGCCAAGTGCACGGGAACGATGAGGCATGTGGGTGACATTCAGTGCGAAGCATCATCCCCTCTTCCTGGGCCTCTGGGCTTGCTCCGTGCCCCATGTGTATTCGGAGGTTCAAGTGCCACAGGGAGCATGATTTTAAATAACATGAACCATGTCAAGAATATAACTGAATACAATTTGCTGCTTATAAACGTTCCTACATAAACCACTTGGAGAAATGGGGAAAATATGTGGCTTAAAGTGTATTACCATAAAGTTCGCACAGTTACATTACTGAATGTCATTGTAACGTAAGAAACTACTCCTAATGACAAAACAATGATTTGTAGCAATAATGATTTTTAGCAATAATGAATATTAGATGCAATAACTTAACACAGTTCATACAAATTACCATCTCCCTGTGAGCCAGGGCCTTCAGTGAATACGGGAAAGCCCACATAAATTCAGAGTACTGCTGCAGACAAGTAGTTATGTAAGCATCAAGCTGAAATGTAGCCTGGCAAATGAACTGCCGCCTTCTGGGTCCTGCATCTCTTTTCACGCTCAATGCAGCTTAGCCCATGCATAGGTGAAGACAAAAAATGTTTGTGAATTTTTTTTTTTTTTGAAACAGGGTTTTGCTCCATCACCCAGGCTAGAGTGCAGCACCTCAATAACAGCTCACCACAGCCTGGACCTCCCAGGCTCGAGCAATCCTCTGGCCTCAGCCTCCCACGTAGCTCAGACTATATAGGTGCATGCCACTGTGCCCAGCTATTTTTTTTTTCTTTTTTTAGATATGGGTTCTCACTATCATGCCCAGGCTGGTCTTGAACTCCTGGGTTCCAGCGATCTTCCCACCTCAGCCTCCCAAAGTGCTGGGCTTACAGGTGTGAGCCACTGTGCCTAGCCTGTAAATATTTTCAGCTTTAACTATTACTATCTGAAATTAAATACCGTTATTTTGAAAGGAAAAGTAAGCTAAAGGAGTTGCTCTTAACCCCTTGGGAGGTCCTGGATCCATTTGAGGGTCTAATGAATGTATGAATCTCTTTCCTAAGAAAATGCTGTTAAGACAGGCTGTTAAGGTTTTACATACAATTTCCACATTGGTGTGACTCTCCCGAAGGCCTCCATCCACCCCGGTTAAGAACTCTGGGCGAAGGGAATTACTCCAAACGATCCAAAAGATTAGTATTGCTGGACAACGACAGCTTATTAGCACAAAGCAAAAATAATTTTGGAATAGAGTTGAAGAAAACCTCTCTCAACCTTGTTCAGGTATCTTTCGTTTATGGCTTTGGCTATTTGCTTCACTTCACAGCGTTGATCAGCATCTCTCTTTCTTTCATTTAACTTCTCTGCTAGTGTTTCGAGCTCTGTCAGGGCCATCTGAAGAGGCAGCCTGTCGGGGTGGCCTTTGGAGGTGTTCTTCAGCATGTCCTACAAGCAACAGGGGAGAGGTGGGCAGTTACCACGTGGACACTCCCAGTGCAACAACAGTCGCGTCACCCGCCAGCTGACAATGGAAAGGAGGCAGTGGCATCTGCCATCCTGGGGAAAAATAAAGTCAGTTCTTGGGAAGGGATGATGAGCTGAGTGAGTCACGACTTGGCTGAACATCTGAACAGCTTCCTTTGCAAAAACAAAATTGAAAAAATAGCACTGTACAATAAAGGACACGCTAAATATGAACATATCACAATCTCAGAAATACTGTGCACTTGGAACGATGCTCACGATGATGATAGATTCTCCTTCTCAAGTTGAGTCAGACAGATGAACCCATGCACAGATGGGTCCAGCTACTTTCTTCAAAACACCAGTCTCCCAGTTTCCAATGTGCAGGAGTACTGTGGTGCCGAATACTGCACCCATGGTGTCAACTCACACAGCAGGATCGAGTCTCTCTCACAGTGACAAAGGAACCTGATTTTAGGGCGGCAAAGATGCATGACACTATCGTGGTGGGTCCATGTCACTAAACGTTCATCCGAACCCACCGAATGCACAGCACAAGGGTACGCCCTCCTGCGACTGTGGCCGCTGGGCAGTGGCTGCGTGGCCACGCAGGCTCCTGGTTGTCACAAATGCACTCTGGTGGAGATGTGGGGGGAGGGGGCTATGCATGTTAGGGGAGGGGTAGATGGGAAACCTCTGTACTTTCCGCTCAATTTTGCTGCGACCCTAAAATTTCTCTTAAAAAGTAGTCTTTAAAAAAAGGGAGTTGAGCTACCTCTTCTCCCAGTTAAGGTTTCAGACAAGCACGAGGAGGTCAAAGGGAGGGTATGTGGCACAAATCAACAACAACAGCCAGCAAAAAATGACGCACTGCTGCCAATCACAGGATAAACGTTAACAGGCAGTAACAAAAGGACATTTCTGTCACCTTGGTTTTATGCAGGGCCTTTTGTTTCCCAGCTTTCGTTCACATTCGACACGCTGACGTTTGCTGAAGGGGCAAACGTGAACTTGAAACACTCTTTCTCAGAATTAAATGTGGTTCTGCAATGAGATCACATGGACACAGGGAGGGGCGCATCACACACCGGGGCCTGTTGCGGGGCGGGGGGTGAGGGGAGGGAGAGCATTAAGACAAATACCTAATGCACGCGGGGCTTAAAACCTAGATGACGGGTTGCTAGGTGCAGCAGCCCACCATGGCACAGGTATACCTATGGAACAAACCTGCACATTCTGCACACATATCCCAGAACTTAGAGTGAGAAAAAAAAATGTGGTTCTGCGTCTTGCCTACCATCTTTGACATGTTTATAGGAATATTAGTAGTCATGGAATTCAACAGCGTGCTTATCTTTTTAAACCTTTTTTTAAAATCTGGAAAGGACATTGCATAAATGATTAAATGTTTCCAGTTTGTAATGAATATAAACTATTCTATACATTTGTTTTCCTATGAGTCACAACGAATTCTATCAAGGCAAAAAAGAACAATCTTAACACTAGTTCTGCACCAAACCCACACACTGGTGGTGGCACCGGGGACTAGGCGTGCGATGGAGACAGCAGCCAGCACAGGGTGGAGTCCGACATGCCGTGGGGCCACTGAGCACAGCCGGGGGCATCCGCCGGGCTGGCAGCCACCCAAGGAGGCTCAGGGAAGGAGAAAAGTGAAGTTTCTCGCTGCTGTTATTATCAGAAATTGTTACTTATCTTTGCACAACAACGGAGAGAAATAGGTAGCTGGGATAAAGACAAATGTCACAGGGCCAATGGATGTTTCTGGATCCATGGGAGAAACTGACAGTACCAGCATAGCCAGGGTGAGCCGGTTTCACTGCCTGAGCCAGGGGACAGCTGTGGCTTCACAGCACCTGTCTTAGAAAGAAGGTCTGGGAGCACTAACCAGGAAGAACGCAGGCAAGACCGGAGAGCAGAGACCAGGAGAGTCACTGGGAGGAAGGGGACAGAGGGTGTCCAGGCCTCTCCACACTGTCTCCCCATCCACCTACACTCAGCACACGGACTACGGCAGAAGGCAGGAGGGAGGGTATGTGCTTGTACCTGCTGACTCTCTGCAGCCTGTCTCCTCGCCCCATCCCGGGTGCCCTGAGTACCCACACCTGAGGTAGGGCCCCTCAGGCACATCCACACAATGACTCCAGACACAGACACCACCTTGTTTCCAACTCTGCCTCTTCCAAAGTACGTGGACCCACCCTGCTCCCCTCCGAGAACACTCTAGGATACGCCAGCGTTTCATCAAATGTGGGCAAAAAGTGTCCCTGAGGGAAACTGCTCGGCACATCTAGGATCTGCAGTTTGTTTTGTCAGATCAAGGCAAAGACCATTTTCTCCTTCAGGGGCAACAGACCCTGTGTGGGAAATTCTAAAGAGGGTCTCTCGAGGCAAGGAGGGAGGAGGACGGGGAGAGCTGTGTGCAAACTGACCTACGTAACTCTGCTGGTGACGATCTGGAAGAGCACACTGAATCTTTCTAAGTGCAAGTCTTTTGACACCCAAGTTCTTGAGTTTATTACATAACTGGAATTCTGAGTTTAAGAATGTCCTTCCTCAGAGAACTTAAATATTTAGAAGTATGTTTTCAAAAAAGAAAAGTGTACAAAATTCTTACAAGAACAGATTTGTAAACGGCGCAGTGTGTAACAGGCAGGCCATGCCCGTCCGACAGCGCACGTCTGCAGTGTTCCATCTGCTGCTTTTCCCAAAGTCCTGGCTGGCATCCTTTTGGGGTGTGGACAGTGTACTAGATTTGTGGCTAGACAACTGTGTTAGAATCCCAGCACATCTGTCGGGCTGTGTCACCATGGGAGAATCATCAGCTTCCCTAAACCTCAGTTTCCTAGAGCGTAACTCAGTTTCCTAGCGCATAAAAAAGGGACAACGACCTCCCCAGGACGGCTGAAGGTGGATGGAAACGTGGGAGCTGCTCGGGCTCCTCAAAATCCCGGTAGAGGCTTTTCCCTGCGGTTCTCTGTCCTGTTCCGTTTCCAGCAGCCCGCCCACCCCTTCTGTCTAAAAGAATGTATTTCGGAAAAAACCTAGGCAAAAATAGTTACTTACTTACTTACTTGTAGTTACTTACTTACATTTAACCAAAACCTAACAAGCTTGTTTGAAAATTATATCCAAATTTAATAAATTTAAAAAATTTAGAAAGTATTCTGATAAATCATAGAAAGCCAACAACGTGTGTGACCTCACAACACAGTCAGCACTTGCTGTCGTCCCTGGCGACCAAGAACGACCCAGGGACTCACTGGCGCATCGCTAAACACAGGGCATGTGGGCTGGTTCACCCGCCCGTATGGTTCACAGCCTGGTGACACTCTCCCAGCTGTGGCTGAATAACTAATGTCTAACAGGCGGCCTGACCCCCTTCCTCCCAAGCGCCAGACTCCCTCACACGAGGAAGCTCATTCATCACGTCTGTGGCTGCTTGCCGGAAGCCAACAGCGTCTCGCACGTATTAGAACTCAGTACATATTTGTCAGCTAAAGAAATAAAACACACTTTGAATATTTTGATCTTGGGAAAAAACAGCTTTTGTTATTAATGCTGTAATACAGGCAAACTGCACATTGTTAAAAATATAAGCCAGAGGATAAAATTAACATGAGCCATCAACCTAACCATGGAAAGAGCCCATGTCGATATTTTAGTATGTATCCTTTTTCATACTTTGATGACTACATTTATTTAAAAAGAATGTGCCATGGATTTGGTTGGTCAAAAATAAAAATAACCTCAATGGAAGGGGACTTCACACTATTTCCCAGGCGCCAGTTCATTTCTGGCGATGACTCCACCAGTTCATCTTAATCGGCTCTAATAAGCAGGCAGTCCAAGCAAAGTCCTCTGATTTAATTAGAAAAAGCAAGCTGAGCAATCATTGAAAAATCAACACAGGCAGAAACCAGCATAGACTCTCCTTTGAAATATCCTCCCTGGAGGCATGGCATTCATTTAAATAAAATGGGTGCTGAGCCCCGCAGCCTACAGGGTCACCTGGGCTCCAGGTTATGTGGGAAGGTCGGAAAACGAGCGGGCAACCACACACTGCATCAGACGTGACCTAGAGGCCGTCCGCTGTGAGACGTCACGTCAGCACTCAGAACAGGCCTACTGTTCACAGCCACAGGTATCCAATTGAGAATCCTTAGTTTAGAGAAATGAGGGTCCAGTGGACAGTGTTTTCACCATCGCAGCATCTCCCTGTCCTCGGTGATTTGCTGTTAAATCAGTGATGGGTATGTTTTGTTTAAATCTATTCTTAGCTTTCCAAGCTTGTCCATCCCCTCTGGGCACAGAGGCGAGAATCATTTTTCATGTGATCCTAGACCAGACACAGACACACTGGAGAAGGGAGCTGTGACCTGTGGGCCACTGATAACCAAGCCCCGCGGCCCCCCAGTGCTGGGGCCCTGTGAGAGCACGTGAGGCAGGCCAGGGCCCACAACACCCCTCCCCGCAGCCCATCCCCTCTGTCCCCCAAGGCTGGCCTCGCAGGCACTGGGCCCTACAGCTGCCCCCGGCGTAGGGTGACTCTCCGCAGGTCTCCACCTGCCTCTACCCTCCACCTCCTGTAACTGCCTAGAGAGGAGATGAGGAGGCCCGAGGGGCAGCCATTCCAAAGTGGAGGAACAGACGCCATTTTCAAATGAGTCATGGGCGAGCCAGAGGACTAGCTTGAGGAGGTCTCCGTGAAGCACTTACCTGGAGCAGGAGGATGAACTGTGGGAACCTCTGGATGGGCTTCATCATCAGGCTGTAGAGCGTGGTTCGATCGGGGCTGGCCTCCTGTTCCTGCTGTGGGGGAAGGCACCGGGGTCACCTCCCTGCAGGGCTGCCATGCCCTCCCTGCCCCTGGGGCCGCCTCCTCCCCACCACACTGAACACTCGGGAAAGTCAAAAGCCTGCACCTTGTCTTCAGCTACAAGAAGAAACTTGGCCAAATACCTTCCAGCCACTTTCTGCACCTGCTCTAGGGGCTTCCGCTTTGCTGCAGGGGCCCGACCTCACACGTTGGCCTCAGCTCCAGGGGTGAATTCCCCGGGCCAGGGGACTGGGCAGATTCCAGGGGCTGTCCTTGGGTGTCTGTGTTCTGGCCATAGTGGGCCCCCAGAAAAGGCTGGCAACCTCTTCCGGTGCCATGGGCAGAAAGACGTCCTGGAGGCTGACGGCTCCTCTCCCTGAGCACATCAGGGATGTGCAGTGGGGCCATTTGCTACCAAGGCTGTTGGGCAATGTTGACCTGGGGGGAGTCTCCAGGTCCCTCTGCTGAGGGGGCTGTGCAGTGGAGAGGGCAGACAGCACAGACCTGGCTGTGCCTCGGCCTCTCAGCTCACAGGGCACCCGACTCTTTGGGGCTCAGGTCCTGGAGCAATGAAATGGGATGAGAGAGTCTATCTCCCAAGGCCACGTGGCAGCCACCGAGCTGAGGAGTGGGCACTGCGGTCACGGCCACGGCTGGCATCCTTAATGGGAGTACAGCAAAATCCCCAGAGGGAGTGAGCTCTTAAGTGAGTCCATGTTTTCTTTCCCCAAAAGAAAGAGATGGTTCCCTAGCCAAAGGACAGAGGCCACAACTGTCCACAGTGGGAACTGCAATCCGATGCCTTAGGACAGAGCCCACAACTGTCGAGAGTGGGAACTGCGATCCGATGCCTTAGGACAGAGCCCACAGCTGTCCAGAGGGGGAACTGCGATCCGATGCCTTAGGACAGAGCCCACAGCTGTCCAGAGGGGGAACTGCGATCCGATCCCTTAGGACAGAGCCCACAACTGTCGAGAGTGGGAACTGCGATCCGATCCCTTAGGACAGAGCCCACAGCTGTCCAGAGGGGGAACTGCGATCCGATCCCTTAGGACAGAGCTCACAGCTGTCCAGAGTGGGAACTGCGATCCGATCCCTTAGCAAACCTCCATGGGCCACAGACTGTGCTCCAGGAGGAGCAGGAGCCGCCGTGCTGGATAAGGCAGAGGGAAAAAATTCCAGCTTCAATGACACGTTGCTGTGGGCGAGAATACTTGCCCTGTGTTCACTCGCTCCAGGTAGCAGCAGTTTCCAAGAAACAGTCCAAGTAACAAGAACACACTTTGTCCCCGGGGTTTATCATGCAAATGAGGGGCTCCACAAAGGAGACTCAGTTCCGCCGACGTCTTTGAAGGGGGTTTCAGCTTGGTTCATTGTGCAGCAAACTGTCAGAACACAGCCTCGGACACGCATCCCACGACTGGGGAAGCCCTGCCTGCCTGCTGATTAAATAACGCTAACCCACACCCATCAGGGGACGTGCTCCCCATCACTGCCAGGTCAGAGACCCCTGAGGAAGGCCATCAGTGCTGTCCTCAGCATTGGGAGGAACACAGCCTGCGTCCCCCTCGGGTAGGGCCCGCTCCAGGCTCTGACTCTCCAGGCCGGTGCCTCTCCCCGATCCCAAAGAGGCCTGGAATTGAGATGTTTAGTTTATTTGATTCCTAATACCATACCGAAGGACAGTGAGGGAAAGGTAACTTTGGGATCTGATCTTGACTTCTTTTTTGGGGATCTGATTTTAACTTTCTTTCTGTCTGTCTGCTGATACACTTTTAAGAAGGTGCAAATAAAATTGTTTTCAAAAAGCTACATTAGGACCTAAAATTCATCTTCATTTCTAGCATTAATCCAATATCTAGGGCACTATTGATACTGAAATCTTAATAACGAATAACTGCATTCAGAGTCAAGCTTTGACATGTAACTTGTTATCAGATGGTGTTAAAACCCAAATGAAAAAAAAAAGCGCTTACCTTTAAAAATTCAAGAAAAGCGGGCTTTGTGGCACATGTTTTCTTGAGGACTGCCACGGCTGTGCTGAAATTGTTCACATATTCACTGTATGCATCCAGCACCATGGACTTAGAAAACTGAAACACAGGAGGAAATTCAGAGAGAAATCACAGAGTCCAGATATCCCTTTTCCAACATAAAACAGAAGATTTGAAACTCGCCCTCAAAATACTCTTTCGGTCACTGTGATGTTTTCATAAGATAAACTTTATTATGACTGTGTGATTTTTTTTCTTTAAGCAAGCGTGTTAGGAGTTAAGTTGCTGGTTTGACCTTATTTTTTGACTCCAGAGCACTTTCTGACATCCTTGTTCAAAACCATGGTAATTTGGGTTTCAGTTAAGAATGTTCATGACTACAGACAAATAAGGATGGTGATTTTAAGTTCCTGCCAAGTCTCACTTGGTGGGTTCAACCTCCAGGCAAGAAAGTCATGCAACTCATTCCATGGTGGGCCCAATATCCTGAGAAACAGGCCTCAACCACACCCTAGAAATGGGGGCTGGGGGCGGGGGCTGATCCTGCTTCTCTGGCGTAACATACAATGCCCTACACGTGTTCGTTTTCCTAAAAGCACAAAGGTTTCTGTTAAGAGGCAGAAACATTTGCCCTTGCTATCAATATTCAAAGAGAGAAAAATCACTCCATGTTATTCTAAGAAACCGTAAGTCCTTTAGGATGGATGGCAGAGCTCTGGTGTGACTGGCATTGATAGCAGGAATGTTTTCATCAAAATTCTATTTCTTTAAAAAATCTGTTTGCATTTTTAAAAATGTTGGGAAGGTAGGTATTTAAAGAACAGTGATAAGGTTGAACCTAATATATAAAACAGCCAGAAAAAAAATCCAATAACAAAATAAATATCCAATATTTCTCTTTTTTTAAGGATCCATAAACGGTATTATGCAAATATCTTTGAAAGAATTTTGTTTCCATATTTATTCAAAGCATTTATAGACCTCATCAAGTACATATACAAACTATATAGGAAAACATTTCACGTATTATTATTATAACATTCATTTAAGAAGAGGAACACTTTTTTCAAAACTTGCAAGCTTATATCCCTTTGATAGCATCATAGTCTCAAATAATTACAGAAACCAATCTGTTTCACTCATAATCCTCTACATCTAGGTAGAATCCAACCAATATACAATAAGTATGATTCATACACGGAGTGAGGATAAAATGACTCGAAACTGCCAGTGCAGAAACCACCAGTGGTTTCCAGGCAGCTAACCCTTTCTCCTGCCAGGAAGTGTTCAGGCAAGCTGTTGCAACATCATATTCCTGTGTCACAGCATAGGGCCGAAAGCCTGTATCTACACAACAGAAGCTACAGCCAAGGGCAAAAGTTTGAGAAAACATCTAGGAATTTTCCCATCACGTGTTTTCTATTTTTCCCAGGCACAGATAATTCTGCACCCAGAAAGTGACACCTAGATCAGGAAGAGAACCTGTGTGAGGGCTTAAAAACGGCAATTTTACAACATTGCCAAACACACGGCATCCTTGTTCAACAACAAAAAGCTTCAGCAAATCGTCTAATGGGGCATCCAAGACTCGATAAAGTGCATATTGTTAAATGTCCTCAGATACAGCTTCTGTCCAGTGTCTGCCTTTCTAACGCCTTGGCCTCCCTGGTAAAGATCCATTTATCATTTCCCTAGCGCACACGCTTGGCCAGGGCATTGCAACTTCAGCCTGGCCTTTAGAGAGAACTGCACACTTGTCAGCTTGCAGGAGATCAGGGGCAAAACATCAGCCTAAGAAGGGAAGAGAGGACAGGTGCATGGAGAGCCCCATGGACATCCAGGTGTCCCAGCTTAATTACCGAAGCCACGAAGACATCGCCTATCATTTCCACGGAGTCCCACTCGGAAACGCGGCTGGCCAGCGCGATCTGAAATAGCGAGTGGCACTGCAGGATCTCTTTGACTCGGTAGAACACCGTCTTCAGCTTCCTCTCACTCAGAACCTTTGGCTCCATCTCAGACAGCGGCTTCTCATATTGCTAAGACAAAATGAGCAAAGACAGTTCAGACTTTTCTTTTTCAGAGCCTGGGTCTTGTTTTGTTGTCCAGGGTGCAGCGCAGTGGTGCGATCATGGCTCACTGCAGCCTCAAACTCCTGGGCTCAAGCCATCCTCCCACCTCAGCCTCCCAAGTAACTGGGATTATAGGCATGTTCCATGGGGGCATGGCTGCTTCAGACATTTTTCTTTTTTTTTTTTTTGAGACAGTCTCAGTCTGTCACCCGTGCTAGAGTGCAATGGCATGATCTCAGCTCACTGCAACCTCTGCCTCCCGGGTTCAAGCAATTCTCCTGCCTCAGCCTCCCGAGTAGCTGGGACCATAGGCACATACCGCCACACCCGGCTAATATTTTGTATTTTAGTAGAGATGGAGAGTCACTGTGTTGCCCAGGCTGGTCTCGAACTCCTGAGCTCAGGCAATCCACCTGACTCAGCCTCCCAAAGTGCTAGGATTACAGGGGTGAGCCACCGAGCCTGGCCCAGACATTTTTAAAGCTTAGATAAATGAATGTAAATATTCACTTACATAAATTATATTTATTTCAACATAAATCATGACTTTTGATGTCAATATACAGACATAATACTTAGATCCTTTTGAGAATTTTGCAAATTTGCATGTTATGTTTCATAAACATATATGCTTTGCATTTATGGATCAAAATGTATATAGGTAAAAAAGAATAATAGAAATGTATGTATTATGTAACACGACACTTAAGTACCTCCAAAATCCTCTTAAGAGCATCTACGTAGTTCTTTTCACTGTCGACAACTGAACCCAGTATATATCTTCTTACAACCTGTTGGAAATTTGGAAGTACAATGATAGAAAACTGCTTTATAATACACACAGATACATTTTACTTCTATGCTGAGGCTTGCTGATAAGTAACTTTTCTATTTTTAGAAAACAGTGCACAAGGGTAGCCTAATTAAATAACATTACAGGTACAAAACATACTTCGCCCCATTAATACAATTATATAATGTCTTAAACCTCAAACTATGAACTATAACTACAGCTGGGACAAAAAAAATTACAGCACTGAAAAGAAATTCCTTCATTTATGCAACGATAATATACTGAATTAACAGATTGTATTTTATGTATCCAACATTCAGGTAGATGATACTTCCTATGAATTCAGGATAAAAAATAGTTCCAGTCTTGATCAATGAATGTTATTAGCAACACTTATCTAAAATATTTATTCCAAAGTTCTAAGAAAACAAAGTTTGTGGAATGTGGAGGAATCTTTTTTTTTTTTTTTTTTTTGCAAAGATCTTTCAACCATCCAAAGATCTACCTATGAGGCCAAGAATGTGGACAGTAAATTATTCATGTCACTTAGAGGTGCAAAAAAAAAATCTCTACAATCTGACATGTTTGCAATCAAAACCTGACGTTATTTTCCATCTTGCTTTTCATCACTGAAGCACATACAATAGACTTGTGGCTGTAAGATCCCGTGAAAGGCCTATGAGGACGCCCGGCATTTCCCTCATTCTAAACACAGTCCAGCTAGTGATCATTGTACTTCCAATTTGCCAATTCATGGAAAACAGAGCAAAACAGGGCAATAGAGTTTCTCCTAAACCAGCATGCGCACTCCCGCATATGAACACACGCCCGGGCACACCACACCACACACACTCCTGTACACACCCACCCCATATATGTGCAAGATAACACACACGTGCGCGCACGGAAGCACACCACACACACACATGCACACACACGGGTACTCCAGTGTAGCATCAGGCTACCTGCAGCCCTGGATTATGCTATTTGAAGGGACTGCGTTGCCACCTAGCGGGCAAAGAGCATTTTTCACAACGGAAATTTCTCTGGTTAAAAAGATTGCAGGGCAACCAAGATTTACAAAACCTGATTAACAATGGAGAGATTACTCCTTTTAGAGAAAGGATTATTCTATTCGCAAAAGACAAAAATCAACCCTTCTAAAATACCCAAAGAAGAAACTGATGTATTAAAAAAATACTAATGTATTTAAAAAATACAGGTATCGCTGGGATTAAACACACACACACACACACACACACACACACACACACACACACACACACACAGAGCCAGAAGCTGGGAAGCTGCAGCTGCTGCTACTGACTGATTCACAGGAAACGTCAGAGCACAGAGGCTTCCCTTTCAAACGAGAGCTTAGAACCCAAAGGCCAAGCAACCCCTCCCATCATCAAACCCAGGCCAGTCTTTCTTCTGAAATTCAGATTCCCAAACACTCTCCCAAGGCTCCTGAGTCACAGTTGTGGGGGTCAAACATAAAAATGTATTTGTGTATATATACATGTAATATATATAATATGTTATATATTATACTATATATATTATTGATATGTGTACCTATATTATGTATATGTATTATTTATATGTGTATATATATTATGTATGTATATTTTTTAAAGTCCTGAGATGATACTAATATAGTATCAGGTCAAAAGATCTGGAATAGGTATAATATTAAAATACAAAAACAAAACCAATATTCTGGGTTTCATGGCTACTGCACGTGATGTCAGTCTTTCTGGCAGCTCAATCTGACACGTCAAATTATATGCCCACTAAGGGGTGGGACAGGGAGCCTCCAGTGCTCAGGAAGAGTGTCACTCTCTTCCTGAGAAGCCTGACCTAAAGTCATAGAGGAGAAATCCATCCTGAATGCAGCCCCCACAGGGAGGGTCCCTGGCATGAAGGTCATGGGGCAACTGGACAAAGCCAGGGCTGGAGGACAATCAGAGAGGCTCCTAGGCCTGAGCTGGGAGAGCTGCGGATGGTGCCTGGGCCTGGCCCAGCCTGACCTTCCTCATGTCCTCACCGGGAATGGGGACGGGACAGGATCCTCTGTCCTCCAGCATCAAGGGTACTTTCCAAGTAAAGAACGACCCTTCTTTATTTCAAAAAGAACATTTGCCTTTTTCCACCCCCAAATTAGGCATGCAAAGAATGTTTAATATACAGCATTTTAGAGTTATGTTTCCCTTAATTCAATTCTAGAGGAGAACAAGAATTAAAGAGCATCAATACCCCCCATTTAACCACTCAAGAGAAAACTCTCATGGACAACACATTTGGCAGGAGGAAAACAAAATCGATGTGAATCATGACTACAATAAAGAAAGCTGCATGAAAGAATGCAGAAATCCTAAATACTGCTAAGTTTCTAATCGTAATCCCAGCTATCATCTCATTGAAAGTGACGGCACTGTGCTAACACAACACAGAGACCTTGCTATACAGGACTTCACTGAACCATTACGGTGGGATAAGCAAGATGGAAATAGACATTAAAATCCACCCTTCAAAGAAAAGGAAAACTGAACTTCAGAAATTAACTACTAGACAAAAGTAACTGAGATAATCAGAGCAAAAAACAGAATTTCATCCAGGTCTGTGAGACTAATTTGGGAAGCTTAAACCCTTTACAGAAACCATAAAACAATGAACAGTCACTGCCAATTCGCTGAGCAAATCCACCAAAATCAGTACCCAACAGACAGGCCCTTGGAAAAGTGCCATACAACAAAAAGGTCAAACCTCTTTCCTCTGATATGTGCACACACCCCTACCAATCACTACTCACTCTCTCTTCACAGAACCTCGACTCTTACCCAGTGACACCCCACGGACCCCGTGACCCACTCAGTGTCTCCTCACAGACCCCTCACACCCCACTTAGTGTCTCCTCACAACCCTCACTGCACTCAGTGTCTCTTCATAACCTTCGCCAAACTCAGTGTCTCCTCACAGACCCTTACACACTCAGTGACTCCTCAAAACTCTCACCCCACTCAGTGTCTCCTCAGAGACCCGTCTCGCCCCACTCAGAATCTCCTCACAACCCTCACCCCACTCAGTGTCTCCTCACAACACTCACCCCACTCACTGTCTCCTCACAACCTCAACCCATTCAGTGTCTTCTCACAACCCTCACCCAATTCAGTGTCTCCTCACAGACTCCTCACCCAACTCAGTGTATCCTCACAACTCTCACCCCACTCAGTATCTGCTCACAACCCTCACCCCATCAGTGTCTCCTCAGAACCCTCACCCCACTCAATGTCTCCTCACAATCCACAACCCTCAGTGCCTCCTCACAAACCCTCACCCCACTCAGTGTCTCTTCACAACCCTCACCCTATTCAGTGTCTCCTCACAAACCCTCACCCCACTCAGTGTCTCCTCACAAACCCTCACCCCACTCCGTTTTCTCACAACTCACACGGCACTCGGTGACTCCTCACAGACCCCTCACACCACACTCGGTGTCTCCGCACAGACTCCTTACCCCACTCAGTGTCTCAATACCCCTCACCGCACTCAGTGTCTCCTCACAGATTGCTCACATCACTCAGTGTCTCCTCACATACCCCTCCCCCACTCAGTGTCTCCTCACAACCCTCGCCCCACTCACTGCCTCCTAACAAAGTTCACCCCATGCAGTGTCTCCTCACAAACCCTCACCACACTCAGTGTCTCCTCACAAACCTCACCCCACCTAGTGTCTTCTCACAAACCCTCCTCCCATGAAGTGTCTGCTCACAACCCTCACCCCACTCAGTGTCTCCTCACAACCCTCATCCCACTCAATGTCTCCTCGCAACCCTCACTCCACTCAGGGTCTCCTCACAAACCTTCACCCCACTGTTTCCTCACGACCCTCACCCCACTCCGAGTTTTCTCACAACTCACACCACACTCCATGACTCCTCACAGACCCCTCACCCACACTCAGTGTCTCCTCACAAACCCCTCACCCCACTCAGTGTCTCCACACAGACTCCTTACCCTACTCAGTGTCTCCTCAATACCCCTCACCCCACTCAGTGTCTCCTCACAGACCCCTCACCCCACTCAGTGTCTCCTCACAGACCCCTCACCCCACTCAGTGTCTCCTCACAGACCCCTCACCCCACTCAGTGTCTCCTCACAGATGCCTCACATCACTGTCTCCTCACATACCCCTCACCCCACTCAGTGTCTCCTCACAACTCTTACCCACTCAGTGTCTCCTAAGAAAGCTCACCCCATGCAGTATCTCCTCACAAACCCTCACCACATTCAGTGTCTCCTCACACCTCTCATCCCACTCAATGTCTCCTCACAACCCTCACCCCATTCAGTGTCTCCTAATAAACCTCACCCCACGCTCTCCTCACAACCCCCCAACTCAGCGTCTCCTCACAACCCTCACCCCACTCACAGTGTCTCCTCACAGACCCCTCACACCCCACTCAGTGTCTCCTCACGGACCCCTCACCCCAATCACTGTCTCCTCATGACCCGCACCCCACTCCATGTTTCCTCACAACTCTCACTGCACTCCGTGACTCCTTGTAGACCCCTCACACCTCAGTGTCTCCTCGCAGACCCCTCACCCCACTCAGTGTCTCGTCACAGACCCCTCACCCCACTGTCTCCTCACAACCCTCACCCAACTCAGTGTCTCCTCATAACTCTCACCCCACTCAGTGTCTCCTCACAAACCTCACCCTATTCAGTGTCTCCTCATAACTCTCACCCCACTCAGTGTCTCCTCACAATACTCACCCCACTCAGTGTCTCCTCACAAACCTCACCCTATTCAGTGTCTCCTCACAAACCTCACCCTATTCAGTGTCTCCTCACAAACCTCACCCTATTCAGTGTCTCCTCACAAACCCTCACCCAACTCAGTGTTTCCTCAGGACCCTTACCACACTCTGTGTTTCCTCACAAACCTCACCACACTCAGTGACACCTCACAGACCCCTCACACCCCACTCAGTGTCTCCCCATACCTCACCCCACTCAGCGTCTCCTCACAGACCCCTCACCCCACTCAGTATCTCCACAGACTTCTTACCCCACTCAGTGTCTCCTCAATACCCCTCACCCCACTCAGTGCCTCCTCACAGCCCTCCACACTCAGTGTCTCCTCACAACTCTCACCCCACTGTCTCCTCAAAACTATCACCTCAGTATCTCCTCACAACCCTCACCCCACTCAGTGTCTCCTCACAGTCAACATCCCACTCAGCATATCCTCACAAACCCTCACCCCACCCCTCCTCAGAACCTACAGCCCCACTCAGCATCTCCTCGCAACCCTCACCACACTCACTGTCTCCTCGCAACCCTCGCCCCACTAAGTGTCTCCTCGCAAACCCTCACCCCACTCACTGTCTCCTCGCAACCCTCGCCCCACTAAGTGTCTCCTCGCAAACCCTCACCCCACTAAGTGTCTCCTCAAAACATTCACCCTACCTAGTGTCTCCTCATAAACCCTCATCCCACTCACTGTCTCCTAACAACCCTCACCCTACTCAGTGCCTCCTAACAAAGCTCACCCCACTCACTGTCTCTTCACAACTCTCACCCCACTCACAGTGTCTCATCACAGACCCCTCACCCCAATCACTGTCTCCTGATGACCCGCACCCCACTCCGTGTTTCCTTGCAACTCTCACGGCACTTGGTGACTCCCCACAGACCCCTCACATCCCACTCAGTGTCTCCTCAGAACTTTCACCTCTCCTCAGCATCTCCCCACAACCCTTACTCCACTCACTGTCTCATCACAACCCTCACCCCACTCCGTGTCTCCTCAAAACCCTCATCCCATCTAGCGTCTTCTCACAAACCCTCATCCCACTCACTGTCTCCTCACAGACCCCTCACATTGCACTCAGTGTCTCCTCACAGACTCTCAGCTCACTCACAGTCTCCTCACAACCCTCACCTGCTCAGGGACTTCTCACAGACCCCTCACCTCACTCAGTCTCCTCACAGACTCCTCACCCAACTCAGTGTTTCCTCACGTATCCCTCACCCCACTCAGGGTCTCCTCACAGACCCCTCACACCCCACTCAGTGTCTCCTCACAGACCCCTCACACCCCACTCAGTATCTCCTCACAGACCCCTCACACCCCACTCAGGGTCTGGCATCGCCTCTTTCACACTCACCCCCGCATCCTGCCCACTGGTCTTCAGCTCAGGCCGCTGTCTTGGCTTGGGCCATGTGTCCTCAAGGTCTCCTGACTCTTCTGGTCCTGAGTCACTCACACTCCTGTTATGATTCCTGTTTAGTCCCTCATCTGCTAGGAAGCATTTCCCCTGTGCTTTTCCCTTCTTTTGCTATTTTTGGTTTTCGGCTTCATCGCTACAGTAAGTTCTCAGAGTGCAGGATCCAAGTTCCTCTCACATGGTGTGTCCTCACCAGAATAGGTACCCCACATGCAGTGAGGGCCCCAGATAGTAGAGGACTGGCCAGCGTGTCATCCTATTGAGCGCCTCATAGGACTGGCAAGAAGGTGTTCAGCCATGAACCCCTTTTATAACTCCTGAGCATGAAGTGAGGTGGGTGAGCTGGACAGCATGCACAGGAGAAAGCGCTAGATCCTCTGTTCCTGGTAAAGGCTGTCAACCACCCCCCTGGACGTGTGGCAGCCCAGATCACATGGCCCCAGTGAGCACAGACAGGTTAGGAGCAGGCTGCGATGGGAGAGACTGAGATCAGACACGACCCCTTCCTCGCATAGCTGGAGGATGCAGTTCTGATGATCAGCCTCCTCCGAGTCCAGGCTTCCTTACAGAGTACACAAGGATGGCAACGGGATTTGCAAGGATGAAATGCAGTGAAACACACCAGGGACCGGGCACGGGGCCTGCACAGAGCATGCACACCCATGAGTGACAGCTCCTCAACAACTGTCTCCAAGCTCTGTTGACACTCCATCCCGTCACTCGTGTGATGCTGCTGACAAAACTAATACTTCAGTCATCGCTGTTCAATTCCACTGAAATGTAAGCTTCCTATTTCAGCCTGGTCAATTATGAACAGCTCGCAGGTATCCCTTTTCATCTCTTTTTAAACCTGGCCAGTCACTAAGCATTTCTGTGTTGTTTGTCTTTAATCTGACAATGCTCTCTCTTGCTCTATCTGCCTACCTGTATCAGGGATCTCCCCAGATCCGTGGATTACACATATGTCTGCCTATCCATCCTGGTGTCCATGATTTGCACCTCGCTGCCCATGTGGGAAACAACTCCCATCATCCCAAAGTATCAGCCCCTGCTGCTAAAGGCCTGCAAACTTGGTGCTGTCACTCTGGTTCCTCAAGTTTTCTCTTCCTTTTACCCTAAGACAATCCAATGAAAACCACTGATTTTTTCCCTTCTGCTACTGAGTATCAGATTTTTAAGAAATGCATTATATTCAGATTTAATTAGTTACTGAAAATCTGTCATTTTCATCTCAGTCTCAGGTAGCTACATACACATACTGACCATACAAACCCACACTCTGTCTCTGTGAAAGTAAAAACTGTGTGACTGACTCCCACGAAGAATGCAAGTTCCTCCCCTTTCTCACAGCTACACTCAGGGGCAGGGGTGCTGTCCAAAATATTTAAGGACCAGAAGGGCCTGAGTCCAGGCCACAGCTGCTGACCAGCGTCCCCCCAGACCCTTGCTGAGCCCAGCAGTAAGCCTCTAAGTGCTGGGCCAGGAACCTACAGTGGAGGGCCCGAGTGGATGCAGAGTTTGAGACAGCAAATATTTACCAACCAGCATCAAACACACAAATATTTAAAAACTAGCACAGCTCTGCTGGTCAACAGCCCCTGTCAGCTCTGCTCATCTCACCTGCTGCTGAGATAAACCCTCGGGCATCGGGGTCAAGATGGCTTCCGGGTGCTTGCAGTCAACATCAATGAACAAATTCTGTTCTTCCTCAAGAGAAGATCTGTGATCTTAAAAAAAAAGTCAAAATGCATGAATTTTACATTCAAATAATATATTCACAACACTACAGTACAGTAAAAAAAAGTCAAATAAATATTTTGTGTAGACCTTTCAATTTTCCATGCTTACTTGACACCCAGCTATTATTAAGTTGAATTTTTAACAAATCCAATAAAATATTCTTTCCAGAGGGTAATACAATATTTGTCTGTATTTAAAATTTTCAGTATTTAAAGTTTAACTTCAAAAAGGAGAAGTGCCATTTGAATAGCTAGATAGCAAAGTGGCAATATTTTGGAATCTTAGTGTTTTAGAATATTTCCTAAATTAAATATTTTAGTTTCTTAATCTATAAAATATCACAATCAGAAACAAGGAAACACAGCTAAGAATGGCTAAGAACAGTCATTGAAAACTGAGGTGAGTCAAAAGTCATTGAAAACTGAGGTGGCACTTAGTATATTTCTTCTGTCTCTCTCACTGGATGCCTTAAGAAGCACAGCTTTCCAAAACTCAAAACAGTTTAAACAAAAACTAAATTCACAGTTGGGTGGGGTGGCTCACTCCCCTAATCCCAGCACTTTGGGAGACCGAGATGGTAGAATCGCTTGAGCCTAGGAGCTCAAGACCAGCCTGGGCAACATAGCAAGACTCCATCTCTACAAAAAATTTAAAAATTAGCCAGGCATGGTTGTGAGCACCTGTACTCCCAGCTAGTGAGGAGGCTGAGGCAGGAGGATCGCCTGAACCCAGGAGGTGGAGGCTGCAGTGAGCTGTGGTCGTGCCACTGCACTCCAGCCTGGGCGACAGAGTGAGACCCTGTCTCTAAAAAACAAGAAAACGCCTACATTCATTTTTTTAAAACACAGCTAACTACATTAAAGCATCCACAAAATGGCTGGAAATCAGAAAAGCACAGGCACTTTTAGATGATAGAAACCTGAGTTTTTCTAGTTCAAAGATCCCAAACCCTGGCTGCACAGAAACATCTATCTAAGGGGCTTTAAAACCTACTGATGCCCAGACTTTTCCCTCAGAGATCAACGGATCAGCCAGGGAAGGAGGGCCTGGCACCAGCCTGTTTTAAAAGCTTTCTAGTTAATTCTTAGGTACAACCAGGACGAAGAACGAAATTCTGTCCAAGCCTCTCATTTTATGGCTTAGGAAACTCGGGTTGGGAGGTTAGGGATTTGCCCTTTTTTTTTTTTTTCTTGAGATGGACTCTTGCTCTGTCGCCCAGGCTGGAGTGCAGTGGCGCAATCTCGGCTCACTGCAAGCTCCGCCTCCCGGGTTCACGCCATTCTCCTGCCTCAGCCTCCTGAGTAGCTGGGACTACAGGCACCCGCCACCACGCCCAGCTAATTTTTTTTTGTATTTTTAGTAGAGACGGGGTTTCACCGTGTTAGCCAGGATGGTCTTGATCTCCTGACCTCGTGATCTGCCCGCCTCGGCCTCCAAAAATGCTGGGATTACAGGCATGAGCCACCGTGCCCGGCCAAGGATTTGCCTATTAAACTGCCGCATCTCTACAACTGACCCGCAAAAGAGTACCCCTAAACCAGAGACAAAGCATGACCTGCTCCCAGGGGCTGACTCCGGGCTTCTCAGACTGTCCCACACACCCAGTCCCGGGGGACTCTGCCAGCCTGCAAATCCTGGCTCAGGGGCCTGGCATGGGCTCCAGGTGGGCAGTTGTGATCAGCTCCTGGAATCTGGGCTCCAGTTGGGGGGTTGCTGCTGGTGGCAGACACACTCCTTGAGGCAGTGAATGTGGCCCCAAATCCCAACTCCTCACTGGACAGAGCTGCCTGTGCTTTCCAGGGGCTGTGTAATATGGCCACCTCCTCAAAGGCTGTCCTTTGCTGCCCTGAGCACCTCATGGCACCTCATCAGGGCATGATACTACTGCACATTTTATTAGAATGCACCTGCCCGTCTCCATCACCAAATAAACCCCTCGGGGATGCTGACAGCTTACCCCCACCTTGTCTGAGATGCCGAGGGCTTCATTAGGACTGAAAGAGGAAAAGGCCTCCTGAGTTACACCATGTCATACCAATTACACATCGTATCCGAGGCCGTTCCTTGAGGGACAACGTGACTGCAAAGTCCCTTCCAAGTACAGATATTAGCAAATGCTACCCACGTCCTAGCACCAGACAGGCACATTAGAAAGCTGGAGAAACAACCAGGAAATGCCAGGTCAGAGTCACAGCGACCCCTGTATGACAGTGAAGTCTCAGTCACCCTCCCGTAACTCGACCTTAGGACATCCGTGCACAAAGGCTCCGAGAAGTCTCCTCGGACGGTAAATGACCCCAGCCTGCTGCTTGTTGCCGCCGTGCACGACACCTCCACACCACCTGCCTTTTCCACACATAACTGCACAGACCACTGCGCCTTCGTTAGATGTTTAGAAAAACCTGGAACTTCAGCTGTCTACTCCAAATCTCCCCTCACCAAGGAAAAGATTCCTGAAATGCCAGTTCAGGACGCTCACGACCTCAGTCCCTGCGGGACCATGCCCAGGAGGGCCAATGTGCTATAAATACAGAGTCCAATACTAAGAATCCACAGTGACAGAGGCCCCTGCACAGCCCTTCCTATGTCCAGCCAGTGATTCTCAATGATTCTCAATGATTCTCTGCTGCTGGGTGCCCTCGGTCTAAAACGCCACCCCTGCAGGACGGGGAGGCTGGGGTCAGCAGGGCTGATTCAGACCCAAGCACTGAGCAGGCTGGTGCTCCCTAAGGCTGTGGGAGCCTGCGCGGCCGCCCCCCACCCCGAGTCCTCCCCACAAGATGTGGCCGCCCCCCCCAACCCCGTGTCCTCCCCGCAAGAAGACCTGCAGGCACGGACCCTGTGCGATGAGAGACTTGGTCCTGATGAAGGAGCGGCCCCTCTTCACGGCTGCCCTGGTCCTCTCCAGCCCGTCCTTGGTGCCGTCCTTCGCGGCCTTCACGAGCTTCTGCATCTGCGACGGAGAGGGAGATGTGAGAACGGGACGGCGGCAGAACCCACCTGCGACTTTCATTTGCCTGTTTTAAAAGAATACTGTCAAGTAGTCTGGTTCTTGTGAGCGCATGTGTCACGTGCAGTTCTGGGCTAGGTTTTGTTTTGGTTTTGTTTGTTGGAAAAAAGGAAAAAACAGACCTTAAAAATACAGCCCTTCCTGGACATGGTGAAACATGTTCCCTGCCCCATTTATGGTATTATATGTGATCCACTCACACAAAGAGCTACGTGGGGGTCACAGGTGAGTCACTAACATGCACAAATGTCAAACAACTCGCCTCGAATTAAATGGCAAAACAACTAACTGCAGACGCTCACAGCTCCAGTTCAGCCTTTTAACCTCCCCGGGGCTTCCCACTGCACCCCATGTGGGGGCATGGCCAGCTGTTGACAGGGCCGCCTCACACGCATGGTTACACGGACCCAGCTCCAGCCACGGGGCTGAATGCAAGACCCTGGCAAATGCTGCAGACACGCACGGGACACACCTGAGGGAGGGTCGGGGTGCAGCACGCTGCGGATGTCAGACTCGGAAGCCATGTCCCCCTGGCCTGGGGCTCCCTGCCTCCACTTCCTCGGCCAGAGCTGTGCTGGACACTCACGGCTGCCTAGACTCAGGGGCGTCTGAGGCGTCTCCTGCCATCTGATTTCTTATTCCTTAAAAACCCAACATCTGAGGTACTGGCCACTGGACGCTGAGTGATTTCGTCTTTAAAAGATGATCTCTTATGGGACAACCGATGTCCCCATCCCAGGGACCTCTCAAAGGGACCAGCAGTGCAGCTGAGAACCAGGCTCTCCTCATCTGGGTCACACCACCGCGTGAGGAGCAGGGCTGCTGGGCACCAGCGTGCAGACAGCGTCGCTGTAGCCCTGGCCGTGTCTGCCTGCCCTGGACTTCCAAACGCCTGAGGGCTGCCTTCCTGAAGCGTTCACCATGAACACCACACAACACGCACGGCCTCACACCCGCGTCGCCTGCCCCAGCCCATCTCCATCACTTGCAATGCTGTCCCCCATCCCCCGGGGGCTCCCCTGCTCCTGCATCTCCCAACCCCACATGGGACCATGTCCTGCTGCCATTTCCTTGGCCCCTGCACCCATGTCCCCTGCCTCCCGCCCGATGCCGCAGACAGCCCTGCCCGCCTGCGCGTTTCCGTCCTGCACAGCCTGTCTACATCCTGCTCTTTCTCAACCCCAGATTTGGGCTGTGAACCCTTGGTTTTCAGCCAGCGCCGTTCAGGGTCCCCGGACAGAGTATCAGAGAACTGCAAACTGACAAACTGGAGGGCCGCCATGCTCCCTGAGCCCCAGAGCAGGTGAGACCCCGGGTTCCAGGTCACAGCCTCGGCCAGGACTCCCGGATCTCAGGGCTGACACAGGGGTGTTCTCACCAGGGGAAGCGAGCGTGCTGGGCCCAGCCCTGGCTGCCTCCCCAGCCTTCCTTTCCCACTTCCCACAGTGCCCTCACCTGCTTCAGCCAGGGCACTCCCCGTGTCTGTGAAAACCTCCAAATGTAGCTCACACACCCCTCCCATGGTTCTGATGGCGCCCTCCACTCCTCAGAAACCCCGCCACACTGCCTGCAGCCTCCGGCAGGTCCCATCAGACACCCTGCAGGGGAGCCAGCCAGATGCTGCATGTGAGGGGGTAACGCGGCTCCCAGGGGGCGGCTGTGGCTGTGGCTTCTGATGGCCCAAGCACAACAGGGCGGATGAGCCGGCTGCTCCAGAAGCTGTGTGGAGTGCACATCCCTTTCCAGTGAGTGCCATTCAACACATATGAATGATCACAAAATACCAGCAGGATAAAAGGTCCAATTGCAGGAAACAGTACTTGACAGTGCCCTTTTAAAAGACATCGCTCAGAACAGACTGTCACGACACTCAGGTCCGGCAGTTCTCAAGCATTCCGGTCTCAGGGGCCCTGGACGCTCTTAAAAATTATGGAGAGCCCAAATGGCTTTTGTTTACCAGGGTTTTATGTATCAATATTTACTGCATTTGAAGTTAAAACGCTGAAAAATTTTGGATATTTTTATAAATGTTCATTTAAAAAATAATCAACCTATTACATGTTATCTTAAATAACATTGATGAAAAATTGCTGTATTTTCCAAAACAAACAGAAAGTGGCATTGTGCGTTTCTGGAAACCCCTCTCTAGTAGACAGCCAGATGGCATTCCGCCAGCGGTGAGGCCACAGCTGTGGAGCCTCCAGAATGTTCCTGGGTTCCCCGTAAGAGGGAGACAGTGAAAGGCACAGAGCGTCTCAGAGTCCACGTGAGCCCCAAAGCGTCGGGGGATTCCAGGAGCCCCGGACCACCCTTTGAGAACCGCTGTTGAGACAGCAAGGACCGACCGAGCCGCGCGGTTTTTCTTTACTGCCCGGCTGGCAAGTGGGGGCAGCGGCCGGGGGCAAGACTCTACCTTCAGTTCATGCTTCTGCCTGAGCTGCTGAATCTCCACCACGCCCACCGTGCTTGCCATCAAATCTCTCATCTTTTTCTCATAGTGCTCCTTTAAACGGGTTAGGTCATGAGAAAGCTACAGCATAAAGAGACACAGTCTTTTCACAAAAAGGCTCTTTTTGGTTCTTTGGGACAATTTTACATTGAGAGGATGCTGGCAGCGTCTGCAGTGGCACATCAGGCCTGTCCTGGCTGGGGGCTTCTGGGACCACACGCGAGAGTCCCCATTACTAGCCCAGTTGGTCCTTGAGAGATAAATGCACAAATAGTTGGCTGGGCGCAGTGGCTCACCCCTGTAATCCCAGCACTTTAGGAGGCGGAGGTGGGAGGATCAATTGAGCTCAGGAGTTCAAGACCAGCCTGGGCAACGTGGTGAAACCCTGTCTCTATTAAAATTACAAAAATTAGCCAGGTAGGGTGGTGCGCGCCTGTGATCCTAGCTACTTAGGAGGCTGAGGTGGGCGAATTGCTTGAGCCTGGGAAGTGGAGGCTGCAGTGAGCCGTGATGGTGCCACTGCCCTCCAGCCTGGCAGACAGAGTAAGACCCTGTCTCCAAAAAAAAAAAAGAGAGATAAATGCAGAAATGAGCTAAACATGGCATCAAAAGACAGACACTATCCAGACACCAGGCTAGGGTCTTCTCTGTGCTAGACAGGAGCAAATGCACGCACACAAAATATCTGTGAAATCATTCGTTTACATTTTGGTGGAATAAAAATTATCCAATAAATAAAAATACATAAAATCATTTTTTATGTTGGCATCCAAGCAAAAGATACTTGTATTTAAACTATACTGAAAGTGACATATTTTGGGGATGGCAGCACGGATTTTCAAGGGTCTCCAACCTGAGATCACTTTCTCTCTAACTGACGGGACTGGGGACCCCCTGGATCCTTCTCCGTGTGGTCACAGACACTTCAGATGCACGTGGCTGAGGCCCCACTGGCTCGTCTCGGGGCATTTCTCATGTCACAGACACTTTAGGAAGTTTTTAACAAAATTCGAGATTTTTTGAGATGACTTTTGAACAACATATAGTTTTATTTTGGTCGTTTTTAAAATGTGACCCTTTGAACGAGAAAACTTGGTGCTGCCTGCAGCACTTCCATCCTGGACAGGCCTAACACACGGGCGCCCTGTCTGCACCCCACACAGTATTCCCACCCCCGGTCCAGGCCACTGTCCTGGCAACATGGACGTGTAGGAGAGGCTGGAAATGCAGAGCCCAGCGCTCCCGGGTTGTAATTCTGCACCACAAACCCACTGTGTGCTGGCTTTCCCCAGCTCCTTCGCCCAGCAGGGAGGGCTGCTGAACCACTGGCACTGCCCAGACAGTCAAGGGCTCCTCTGGGATACGGGCCCGCTCCAAAGCAAGGGCAGGGTCTCCTGAATTACTACCAAGGAGTGACTACTAATGCCTCTCGGCTCCTCAGTGGCCTGGCCCCTCTGTCCACAGCCCACCATGAAGGCGAAACTGAAGAGCATTTAACCCACGCTCCGAGGCACACACCGAGCCTCCATCTGTGATGTCAGAGCCCAGCACTCTTCTTAAATCTCAGTTTAAATCAAGTGTCTGACTCAGCTACAGCAAGCGAAATATCACCTCAGTTATCAGCTGTTAAAAACTACAATTGCAGGCCGGGTGCAGTGGCTCATGCCTGTAATCCCAGCACTTTGGAGGGCTGAGGCAGGCAGATCACGAGGTCAGGAGTTCGAGACCAGCCTGGCCAATATGGTGAAACCCCGTCTCTACTAAAAATACAAAAATTAGCTGGTAGTGGAAGGTGCCTATAATCCCAGCTACTTGAGAGGCTGAGGCAGGAGAATTACTTGAATCTGGGAAGTGGAGGTTGCAGTGAGCCGAGATCACGCCATTGTACTTCAGCCTGAGCGACAGGCAAGACTCCATTTCAAAGAAAAAAAAAACCCGAAAAACTACAATTGCAGCTTCATCGGTTGTTTAAATCGCAGTTGTAATGATGACGGTGGCAGAAAAGATCTAATTCCTGGAAGAACTTGTGAATGAAACTGGGTAGGTGAGCTGACTGCCAAGATCTAGTAGATTCTCCTTGAGTTTCACGAGCCAGGTTCACAGAATATGAGAATTGTAGGCAGCCCATAATCACTTGTAAACCATAGGGACGTGGCAGCTAGGTCCAGGAATGAAATCTCCGCTTACTGGGGGTTACTAGGGGACCGGAGGGATAACACCGGTTATCGACAACTGTCACTATGGCGGGCATCCGTTCACCATCTCTATCAGTAACACGGGACTCGCCAGCCTCAGACAAGGACTGCGTGTGGCTTCCATCTCAGCCTCACACAGAAAGTACACAGACATCACTGTAGATGAGCACAAATCTATCCTTTTACAAACAGTCAAAAAAAACTCTAACAAAACACCGGTGGCACGGCCTGGCACCACCGAGACCTGGGAGGTGCCTCAGCTGAATGGTTCCTGGGTTCCATGACTCACAACCACCCAATTCCAGAATTCACGCCTTACAGCTCTGACATCCCACCTCACACCCTAATCTCAAGACTTTTCCACAAAAAAAGTAAAATAAAAATTCCCTGTAAGAAAGGATCATCCGGCTGGGTGTGGTGGTTCACACCTGCAATCCCAGCACTTTGGGAGGCCGAGGTGGGCAGATCACCTGAGGTCAGGGATTCGAGACTAGCCTGGCCAACATAGGGAAACCCCATCTCTAATAAAAATACGAAAATTAGCTAGGAGTCATGGCAGGCACCTGTAATCCCAGCTACTTGGGAGGCTGAGGCAAGAGAATGGCTTAAACCTGGGAGGCAGAGATTGCAGTGAGCTGAGATTGCGCCATTGCACTCCAGCCTGGGAGACAGAACGAGACTCCATCTCAAAAAAAAGAAAAAGAAAAAAGAAAGGATTGTCACAGGTCAGTTTAGAAGCTTTTGTCCCTTAACATCTTCTATTTTTACGTCTTCCTTTTCATGCTGAACATGCTAAAGTTGAAACCTCACTTAAAGCAAAGTGCAGATGTGCTGTGTCTTAGGGAACCCCGATCCCATCTATTCAGTGTTCCGCAAACGGTGCTACGTGCAAAGCACATAATACATTAAAACACAAGCAATTCAGAGAATAACTACTTTCTTATTCAAGGTGGTGAGCTCATTTAAGACCTTTTAAGTGGATTATAGAAGCTTAATTTCTCCATCTTTCCATGACGATACTTAACTATATGAAACAAGACACGTCTTCTCCTTTGCCAATATCTTATGCTTTCCCCAAACTACTTATCAGCATCTTAACAAATCACTATGAAGTACTAGGTGGATCACAATCATATTCACAGCCCCCTGTCCGTGTTAACGCGAGAGAACCATCCCTCACATGTGCAGGGAACACGTACTTGCTTTTTGTGGTTGCTGCGCAGGAAGGACCTGGGAATCCCATTCTTGCACTCCGAGTCACTCTGCTCTTCGTAACTTTCAAATTCACTCGAACTCCATCCGTATTCCAAGGAGCTGTTTCCACCTTCATCCCCATTCTCAACATCATCATAAATCATTTCATCTGAGTGCATAAATTCCAAAATGAAATTAAAACTTTAGAATTCCATGTGGGCTGTTTTGTGCCTGTTTGTGGTTTTACCAAATCATCTAGAGCTGGGGGTGGAAGGAAATCTGAATCATGCTGAGGACCCTGCGGAGCCCCGGGCTTGCTCCATGGAAGGCACCGTGCAGCGCCTCCACCACCCGGGCAGGGCCGGGGAGGCTGGGGAAAAGCACTTCAGGTGTTTCTCACAAGTGCCCCTGCCCCATCTGTACCCCGAGGACCACCTGGCTATGGGCATCCGCCACAGTCATGCCAGGTAACTTGTCAGCCTTAGAGAACTTCACAAGAAGAAAAATCTTCCTTTATATAAACTTACAGGATGTTTTGAAAATTAGACAGAGAGAAATGGTGGACAGATGATAGGCATGTCGATGGACGGTGGATTATAGAAATATGGGTAGGTGGATGGATAGGTGGATGATACAGATATTCAAGTACCAGCACTAGCAAGAAAATACACACGGATTTTTAAATTTTCAATGCTGTGACACTAACAAGACTTTTAGAGAATGAAAATGACATTCTTCAAACTCCCAGAATATGAGTGTCTCTCTAACTCTTTTATCAGTCACACAAGCATAAATGTTTCTTTATTTTACCTGGTTTCTTAGATACAAATAATCTCCATGCCTTAAAAATATTAAATTTATTCTTTATGCATCCACAGTCATTCACTGTAACAAAACTTGGCCTTAAAAATCCTTAGTAATTAAGCACTGAGGAATATACACATCTCAGCACATAAGTAACATTCAAAGCCAACACTTGCTTTCACTGGAAATGCAAAATTAGACATGAACTTGTCACTTACAATCCTTAGATATTTCAAATTACCCTATCCTTGTAATATTTCTCCACTGACTACAAAACAGGTCCTCCAAATGTCTGATTAAAAGTTCTGGCAGGTCAACAGCAGCCTGGCAAAGCCATAAAATGCGTGAAATGAGCTCACTTTGCAGAAGCTGCAGTGTGTTCTGTGTGCCACGGACAATGATCACCACCCGGGCACCCAGCAGTCTCAGCAACTCAGCTCAGCGGATGAATGGGTCAAGTCCTTGCACAATTGCCTGAAATTTGGGGCTGGGCATCATCCTGAGAGCTCACCCACATGCCCAAGAGCCAAGAGTCATCCTGAGAGCCTACCCACGTGCCCAAGAGCGGAGGGTCTACAGCCTCTACCATGTACTAGGGGACTCAGAGAAAAGCACCCCTACGCTCCCCAGTGTGTGTCTCCACTGTTCCTCCAGCCTGTCTTAGAACCTCCACCCCCTACACGCCCTGGTGTGTGTCTGCACTCTCCCACCAGACTGTCTTAGAACCTCTATCCCCGACACAGCCCCGTGTGTGTCTGCACTCTCCCACCAGACTGTCTTAGAACCTGTACCCCCTACACGGCCCCGGGTGTGTCTGCACTCTCCCACCAGACTGTCTTAGAACCTCTACCCCCTACACGCCGTGGTGTGTGTCTCCACTGTTCCTCCAGCCTGTCTTAGAACCTCTACCCCCTACACGCCCTGGTGTGTGTCTGCACTCTCCCACCAGACTGTCTTAGAACCTCTATCCCCGACACAGCCCCGTGTGTGTCTGCACTCTCCCACCAGACTGTCTTAGAACCTGTACCCCCTACACGGCCCCGGGTGTGTCTGCACTCTCCCACCAGACTGTCTTAGAACCTCTACCCCCTACACGCCGTGGTGTGTGTCTCCACTGTTCCTCCAGCCTGTCTTAGAACCTCTACCCCCTACACGCCCTGGTGTGTGTCTCCACTGTTCCTCCAGCCTGTCTTAGAACCTCCACTGCTTACACACCCCGGTGTGTGTCTGCACTCTCCCTCCAGACTGTCTTAGAACCTCTACCCCCTACACACCCTGGTGTGTGTCTGCACTGTTCCTCCAGCCTGTCTTAGAACCTCCACCCGCTACACACCCCGGTATGTATCTGGACTGTCCCTCCAGAGGTTATAAGGAAACTCCATCCCCTATTTCCTCGCATCCATCTCTGGACTTCCAACTTTTCTGGTCCATACAAAACAAGTCTACACAGACATGGTTTTCACACATGTTACCTTTTTCACCTCAATTAGATTTTCAGCCCTTTGAGAGCTGGAGCTGCATTTTCTGTATTCCGCACAGCAGTTGGCAAGAGTCTAATCAATCAATCCAGCTCTCTCAATGCCTTGTTAAGGCTCCTGGGACCCAGCCACAGGATCAGGCACGTTTGGACGCCTTTACTTAGGTCTGTTAGAACTCAGGCTATTCAGATGTGTGAAAAACGGGTGGTTTTCAATGTTTTAGAAACGCAATTGCTGTTGTGACCCCCAGCAAACACGGAACTTCCAAGGACTTTGAAGGGTCTTGCTAACCATCAATTCAGTGAATTACTCACTTCCTCTTGAATGCCTGGGCTGGCAGATTTGTGGTTCTAAAATTGAACGTTAAATCCAGTCACCCTGGCATGTGTTTTCTGACCAAGCCAGTGACCAGGCAGCGCCATCGACTTATTGTCCTCGATGACAATCTTGTCGTTGGCCCTTAGCCCCGCGTATTTAAAAAGTGGCCTATGGAGGCATTGGCTGTACAGTGAGCGTACCTAATGCCACTCAGTCCTACGTGCTGAACTGACCGAAAGGAATATTTACGTATACCTGACACAATAAAAAAAAAAGAAAAAAGTGGCCCTGTGTGGCCTCTGTAACATCTAGTAAGGAATTCTCCCATATTCTCCCTGTGTTCTGAGAGCCCCGAACTCTAAACGAGTGAAGAAATGTGGGTGCACTACCCCGCGGCACCTCTCAAGGCAACTAGGAAATGCGAGTGCACTACCCCGCGGGCACCGCTCAATGAAACGAGGAAATGCGGGTGCACTACCCCGCGGCACCTCTCAAGGCAACTAGGAAATGCGGGTGCACTACCCCGCGGGCACCTCTCAAGGCAACTAGGAAATGCGGGTGCACTACCCCGCGGCACCTCTCAAGGCAACTAGGAAATGCGGGTGCACTACCCCGCGGGCGCCTCTCAAACGAGGAAATGCGGGTGCACTACCCCGCGGGCGCCTCTCAACGCAACGAGGAAATGCGGGTGCACTACCCCGCGGGCTCCTCTCAATGCAACTTGATGCCAGCACACTGTGACTTTCTCCTCTTGCTTTTGCTTTTTGCTCACCATTGCTTCTGAGTTCTTATAAACATACACACATATAATTTCCTCGTTTTTCTGCTGCCGTGCTGTGGGTGGTTTACTGGATACTTCTGCACGGTGCCCTCCTGCAGCCACCAGGCTTTCCCGTCTCCCGGTCCGCACAACAGCTCTGCACAGAGCATCCCACAGGGCCCTCCTGCGGCGGCGTGAGTTTCTTTCGGAAACTGGCTCCCTGCCCCACCACCGCTATGGATGGCCGGTCCATTAACTCCTGCTTGTGCTGTCCTTACAAAGGGGACACACTGGGCCTCGCCACACGGCAGGGGGCCGACGGCTGGACTCCCGCAGTGTGTTGGCTTCTGAGTCACCAGACCACGCCTTCCGCGAGGAATGCCCGAAGCGACCGGATAAATTACCCCAAAATGCATTTCAAACTTGTTTTTACATCAACTAACCTTTGGTCCTCACTTTCTTTGTGGCACATTTACCTGCAAGCACCTAGGAGTTTTCCTGATCAACAGGATGAAATCACCCTATCTCCATGACAGCAGGCACACCTCCATCTACTATTCGGTATGTAACTGCCCAAAACATATTTGCGGAATGAATAAATTAACGAACGCCGTGAGCTCCTCCCCATTACGTTGGCGGTAGATTTTAAGAACACGTCCTTAATTCAGCTAAGTGAGTTTCCTTCTATCAGCAGTTTTTAATGTTGGATGGTCACTGAATCTCAGCAAGTGCTTTTTAAACACATGCTGAGATAAGCATATGGGTTTATGTCCATCAATTTGGGGAAATCGTGTTACAAGAGCTTCTCAAAGGATCCTTGAACTGCTGCCATGAATGTAAAAGGTTAAAACAGGCTCTTGCTTACTTGTTAGGGTCATGCTGGATTCAACTTCCTGACATTTCTGGAAGGAAATGTAGCATCAACCTTCGCAGGTGAGGGAGTTTACAAGTTTCTGCTAACATTATAAACTAATTCTCACCTCATCCTTGCTTCTGCTATTCACTGGAACAGTGCATGCGACTGAGGGGTTTGTCCGCTCCCTGAAGGCTCAATAAACCCCAGCATAAAAACATCTGAGCCTGGTGGGCTGTTCTGCACAGTAGTTAAGCAAACCATTCATTATGTTGGATCATTATAGGTTTATTCATGGTTTTTATTTTGGGTATAGTTGATTCTTCAAGGCAATTTTTAATTTCATCTAACTTTTTGATAAAAAGTTATTTATAGCATCCTCTTATGATTTTTACAAATTTCTACTGCAGTTACATCCTCTTGATCAACTTTTTCCTTCCTTCCTTTCCTTCCTTCCTTCTTCCATCCCTCTCCCCTCTTTCTCTGTGTCATCTTAATATAACCAGAGGCTTGTCTATTTTTGTACTATTTTTAAAGAACCAACCTTTGGTTTTGTTAATACTTTATGTTGCTTCCTGGATTTTTATTTCATCATTTTTGCCTTGCCCATTATTTTTTTCCTGCCACTTCCTTTGACTCTGCTGCTCTTTCGTGCAGCTGGCTGGATACTCAGTTCACTGCTCTCTGTTGTTTGTTTTGTTTTGTTTTTTCAGAGGGAGTCTCGCTCTGTTGCCCAGGCTGGAGTGTAGTGGTGCAACCTCGGCTCACCGCAACCTCCACCTCCCGGGTTCAAGTAATTCTCTGTCTCAGCCACCCGAGTAGCTGGAATTACAGGTGCCTACCATCATGCCCGGCTAATTTTTGTACTTTTAGTAGAGATGGGGTTTCACCATCTTGGCCAGGCTGGTCTTGAACTCCTGACCTCATGATCCACCCGGCTCGGCCTCCCAAAGTGCTGGGATTACAGGTGTGAGCCACCGCGCCCATTCTGTTTTATTAACATATGCCATTATGTCTATAATTCCTTAGACTTTAAAATCTATCCCATATAGTTTATGTAATGTTTTTATTATTATTCAAGACAAAATATTTTCATTTCCATTTTATCTTTGACCATGAGTTACAGAGTAGTATATCATTTTTAATTTCTAAATGTTTGTATTGATTTTTTTTTACTGATTTTATTCAGTTATTATGAGGAAATAAGGTCTGAACATCCATTCTTTGGCATTTGTTAATATTTGTTTTGAGGCATACTATATAGTTAATTTTTTAAAATATTTCATGTGTTTAAAAAAATACATATTCTGGAACTACTTGCTTCAAAGATCTGTATATGACCTTCAAGTCAATCATACTACATTGCTGTTCTAATCTTTTATGGTTTACTGATTTTTTTTTTTTTTTTTTTTTTGACACAGAGTTTTCACTCATTTCCCAGGCTGGAGAGCAGTGGCACAATCTCGACTCACTGCAGCCTCCGCTTCCTGGGTTCAAGTGATTCTCCTGCCTCAGCCTCCCAAGTAGCTGGAATTACAGGCGCCCGCCACCACGCCTGTCTAATTTTTGTATTTTTAGTAGAGATGGGGTTTCACCATGTTGGCCCGGCTGGTCTTGAACTCCCGACCTCAAGTGATCCATCCACCTTGGCCTCCCAAAGTGTTGGGATGACAGGCGTGAGCGACCGTGCCTGGCCGGTTTACTGATTTTATGTCCAGGATCTGTCAATAGCAGAGACAGTTTTCTTAAAATCTCTCACCCCAACAGCGTATTTACATATTTCTGATTAAGCCTTGTTATATTTTGCTTATATATCTTAAGGCTATGCTGTTAGGTGCATATGAGTTTAGAACTGTTATATATCTTCCTCATGAATTATTCCTTGCTTATGGCTTAACATTTAGTGTATTATTATAGTTATACTGACAATACTTTGGTTAGAATTTGCATTATATTTCTTTTTCCATCCATTTACTTACAAATCTTCTGTACTCTTATGTATCTCTCACAAGAATTTATGGCTAGCTTTGCTATTTTATCCAATCTGAGGATTTCTTTTACTGGCAATAGGATGCACTTTACTATGCGTACCAATATGTTTGTACTTATTTTGCAGTCTTTTCTCATATGATTTGCAAAGCTTTCTTATTTTATATTTTCTTGCATTTACCAGATTGGGTTTTGCACTACTGGTTTCAAAGTTAAAATAATCTATTCCTATTTTCTTAGCAGTTACCCATAAAACGCAAACTGGACCAATCCATAGCAAAAAAAAAAAAAAAAAAAAAAAAAATCGGTAACAAGATCCTCCCCCTGAAAAATGCCGACTTCAGAACTTCAGAACACACGGCATGAACGGTCACCCTCCTCTTCAGTCGGCACTGGCTGGGGCTCCGGCTGCATCTGAAACTCAATCGGCACTATCAGCGCTGTCTTGAGCGGTGCTGGTATCGACTCTCCACACGCCCGACACTTCCCGGGCTCCCCACTCCCTCCGGGCCCCTGTCACCTCCTCCGTGGTTCAGTGTGCTCTTCCCTGCAGCGAGTGCATCATTAACTATTTCCTTAGATTCTATGGGCAGCAAGCTCCCCCGCTCTGCCTCCTGCGGCCCATCGCCCTTTCTAAAGGACTGTACTTTGCTGGACGTGGCCGCTCAGGTTAAAAGAGCCACGTCCTTCTTCGCTTTGAGAACCCGCCCCCAGCCTGTGGGTCAGTGGAATAGCGGTTCCTGTGTAGGCAGCCATGTTTTCTCTCCAGTTGCTCTCGGGAGATTCACCCTGGGCCTGGTGCTCCGCGGCCTCCATTGCATCGGCCTAGGTATGGATCAACGTGTAATTCATCTTGCTTTGAATCTCTATGTCTAAAATCTGAGAATTTATGTTTTTCTTTAATTGTAGAGAATTCTTAGTTATTTCTTTGACTATTACCTTTGCCTGATTCTCTCTACTTTCTCACTGATGTCATTTATTCGATATACATTGCTGCTTCTCAGCCTCTGTGTTTCCTACCTCTTTGCCGGCATTTTCTGTACCTTTACTCCTCTGTTTGCTTGGGATAAGTAAGATTAAACTGCCCTATTTCAAGGGTTATAAGCACACACACATATGTGCACAAACACCAATATTCCACCACACATCAATAAGCCATTCTAGAAGCAACATACAAAACATGAATACAGAAAACGTCTGGGCCGTCCACTAAATAGTCACTTTGGCATCCAGAGGGAAAGGCTGCTGAGCTGAATCTCCTCAAATCAATTCCAGACAAAATCAAACCTGGTTCAGAGTCTGAGTTTTCCCTTGGAACGTCATCGTAAATTGCTTCCTCTGGATCTGCAATAAACGGGGAGAAACACTTTAAACAGTGACCAACAAAACCTAGTGCAATTTAAATTTTACAGGGCCACAGTCGCCGATGATGTCATGATTATTCAAAAAGTTGGTTTATAAGGGTAGTTTTTTTTTTATTTTTTACTTTTTCGTTCTTTGTCCCAACTAGTAGACAATGAGGGCTGTAAGGTAGCTAACAGCACCTTACCAAAGCATAAGCATTATTTTTAGGGCAGAATAATTTATTGGGAATGAAGGATGTCTCTTTAAATGGACCAGCTGTAAAATGTCACTAGGAAGGAGTTTTATGGTTTCCAGGTCAAACTTATTCTATGATTTTGTGTTCAATTACACACTTCTATATGGCTCTCTGACGAGTATTTTAAGCTTATGAAGTTGACGTTCTGACGCACAAAAAAATACAACGGTGGCACACAGACTTCCAGAAATAAGAAAAGAGCCCATCAGTGCTGGATACAATGGAAAACCATCCCAATAAACCAATGACACCATAATTTTGTGCCACTGAAAGTAAAAAGTAGTAGCAAGTATCAAAATGCTAAACATATAGGACAGTGTTTCTCAATCTGTATCACGTGCAACACTGGGGTTCTGTGAAAGTGAAACCGTTTCATAAAAAAGAAGGCAAGTTCTGTAAGCAAAACCGTGCTGTATGAGATGACCACACAGGACACCAACAATGAGCCTGAGGTTTACTCAAATATCTGTAAGAGTTACACGCTTCACATGAAAATCCGTTTCATAAAAAGACCTTTAAATCGAGGTTCCACTCATTGACTAGCGGTGCCCTCCCTGCAAGAGAACGTCCAAACTATGACATATGACTGCATCAAAAACATACAGACAACCGCTTCCTCAGCCACATAAGACAGAAAATGAGACCAACAAACCCGAACTCTCCCCTGACATCCAGCCACCACTCCTGTCCCCACACTAGCAGGAAATAAAAATTCAGGAAAATTCCTTATCTGCTGCTGTTGTCAAGCTCCAGTATTACAGACGCTCTTTCTTTTAATAGCATTTACTATCTGCAACCACAGTAAAGATTTCTACTCCTCTTAGATAATGTTCAGAGACTGCTAGTTTAGAGATCATATTTCCAAATATAGTTATTCCAATTCACTGCCATCTGGGTAATAAAAATGAGTAATGAGAAAAAAATCAGACAAATTTTACCTCGGAAATAAAACTGTTAGCAAACAGCCAAGACAATAATTTAATCCTGTAACGATCCTGCTTTAATAGGCACACAGCGGAATCATCTAATTACACTAAGATCTTTGTTTTAACAACGTCATAATTGAAACCAGAATGAAAACTTCCAGGAGGCAGTTTAATAATCAGGAGGTAACTAAGATGGTTCTACCTTGTAAGTTGATCATATGAAACAGTAACATAGAAATTAGTGAGCCAGTGGATAATGAGAGGCATAATCAGGAAAGTAATCTTGCTTTTCCTTTAAAAATTAAAAAAAACAAGTAAATCTAGCTAAAAATCTTTCAGCCTTTGAAGCCGCAGGTGGGACTGCAGATCTGGCCACCTGGAGGGGGGCTGGCTCAGCCAACTTAAAGGGAGAAAGAATGCCTTTAGGTTTACTCTGAATTGTACGGAAGCTGGAGCCGCGTGTTGGAAATGCGCTCGCTTTAATCCACACAGAGACGGGACATAATCCTACAGGTTTAAATGTACATAAAAATAGAGTTTGGAATTCTTTGCTCTGTTTACGTTGCAGACTGCTCTCATTTCAAGGAGTGAGATTATAAATAAAATGATGCACTTTTGGATGTTTCCTGTTTTTGAAATCTAAACACGAATCATTCACGTGACCAAAAATTGTGTTTTTGTCAAAATACATGTCTAGTCTGTCCTTTAAGTAATAGTTCTCTTAAATAAGCTGTGATATTAATCAGATCATTACCAATTAGCTTTTCAAGCACATTTGCTTCAGGCTATTGTTTTGGAAAAATACGCTACAGAACTTATTTTTAAGTTACAAATAAATAAGAGGCTACTAAATGTTTTGGAATCTGTTGTTTCTGCCAAAGGTAAATTAACAAAACATTTATTCGGGAATCCCCATTTAAATTTGTACGATTAGATAAAAGAAAACACCAAGTTATGTAAAATAAAGTGTGTATGGGACAAAAAAAAAAAAAAAAGGGAGGCCCACCCGCCCCCTCTTCAAAACGGGTGCCAGACACTGCATCTCCCTGGGAATCACAGGCAAGCGCAGGGTGGGCGTGTGGGTGGTGGCTGACCATGGCTGCAGGTCAGAGTTTCTGTTACCCACATATCTCACTGTTACCATAATAATAAAGCCTGTGCTAGAAAGAAACGACCAGGAAGAGTGAGTGCGTGGACGTGGAGAGCTGGGGTGGCCTCACGGGAAGTGACAGCTTCAGGGAACCCGGGGAAACTTCTGCACAGTCAGCCCATGTTACTATTTTCAGTAAATAAACATCTTTTTAGAGTTTTAGATCTGATGGGACCTGAGACTCAGGGACCCGGCCCCGCCGCAGTGACGTCTGTGGAGCGTGGTGAGGATTCTGGCTGTGGGCAGCTGGGGAACTTACTCTCCATCCAGGCTGTGTTGGCCGGGTCTGCGGCCCAGCGGGCAAGTGCGCTGTCCTCTCGACCGACTTGATCTTCACTTAAAGAAAACAAACCATAAAGTCAGAATATCCAGGCACAGCCCAAGTCACTAGGATGCCAACTGCCCTGCAGAGTGTGTGTGTGTGTGTGTGTGTGTGTGTCAGAATATATATATATATGTTACTATACAGGAAATCACATATTTTCCCAGCTATTATTATAGGACATCCCAAGTTCAAGCTTTCACTCATAACTCTGTAAATAAGTATTCCAGATGTTTGGCCTACGCACGGCACAGAACACGGGCAAGGGCAATACAGCCGCAATACGGTCCTTGCCCTAGAAGGCCTGAACTGTCTTCTGGTTTTTCAGCCACCCCTTTGAGGACCTCTTAGGCCCTGCTCACAACGCTGGGTGGGAGAGATGCCAGCGGGCAATGGGCCGTCTCCATGTCCAGGAGCAGGTCAGTGGGAGAAAGAGATGCAAGGCCACCCAGCATAAACCATGGTGCTCTGCCCCCAGCGGGTGGTCACATGGGCCACCAGAGTCCCACACACACAGGGACTGCGGTGTCATCCTTTGCAATGGGTAGCTACGGGAATGCTCCACTCGGAAGGATGATGAGGTCAGACTCACTGCACACACCAAGCATCGCCCCATGAGAGGCACCACTGCTGACAAATGAGATGCACCAGGGATCAGTCGTCCCGACACCGCGTCCTGTGGGGAGCTGTGCAAGGATGAGCCCGGTGGCAGCGCAGAGACACTGCTGGGAAGGCCAAGACCGGAAGCAGAGTGAGCACCCAGAGACGTGTATGGAAGGCCTCGGAAAATGTTCCTATGGGAAGGGTCACTAACGGAATCACGTGATAATCCGTGCAGAGCACCCCACGATGACGACTTCTCAAGCAAAAGCTCTAACAGGCCCCAAGGTACCTGCAGGACCTTGAGGATGAGGGAAGAGAGCCCGTGTCCTGGTGATGGCCCTGTGGGTGCTGCGGGATGCCCCATGCCCTGATGACGGCCCCCTGGGTGCCGGGGGACGCCCTGTGTCCTGGTGACGGCCTCATGGGTGCTGGGGGATGCCCCGTGTCCTGGTGATGGCCCCCTGGGTGCTGGGGGATGCCCCATGCCCTGGTGATGGCCCCCTGGGTGCTGGGGGATGCCCCATGTCCTGGTGACCACCCCCTGGGTGCTGGGGGATGCCCCGTGTCCTGGTGATGGCCTCATGGGTGCTGGGGGATGCCCTGTGTCCTGGTGACGGCCCCCTGGGTGCTGGGGGATGCCCCATGTCCTGGTGATGGCCTCATGGGTGCTGGGGTCGCCCTGTGTGCTGTGCTGTGCACCTGTGAAATTAGGATGCAGCCCCCTGCTCTGAGAACTTATCACATCACCAAGGAGCATTCTTGCACTTTTAAAGTTTAAAATAATATCAAAACAAAAAGTTACCTAAAAAGGTAAAAGAAAATCTGAATCAAACAGAAACACTATTTTAAACTATTCATAACTATTTCTATGTTTGAAAAATTTCATCCTTTTGAAGATCATTTAAGGTTTTCCTCACACTACATTCTATATACATTTTCTTCAAAATAATTCCTATTTTCAATGCACATATTTTTCACAATACATTTTAGATCACCAGTGATAACACGCTACCACTAATTTTTAATTTTACATAAAATCTGCAATTTCTAATGGAGAACCGTGGCTGGACCTACCTGGTGGCACAACTCTGTTTAAACTGGGGCAAGAGCACTGCTCTAGTGGCTGCTGCTCCCCAGATACCCCACCCGCCTGCAGGCGGTTTCACGGGGGACGCTTTACCCTGCAAAGGCCGCCTTCATGATAGAAAGGAGAAAAGCAAATGAGGGAAAGCAACAGCAGGGCCGTGACAAGGGCCAAGCCTGGACACACCTGGACGCCTGAAATCAGACCCAGTTATCAGACCCTCAGTCCACTCGTCCTGACCCTACATTTCCAGGGACACTCGCCTGGGAGGGACCCGAGGCAGGAGGTGGGGTTGGGACAGCTCCCGCCGCGCAGAGCTGAGGATGGCGGGCAGGGACACACACCAGGATCCCCACGTCCAGCTCCTCAGGAGAAAGGCGGGAATTCAGCAGGTGTGGGAAGACGGATGCAGATACCTGGTTGGAGGCTCCTCGGAACTCAGAGAATTGGGCTGGCGATCTTCTGTGACTTCTGGTGTTTCTGCTGGGAAAGAAAATATGTGATGCTGCTTTACGCCTGACAAAAATGCTCATGAAGTTGATGTTTTTACCCTTAAAAATGGTTTCACACTTTCCTATCAATCAGAGGCTTATCTTAGCATAAGGGTGATTAATAAACTTAAAAATTTTTAGCTCTTAGATAAAATGTATTCAAGACTGGAATCTAATAAAATGTGATCTACTGAGGGCTTGTGAAACAGCCAGAAATAAACTGCACCAGCACCCAAATGCATCAGGCTAGAGTTAGAAAGAAACGGGATGTTCTCTCCCACTCCACATGTGCATGGGAGCCACGGCTGTGACCGGCACCCAGATGCATCAGGCTAGAGTTAGAAAGAAACGGGATGTTCTCTCCCACTCCATGTGTCCACAGGAGCCACGGCTGTGACTGGCCTGAAGGGGCATCCGCCTGGCACGCTCAAAAGATGTTCAAGAGAGGAGTGGTTACGCTTGTGACATGTGACACCAGCTTTCACTGGCACACGCTCACATCCCTCCACACGCAAATACACGCGCAGTCCGACCCGCCTGACGATTCCTCCCTGCCTGTCTGTGGCTCTCCAGGGTGAACGGTGAGCCGTGAGCAAAGCCGCAGTGCAGGTTTCCCAAACATTCCACACAGGTGGGGTACGAACTTAGACCATCCAAGGACAGCCTGAGACGCCAGTGCAGAAGAAGCAGACCCTCCCACCTCGGAGGGCTCCTGGGCAGAAGCCAGCCAGAGTCTGTGATGGCTGTACTGCGTGGGTGCGGGCCACGTGGTCCCTTGACGAATCTGCCACCGCCCAGCCGCGTGGCACCAAGAATGATGTGGGGAAGGAGAGCCAGCAGCACTCAGCGGCTGCTGCTCATCGCCACACTGGCAGCTGTCCATGAAACACTTTCTAAAGGGAATTTATCTTTGGAATGAGCAACAGTTCTCAACCGTTTTCAAACCGCAGCAGTTGGCTCAAAGTCGGAGACAGCTGAGCTCGATGTAACCTGCTTGGAGGTCTCATCCCTGAAAACAGGTCCCTGGTCACACCAGGAGCTGCCACACAGCTGGATGCTGACTAGCAACAGACACGAGATGCCCGAGGGGCTGGGGGGGTGGATCTGCGGGTAGCGCTGCAAATCCCACATGCATCTGCTGGTTCAGTGTTCCGGGCCACCTTCCTGAGTGGCAGGTGTCAGGGCAGACACAGGGCCAGGATCTGAAATCCAATCTGCCTGCTCCAAAAACTGCCCTTCCCACACTGCCACACTGCCTCAAAGAAACACCCAAAGATCCAGCTGGCCGCGGTGGCTCATGCCTGTAATCCCAGCACTTTCGGAGGCTGAGGCGGGCGGATCACGAGGTCAGGAGATCAAGTCCATCCTGGTCAACATGGTGAAACCCTGTCTCTACTAAAAAAAAAATACAAAAAATTAGCCGGGCGTGGTGGCGGGCGCCTGTAGTCCCAGCTACTTGGGAGGCTGAGGCAGGAGAACGGTGTGAACCCGGGAGGCGGAGCTTGCAGTGAGCCGAGATCCCGCCACTGTACTCCAGCCTGAGCGACAGAGCGAGACTCTGTCTCAAAAAAAAAAAAAAAAAAAAAGAAGAAGAAAAAAAGGAAAAGAAACACCCAAAGAGCCACAAAGCTTTTACTTGTGTTTTGCAGAGGGACAAAGGCAGGACGTGCTGCCCAGCAGCAATCTCGCTGCACGGTGAGAAATGTCTCCCCCACGGGGGTGTCCAGGAGCACAGACTCCCATCCCCAGAGCACACACATGAGCCCTCTCAGGGCTCCACCCCAGGAAACTCTTCTTTCCTCCGCCTTCCGGGAAATTAAGGTGCAAACTGAGTCTGTCAAGGTCAGAAGGAGGCAGACACGCTGGCCAGGGAGTCGCCTAAACAGCTCCGAGCAGCAGCGCACCCAGAGGCTTCTGGCCACAACAGCCCGTGCGTAAACAAGAGCAGGACCTGCCTGTGGACGTCTTTGAGAGCTGGTTTCGGTAGGCAGGAAAAATAACGGAATCTGGTCATCCCAGTTTGGCCAGCTGGGAGCTCCAGGCAGGGCTCTGCAACCTCCCACCGCAGGCCTGGGGATCCTGGCTGGGCTGTACGTCCCGGGGAAGCCCTGCAGAGCCAGGCGGCCGCCCCGCCCCAGGGAGGCTCCAGAGCAAGGAACAGAAAAGCCAGCAGTGCCACCAGGCAGGAAGTGTGGGCCAGGCTGGGGACCGGGCCTAACACCAAATCCACGCTTTTCCACCTCCCAGGAAGGAGGTCTGCGTTCACATCCCTCATTCAATGATCAAAACGCAACCGGAGAACCACCTGCTCCTCTACTCCGGGACTTAAAATAGTCTTTATTAGAACAAGGCTTTATTACTGGCTCTAGGTTGACAGAACAAAAATAAGCAAATTGTTTTAAATTCATGCTAAGTTATTTTAAAAATAAATTAAATGATATGCAATTATTTTAAATAATCAAATAATATTTTAAAATAAGAAAATCACTTTAAAACAAACGTATTTTCCTTCAGCCAAGAATCCTACACTCTGCACGCCCTCATTTCCAGGGGGTTCTCATGCTCCGCGGTCACAGAGTGACAACAGCAGCGTGGATCATGCAGACCGTGGTGAGTTCCGAGGACTCTGGCCGACTTCAACAGGAAAACGCACAGGAGGCCGTCTATTCTGAAACCTCTGTGTTTCCCAAAATCCAAAATTGAGATTTTTCTTTAAGGATTTTTTTTTCTCAACTGTTATTAACTGGAAAGGGAAGGCTGCTTCCACTGAAACCTTTACAGGAATAAGAATCATGTCTCAGGCGTAGAGGCTGTGGGCTTCCATTAGAGGAACATCCCATGAACCCTGGGAATCCTGCAGCGCGTTCCTGGGAAAGACAGCATAGAAACAGATCTGGGCAAAAAAGGAAAACTTCGGCTGAGACGCCTCGACTGGGTCGCTCCTGAAGACAGAGGCAGGGTATGTGCTTACCCTCACCCTGGCGCCTGGCCCTACAGCAGGGCCGGCAGGAGGCCCCAGCCCTTGGGCTGCAGTCGAAGCAGCCACGGACTGCACGCTGTCCTTCCAGCAGAACCCTGTGGCTCTGCAGACACAGCTGGTGCGTGACTACACATGGCAGGGCCATGTAAGGACAGCAGAGAACGGGCTCCACCAACCAAGCCCCTTCTAGAGCACATGGCCACTCCTTCTCACTAAGTGGAGGAGGAAGCAGACTCGAAATGGAGCTGTCAGCGCTGAGGACACAGAGACCGGAGGTGAGCGAGGCACCCACGAGGGCACCCACAGTCCTCGCTCGGAGCATGTCCTGGCTACAGGGAACACCGTCCTCAGTGGCCGACTCTGAGCCCTTTGTGCTGCCCCAGGTGGCTCTGACCTTCCACTGAGGACTCTGCTGAGATCCTGCGGCATCTTCCCGGCGAGGAAAAGCATGAGTGGGAAACAGGGAGCCCCTGAGGCAATTCTCCCACCCCCACCACCCCTCCATCCTCTGGAATGAAGACAGCGAGACACACGCTTTGACCCCAGGGAGTCTGAGTCTATAGACAAGCAGGTGACACGGGACATACATAACGGTAACTGTCATCTAGCACAGTAAGTCATACAGGCCAAAAACTGCACACACTCCCGTGAGCAGCTGGTGGGGGAATCAGAGATCGGGGTGAAGTTCAAGGCACCCCAGACATGAGGGGGCAACACATTCGGCACCAGACGTTGTTTCAAAAATTTCCAAACCATACACCCTGGCCTTCCCTCAGTGGTGTTCCTGTCACTGAAGATGAACTAGGGGCTCATTTTCCAACTCTGTAAACAAACATCTAATGACCTGGGTGGGGGCAGGGGGAAGGTCAGGCCCGGACTCTACGGAACCACAGGCCACATCAGGGGCATGGAGAGGAGGAGGAGGGAAGGTCAGGCCCAGACTCTACGGAACCACAGGCCACATCGGGGGCATGGAGAGGAGGAGGAGGGGGGAAGGTTAGGCCCGGACTCTACGGAACCACAGGCCACATCGGGGGCATGGAGAGGAGGAGGAGGGGGGAAGGTCAGGCCCGGACTCTACGGAACCACAGGCCACATCCGGGGCATGCAGAGGAGGGAACCACAGGCCACTTCGGGGGCGTGGAGAGGAGGGAACCACAGGCCACTTCGGGGGCGTGGAGAGGAGGGTAGCAGTACCTTCTTCGTCCAGGGACGTGGCGCAGATGATGACCGGGCTGGAGTAGGCGGGCAGCAGGAGGGGCAGGTTGGAGGGCACCGCATAGCCGCAGGGTACAGGCACCAAGTACCCGCAGGGCACATGGAGACCCACATTCTCCTCCTCAGCGCTGGGCACGGGGGTGGGCGGCTGGTCCTCCTGGAATGGCGTGATGTCGATGACAGAATATGGGTTGACTTTCATCGGGAGCACCAGCTTAGTAGGCTCTGCCACTGGGGTGGTTTCTGCTCCAGCTCCATCCTCACCTCCTGGGGATGCAGAAAGGACTTGTCAGCAGACACATCACCAAGGGCATGGCAGGCATGCCCTCCTGGAGCGCAAGTGGGAAGCAGGTATGAGCTCCCACCATCATCCCATGCCAGGACCCCTAGACGTTCCCAGGTCATCAGGTGGCCTCGGAGGGAGCACTCACACATGGGGAACCCAGCATCACCTCTGGGCACAGGTGAGACGGATGCAGCCTGGTCACTACAGGAGGCTCATCCCATGAGCTAAGTCAGGGAGAAGCTGCCGGAGGAGGGCAGCTGCTCCCCTCACCAAGAGTCTGGTGCTACACACAAAGAAACACCATGCAAGCTGAGAGGCGGGTGCTGTGCACAAAGAAACGCCATGCAAACAACCGAGAGGCTGATGCTATGGCCAAAGAAACACTGTGCAAACAACCGAGAGGCTGGTGCTATGCACAAAGAAACACCATGTAAGCAGAGAGGCGGGTGCTGCGCACAAAGAAACACCGTGCAAACAACCGAGAGGCAGGTGCTATGGCCAAAGAAACACCGGGCAAACAACCGAGAGGCTGGTGCTATGCACAAAGAAACACCGTGTAAGCAGAGAGGCGCGTGCTGCACACAAAGAAACACCATGCAAACAACCAAGAGGCAGGTGCTATGGCCAAAGAAACACCGGGCAAACAACCGAGAGGCAGGTGCTATGGCCAAAGAAACACCGGGCAAACAACCGAGAGGCTGGTGCTGTGCACAAAGAAACACCGTGTAAGCAGAGAGGCGCGTGCTGCGCACAAAGAAACACCGTGCAAGCAGAGAGGCGGGTACTATGCACAAAGAAACACCGTGCAAACAACCAAGAGGCAGGTGCTATGGCCAAAGAAACACCGGGCAAACAACCGAGAGGCTGGCGCTACGCACAAAGAAACCATGCAAAGAACCGAGAGGCTGGTGCTACGCACAAAGAAACACGGTACAAGCCAAGAGGTGGGTGCTATGCACAAAGAAACGGCATGCAAACAACCGAGAGGCTGGTGCTGCACCCAAAGAAATGCCGTGCAAGCAGAGAGAAACACTGTGCAAACTGACAGGCTGGTACTACACCTGAAGAAACACCGTGCGAGCCAAGAGGAACGCTGCCAAACTGAGAGGCTGGTACTACACCTGAAGAAACACCGTGCGAGCTGAGAGGCGGGTGCTACACAGGAAGAAACACTGTGCAGGCTCTCCCACCACTGCCTGACCTGAGCAGTCCCTCTGGTCAGCGAATGAAAGCACCCAACCCACCTCCAAACTTAGAAAGCGAAACCTCTACAGCTACTTCATCCCACATGTTCTGAATATTTCTTTTAATCTAGTGATACAATGATGAGGTCATTCTTATTGGGAAATAGCAATACTTTTTCTTTGCAAAATACAAAGGTAGAGTGAAAAGGTTGAAAATTATGGAAAATAGTACAAAGAGAAGAAACTTAGCCAATCTTAAATTAAGTCCTTTCAGGTACATCATGAAGAAATCATAACTCTCTGGCTCCTAGAAATCATCCTTTCCCTACAATGTTCCAATTGGGCCGTAAGAATGGGGAGAAAATCGGCGAGTCCGATGGCTGAGCACAGGTGACCCTGATGCCGGTGATCTGCGGACTCACCTGGGAACCCCCCAGGGGACTCACCTGGGGACCCACCTGGGGACTCACCTGGGGACTCACCTGGGAACTCACCTGGTGACTCACATGGGGACCCACCTGGGGACTCACCTGGGGACCCACCTGGGGACTCACCTGGGGACCCTCCTGGAAACTCACCTGTGGGTGCAGGGGCTTCACTGGCTCCAGCACCTCCTGTCTCAGGGGCGGATGGGGCCTGTCTGTCCGCTTCTGGGATTTCATCTCCACTGTCAAAATCGAACTGTTCTCCCTCTTCCTCTTCATTATTATTGGTATCATATTTCATTTCATTTTCTAAAAAGAAAAACCAAAACCACATCAAGGAGAGATAGATAGATAGATAGATAGATAGATAGATAGATAGATAGATAGATCGATCGATCTATGTTAGCCAGAGACACTGACTAAGTTCCTCTGTGCTGTACTGCGCTTGTAGTTAACCTTTTTAAGGGGCAAAATAAGTATCATTAGAATTCTGAGTCACTGGTTTTTATTTTCTTTTAATAGGATCTACAACTCACAGAGAAGAAACAAGAGGCTGGGGGTGGTAGCTCACATCTGTAATCCCAGCACTTTGGGAGGCCAAGGTGGGCAGATCACAAGGTAAGAAGCTTGAGACCAGCCTGGCCAACATGGTGAAACCCCATCTCTACTAAAAATAAAAAAATTAGCCAGGCGTGTTGGCGGGCACCTGTAATCCCAGCTTCTCAGGAAGGTGGGGCAGGAGAATGGCTTGAACCCGAGAGGCGGAGGTTGCAGTGAACCGAGATTGCACCATTGCACTCCAGCCTGGGTGACAGGGCAAAACTCTGTCTCAAAAAAAAAAAAAAAGAAAAGAAAACAAGAGAAAGTAAGGGGAAAAAAGAGCTTTTCACATTTTAAATCTGTGCACCCAGCAGATGAACATCACCCGGCTGGGCTGATGGTCTGGAAGAGAATTCAGTATCATCCACTTTACTTTTAGAAATAACTTCTGACACCTTGCATCTCTCCCTAGAATTCTTCTCCTTTTATTTTCATTTTGCCTCTCTTATTTACAATTTTAATTAAATATCTCTGATGGTTAGAAAATCAGTGTCAAATATGAACACCGATATATAGCTTAAAATACAAACCTCCATAATTATTAAAGAGCATGGTTAATAACTGTTCCAAGTAAGTGCTTGATAAGAAACATTTTGCAGGAGGCGAGTCACAGGTCTCCTTGGACCGGGGTTACGGCTGATGGCGCAGCCTGCCGTGTGCATCATTTGCAGAGACGGCGTGCTAGGACTGTGTGCCACCATCAGAGCAGACAGGTGCTTCTCCTTTTTCCAGAGGAGACCCATGTGCTGGGACAACACCACCCGGCACACCCAGGAGCGAGAGGAACCCAGCCCCTGCCAGCCTTTCCCAAGGGCTGGGATTTCTTCCCAGCACACGTTCCTGAGGAAACCTCCTGCTGCCATGCCCGGCAATCCACAGAAGCAGGTGGCACCTCGGGACAGAGCCTGGGTCAGCCCAAACCAAGCCCCTCCAACACAGACAATCCCCCGTGGGCCAGGGAGATGCACCCAAGCAGGACGGCCCAGCTCGGCTGCAGGCAGCTCCGGAGGGGGCTGAGGGGGAGCCCTGCTAGGGAGCAACCCACAGACACACAACCCACTTACACTCCACGCAGTCTCCAGGCGCTCTCTGCCGAGCCTCCTGGGGAAGTCGCCTCCCGGGGAACTCTAGCGGTCTAAAAACAACCTTTAAATTTGAGGTGTTTCATTTTCCTTTGAATCTCCTAAACTAGTCATACATTCTAGGAGTGCCTTTTGAAGGAAACAGATTTTTAGGTCACCACAAATACACAGAGGGGCCCAGGCCCACGACAGCGTGAACTGGATCCAGCTACCACTGCAAGGACGGTGGGGATGAGACCCCCAGCTGACCATGACACCTGGGGACCCCACGAGCTTTCTGGAACTGCTTCCACCAACACTCACGAGTTTTACAAGTATGAGAATGACAAATACTAAAATTGAATCAAGAAAAAGGATTCAGAAATGTGTTATTTTTAAAACATACGTCTGATAGGAGTGTGTGTTGCTGTCCTTCTGGATGGTGAACTCTGCTCTGCCCAGATACCAAAGCCTCACCCACTTCCTAGAGGGTCAAAGACTTCTCTAAATTCAAAGTTTTGAATTTAAGCCTAATCAAATGAAACAATCGAAGCAGGGGGAGAGCTGGAATGGACAGAACCGCTAATTTCCAGAGTTTGAGCCTTGTTAACTATGTACTTTCAAACCAGTCCTCACTGTCTCCCAAGCGACCGTAAACAAAACCTATTTCAGAAGGGGTTTTTTTTTTTGCCATATCATTAAGTAGTCAGTTTATGGAAATGAACTGGTGAATACCTTTTAAAGTAAAAAGTTAAACAAACAAAAAAACTGTTTTCTGGAATATTTTCCAAATGCAACTGTCATTTCCACAGAATTCACGTTTGGGGAGAAAAAATCATGTTTGCCAAATAAACGTGCTGCGGAAACAATGCCGACTAAATGCCGTGACGAAAATGATCAGTGAAAATGTTTATGTATTGCTGGGCGCAGGGGCTCACACGTGTAATCCCAGCACTTTCAAAGGCCAAGGAGGACTAATTGCTTGAGCCCAGGAATTTGAGACCAGCCTGGACAACATAGTGAAACCCCGTCTCTTAAAAAAAAAAAAAGGTACAAAAATTAGCCTGGGGTGAAGGCGTGGACCTGTGGTCCCACCTACTCCGAAGGCTGAGGTGGGAGGATCACCTGAACCCAGTAAGCGGAAGTTGCAGTGAGCTGAGATTGCGCCACCGCACTGCAGCCTGGGGGACAGAGCAACACCTTGTCCCCCACCCCAAAAAAAGTTTCTGTTCTGACCACCCCAAAAAAAGTCACTGCCAGGCACATGTTCAGATTCATCCAGACGGTGACACAATCACACTAGATTTTTATATTGTCAACTCTCTTTTTTGGAAATTATAGTTTACTACCGCTGAACTCAAACAATTAGATAAAATACACCTAGACATGAGTCTATAAATATTGTTTTTTAAAAAAGCTTGACAATGTCTGGTACAAAATAGGCTCTCAAATATCTGCAAGGGGAGAAACATGAGCTGTTGGGACCGGAACCCACACTGTACCCCATACAGGAAGAAGGAATTCTCTTTAAAGTCTTCAGGAAGGAAGGCCGTGAACAGGAGCCCGTGTGTGCAGGAAACAGCCCTGAGGAGACACCGAGGCCCCTCCACTCCCTCCCCATACGCCACCTCCTGGGCTGTGACACCAGCCCCGGGAGACCGGTGGGATTACCTGGGACAGTGCATGTCCCGTGTGCCAGGTACAGGTATGACCCTGAGAAGAACCGCATGCGTTCTCGGAGCCGGCACCTCTGCTCACCGCCCAGCAAGGTGCAGTGGGAAACCTGGTTGGCGGCAATGTGTGACACGCACATCATGTGAGCGAATGAATGAGAGAATGACGAGCAGATGAGCAAGCTTCAAACTGTTTTTTGCCAAAATAACTCACTTTTTCCCCTAGTAAAATTTAAGTAGAATTCTACTATACAAGGGAAATCAAAGCAATCAAGAAATTCCTCCAAAAGTTTAAATCTTGTTAGTTTAGACTTGGAGGGGCTTGGAAGGGGCTTGGGGCTTGGAATTCAAGAGCTCTCTGCTGTCATTGAAAGACTGGCAGACACTGGCGGAGCTGCCCTCCATCCTCTGCAAACACTGCAGGGAAAGACTTTCAAGTTATATAGACTCTGCAGAATGATGTGTGTTACAAATTCCTCTCAGAATTCAGTTCCAGTAAGAAAAAAATAGCCTTTCTACAAGAACTCAAAGAAGTTGTGCTCAATGTAACCACCTGAGGCTGCACCCCTGCCTGCATGGGTGCCCACAGCTGTGCCCACGGCGGGCGCCCAGGACAGAGGGCGAGGCCGCCTGGAGCTGGGCTGCTCCTCTGACCCCCACCTCCAAGGGGGCCTCCATCGATGGTGAGGCTGCGCCGCCCTCTGAGGTGAGCATGGGGCCGGGCGTTCAAGGTGGTGTGTGCTGAGCATGTCCATCCCAGACACTGCCCTGGGCCCTGGGGGATCCTGGGCATCACAGACCCCACCCGAGCTCCCCAGGTCCCTTAGTGAAGTGCAATGCAGAATGCCTTTAAAAATCCCAGCATTTGGGGTCCTAAGTTTAGTTCTGACACCAGCCCTGACAGGTTCAATTGTGTCCCCTAAATCCCTGTGCTGAAATCCTCACCCCCAGTCTGCTGGTGAGCTCGTCTGCAAACAGGTGACTGCAGGTGCAATTGGTTTACAGGAGGCTGTGCTAGAGCAGGCTCGGCTAACCCAGTGTGGCAGTGTCCTCATGACAGCAGAGGCCAGCACAGGGACGAGGAGCCACCTGGCAGTGCAGCTGCAGGAACTCCCGGGAGTGCCCACAGCCGGCGGGCGCTGGAAGAGGCAAGGAAGGCTGTGACCTACATTCCCGGGGAGCACACACAGCCTGCCAGCACCCTGACCTGGGACTTCCGGCCTGCAACCCAGGAGGCTCCCCCGCAAGCTCGGCCAAGCCCTTTCCAACACAAAAGGTCCTGTGCCATCCTCAGGGCCCTGGCGGGAGCCAGGCAAGCTGGGCTGGGTCGGTTCCCACAACACTCCTGCTGCAGCCACAGAAGGAATTCCCGCTTCTCAAAACCCCAGCTTCAGAACCCAGCCATTCAGCTGAAGGAGAACACTGATGAGAAAAACTACAATTTGCAAACTAGAAAAGATGCTCAAGGGCTGCTGAAAGCATCTCAGGAGATACAACGTGTTGTAGTTTGAGACGACATGGATCTTTCAAAAAGCTGTTGGGGAATCTGCAGTGTAGCCGTCATTCGCTGGACACACCATGGCCCAGTGTTCTCCGCCCGTTGGTCCCTGTGGAGCCCAGGAGGTGGGCGGGAAGGGCCCGGCGCTCTGGGTAGGCAGCTGGCAGGGAAGCAGGGAAGGGCGGCCTGGGCAGGGCTGCACCTAGGGAGAGGCTCTGTGCCCCTCCTGCCCACTCAGGACGGCAGGTTCTGAGAGTCACCCATGAAGGCCATGACACGGAGGAGGAAACACAGACGGCAGTGCAGCCCGTGCCGACCCACAGGCATCCAGCCCAAATCTAACCACCCGCCAGTGCCCGGCCCAAATCTAACCACCCGCCAGCGCCCGGCCCAAATCTAACCTGGGGACCATTCTTCCCCTGCCCCTCTCCTCTGGCCTGCCCAGGACAGGCTGCCCTCTGGCCACAGCTGCACTTCCCAGGAAAACTGCAGGCTCTGCTGCATTCAGGGGCCAGCCCTTGTGGGTCACCGGCAGCTTGACACGACACCCCTAATGCTGACCGACAGCAGCAGCCATTTAAGCCTCAGGATTCAGACTGTTTCCGTCACAGCAGGGCCATTGGGGCTGCCTTGGTGGCACTGACTTCTTACCAACCTGACTTTTTACACTTGTGAGTATGCAGGTAATTGGCTCATCAATTAAGGCACACATTTCTAAAACAAGTTATGAAATAGAAAACTTTAAGAAACATTACGTTTCCAATCATTATGACATAATATGACCATGCCCATTTTAAGTTATGCCTATATGCAAAAAAGGGCGAGGAAGTTACCTGACAATCCAATCTTCGAAATGCTGCTGCTAGAAAAGGTGCTGCTCCCGGGTTCTCTCCAGGATGATGGAGAGGTTCTAGAGGGCCCTCAGGACAGAAACGGTGCTGCTCCCCGGTCCTCTCCAGGATGATGGAGAGGTTCTAGAGGGCCCTCAGGACAGAAACGGTGCTGCTCCCCGGTCCTCTCCAGGATGATGGAGAGGTTCTAGAGGGCCCTCAGGACAGAAACGGTGCTGCTCCCCGGTCCTCTCCAGGATGATGGAGAGGTTCTAGAGGGCCCTCAGGACAGAAACGGTGCTGCTCCCCGGTCCTCTCCAGGATGATGGAGAGGTTCTAGAGGGCCCTCAGGACAGAAACGGTGCTGCTCCCCGGTCCTCTCCAGGATGATGGAGAGGTTCTAGAGGGCCCGCAGGACAGCTCAAGTCACACATGGCTATTGCACTTGGGGTGGCCAGTGTGACCAAGAGCCTCAGTTGTTGTTGTTATTTAATTCTTATCAATTCTAAGTTTTGTAGACACCTGAGCCTAGTGGACCTCGCAGGCCTGAATCTCGAGCTATCAAGACGGCTAACGGCCTGTCTGAGCCTGAGAGCCGTCCCCACACCCACAGGGCCCCTCTGCTTGTGTCTGTCTTCATATGGTCTGCAGCAGAGATTCATTTCCATTTGGTTATTAATTTTTTTTTTTTTTGAGACAGAGTCATGCTCTGTTGCCCGCGCTGGAGTGCAGTATTGCGATCGCAGCTTACTGCAGCCTTGACCTCCTGGGCTCAAGCAATCCTCCCACCTCAGCCTCCCAAGCAGCCAGGACTACAGGCATGAGCCACCACGCCTGGCTAAGTTTTATTATTTTTAATAGAGACGAGGTGGCACTATGTTGCCCAGGCTGGTCTCAAACTCCTGAACTCAAGTGATCCTCCTGCCTCGGCCTCCCAAAGTGCTGGGATTACAGGCAAGAGCCAACGTGCCCACCCCAGTTTGGTTGCTTTTAAGAGATACAACTTTTTAGAGCAGTTTTAGGTTCACAGGAAAATTGAGAGGAAGGTACAGAGAGTTCTCATATACTCCCCACCCCCAAAGAGAGCCTCCCCCAACACTATCCCCCATCCTTTGCCAGAGTGGAACACTTGTTGCAACTGAGAAGCCAACACTGAGGTACGTCACTAACTAAAGCCCACGGTGTGTGTTAGGCCTCGCTCCTGGTGCTGTGCCTTCTGTGTGAGGAGCCAACAATGAGGTATGTCACTAACTAAAGCCCACGGTGTGCGTGAGGCCTCGCTCCTGGTGCTGTGCCTTCTGTGTGAGGAGCCAACACTGAGGTACGTCGCTAACTAAAGCCCACGGTGTGCGTGAGGCCTCGCTCCTGGTGCTGTGCCTTCTATGGGTTTGGACAGGCGTGTAATGATGTTGAGGTACGTCGCTAACTAAAGCCCACGGTGTGCGTGAGGCCTCGCTCCTGGTGCTGTGCCTTCTATGGGTTTGGACAGGCGTGTAATGACATGGATGCACCATTATCAAGGAATTTCGTGGCCCTAAAAATCCCGTGCTCCGCCTGTCACCCCTCCCCCCCGCAAACCCCTAGCAACCCTGAGCTTGTTACTGTATAATTTTGTTTTCTAGAATGTCACGTGGTTGGAATCGCACCGGGCGCAGCCTTTTCAGGTTGGCTTCTCTCGCTCAGTAAGATGCATTTAAGGCTCCTCCATGTCTTTTCACGGCTTGGCAGCTCATTTCTTCCTAGCACTGAATGTTCCACTGTCTGAATGGGCCCCAGTTTATCCATCCATTCACCTCCTGAAGGACATCATGGCTGCTTCTGGGTTCTGGCAATTATGAATAAAGCTGCTATCAACACCTATATGGGCAGGTATTGAGTGGACATTAAGTTTTCAACTCATTTAAATAAATACGCCGGGGCATGGCTGCAAGTCACACGGTAAGAGTGTGCTCAGGTTTGAAGAAGCCACCAAACTGCCCTCCCACGCGGCTGCCCCACGCCCTCTAGCCACCCGCCAGCACCCGGCCCTCCTCAGCATTTGCCGTCTGTGTCCACGCAGCTGCCCCACGCCCTCCTCAGCATTTGCCATCTGTGTCCACGCGGGTGGCCCATGCCGTCTTCCGCACTTGCCGTCCATGCCCACGCGGTTGCCCCACACCCTCCTCAGCATTTGCCGTCTGTGTCCACGCGGTTGCCCCACACCCTCCTCAGCATTTGCCGTCCATGCCCACGCGGCCGCCCCACACCCTCCTCGGCATTTGCCGTCTGTCCACACGGTTGCCCCACGCCCTCCTCAGCATTTGCCGTCCATGCCCACGCGGCCGCCCCACACCCTCCTCAGCATTTGCCGTCTGTGTCCACGCGACTGCCCCACGCCCTCCTTAGCATTTGCCATCCATGCCCATGTGGCCGCCCCACGCCCTCCTCAGCATTTGCCCTCTGTGTCCACGTGGCCGCCCCACACCCTCCTCAGCATTTGCCCTCTGTGTCCATGCAGCCGGCCCACGCCCTCCTCAGCATTTGCCCTCTGTGTCCACGCAGCCGGCCCACGCCCTCCTCAGCATTTGCCCTCTGTGTCCATGCAGCCGGCCCACGCCCTCCTCAGCATTTGCCCTCTGTGTCCATGCAGCCGGCCCACGCCCTCCTCAGCATTTGCCCTCTGTGTCCACGCAGCCGGCCCACGCCCTCCTCAGCATTTGCCCTCTGTGTCCACATGGTCGCCCCACGCCCTCCTCAGCATTTGCTGTCTGTGTCCACGTGGCCGCCCAAGCCCTCCTCAGCATTTGCCCTGTGTCCACGCAGCCGGCCCACGCCCTCCTCAGCATTTGCCCTCTATGTCCACGTGGCCGCCCCACGCCCTCCTCAGCATTTGCTGTCTGTGACCACGTGGCCACCCCATGCCCTCCTCAGCATTTGCCATCCATGCCCACGTGGCCACCCCACGCCCTCCTCAGCATTTGCCGTCTGTGTCCACACGACTGCCCCACGCCCTCCTCAGCATTTGCCGTCTGTGTCCACGCAGCTGGCCCCACGCCCTCCTCAGCATTTGCTGTCCATGCCCACGTGGCCGCCCCACGCCCTCCTCAGCATTTGCCCTGTGTCCACGTGGCTGCCCCACGCCCCCCTCAGCATTTGCTGTCTGTGTCCATGTGGCCGCCCCACGCCCTCCTCAGCATTTGCCCTCTGTGTCCACGCGGCCGGCCCACGCCCTCCTCGGCATTTGCCTTCTGTGTCCACGTGGCCGCCCCATGCCCTCCTCGGCATTTGCTGTCTGTGTCCACGTGGCTGCCCCATGCCCTCCTCGGCATTTGCTGTGTCCACACGGCCGCCCTACGCCCTTCTCAGCATTTGCCGTCTGTGTCCCCGCAGCCGCCCCACACCCTTCTCAGCATTTACCATCTGTGTTCTGGATTTTGGCTATTCTAATTTGAAGTTAGTTTTAAGTGCTCTTTTCTTAATGAGCAAAAGGGTACAAATAAAGTATCTAAGTTTAGTTTAAAATTTAGTTACCCTCTGCCCGGGGTGGGGAGCGGTGTCTAGGGGTGACCAGCACTGACTGTGTGATGGTCCTACATGCTTGTGAATACAGTAAAAGCCACGGAGCTTTACAAGTTAAATAGGTAAACGGTACTAAGATATGAATTATATCTTAATAAAGCCATAAATAAAAAAACTTAATCTCTCACTTTAAATAAACTATACATATAAAAACAAGTGCTGCCTAGGTTTGTCAGGGAAAAAAACTGCTAATGTTTGAAACATAACCATGCAGATACTATCACTTATATTAACGGCATTTAAAAGTTTGCTTCAAGGGGAAAAAAAAAGACTACTTCTAAAACACTGGAAGAATATTCAATAAAATTTTAACAGTACTAATCTCCCAGAGGTGAAGTATTTTCTTTTTCGTGACTTGTCTATATTTTAGTTTTTATTCTACAATTAACATGCATTGTAATTTTTTTAATTACCCAATTTAGATTATAAACTGTAAAGTCATTTGTAGTACCTGAAATGTAGCTTCCCTACATTTACATAGTGAATACATTTAATAGTGAATACAACATTCACTGAATAAACAACAAACAGAAACCACGACACACCCATCGCTGCGCAGCACATCTCCCATCCTGCTGTGTTATTCTGAAGCCCCCGGACAAATCTACACAAGAAATGCTAAGTACAGAGTCGTGGATTAGAGAACGGCTTCTGGAGTCGGAGAGCTGAGTTCAAACTTTGCTTGCTGGCCACGAGACCCCATCCCTCGTCTATAGAAAGGAATCACAGAATGGAAAGAATCCCTCCCTGGGGCATGTTGCAACAAGTAGGAAACGCCGTGTGGCGCGTACAAAGCCACTTAACCTGAGGACTAAGACGGAGGACCCCGCGTACCTCTTTTTACAGAGATACTGAAGAGAGGACGACAAATACAATATGCACGATGCAAAAGAAGACGCATAGAACACTTCAATTTTCTGTTTTCTTTAGCGAAATATTTATTCTACAAGCTACCAAGACCTGGTGGCTCTGGTCCCAGCACCCTGAGTGGGAGAGAACTGGCCGCCAGCCCTGGAGAAGCAGGCCACCCATTCCCGGGCCACCTTCCCTCGTGAGCAGACAGCGCTCTGACTGTTCCAAGTCCATGAAGAACTTTTAAAGACATGCAACGATTAACACACTGAGAACAAGATTAAAGTAATACTCATTTTTTAAGATCAGAGATAAAAGCTAAGTGTTACTTTTCCTGGGGCTTGGAAGAGCATGTTTGATTCTCATATGAAGGTTTAACTCGGGATATGATTTTCTCTTATTTTGAATGAAGGCTGTTTGTGTTTTAGCTCTATTGTTTAAAGAAAAGTCCTTTAAAAAGCACCAGGCTGCAAACAGCTTCAGCCACAAGAGGCTATTCATAACCACTTCTTGGCTCTGGGTGTCACTGCGGTTTGTAGCTGCTTGTGCTGAAGGAGGCCTCCCCAGAAACAGTGCCATCCCCCAGAAACAATGCTGCCCCCAGAAACAAAGCTGCCCCCAGAGACGATGCCAGTGTGAGTGCTGGCGTCTGTCTGAGCTCATTATGGAAGTTACCAGGTATTTGGTAAATGATTTTTTGTGAACCAACATTAACATGCCAATTGTACTTATTTCTTTTGCCCTAATGTAATTTGCATTGGAATTTTGCTACTAATTAGAGAAAGGCTTTAGCTGGCAGTGTGACTTGTTTTGCATTCTGAGAAATCCCAGATCATCTTCTGAATGGATTTGCTGAGTGCTTACCAGCTAGGTCTAAGTACTTCATAAATGCTAACTTGTCAAATCCTCCCCAAACTTATGAGAGGGGTTCTGTTTTTTCCAGGAATGACAGAAATTGAAGGCTGCTTAGGTCATCAGCTCACACACCTCAGGGTCAACATTTGAACCCCAGCAGCTGGGCAGCAGAGCCTGAAATCTTTCCTGGTGCACAGGCTGCCTCTCCAACACCACTTCCCCTTGTGATGACCTGACGTGTTGCCAAAGACATTTCTAGAGAAGGCACAGGGACCTGGTAAAGGTGAGGAATGGGCATGGACTAAAGAATGATTCCACTGGAACACACAACAGCACCCCTGCCAGGAGGCCCCAAGAGCAGCCACTGAGGAGGACACTTACGAAAAACGAGCAGCAGCCTGAAAATACTCACAAACACAAATGTTAACGCGGTATAAAAACCTACACTCAAAATGTTAAAAATCAGGCCACATGTGGTGGCTCACGCCTGTCATCCCATCACTTTCGGAGGCCAACGTGGGCAGATCACTTGAGGTCAGGAGTTCGAGACCAGCCTGGCCAACACGGTGAAACCCTGTCTCTACTAAAAATACAAAAATTAGCTGGGCATGGTGGCAGGTGTCTATAATCCCAGCTACTCAGGAGACTGAGGCAGGAGAATCCTTGAACCCGGGAAGTGGAGGTTGCAGTGAGCCAAGATCACACCACTTCACTCCAGCCTGGGTGAGAGAGCGAGACTCCGTCTCAAAAAAAAAAAGTTAAAAATTTATATTCAATGACTACAATTATGTAGAAAAGAAATATGGGGAAAAAAACCAGAAAAGTGATGATCTAAAGTAACAGCACCAACTGTGTCCCCACGCAGGGAAGAAATGAGGTCGCAGTAACTTCCTGCTGGATCCTGATCTTCAGGGGCACTTTTAAGTGGACGGTTGACTTAATAATGGGGGAAATTATAATTAAAGTACCACAGAATCCTCAGAAAAGACACCAGGCCATTATCCCTATTTCTATTTGTCGTAAAAGTTATTGGCTAGAAACTCACCTAAGTTTCCAAGCCAGAGCACTGTCATTAAATGGTGGCTTTCTGTATCAAAGACCAAGGTCATGTGGCCTGTCAGCAAGGGCAGGGGCCTCGCTCCCAACCCGCCAGAGGGCTGGGCGGCTCCTCAGCCCCTCCGCGGCTCCCGGGCTCCCGCCAGGGTCTCCCGAGGACACCCTCCTGGGTGAAATGTTAACAGTGGCGAACTGTGGAGAGCTCCACATTCCTGCAGCCTGGAGCTAGTGACCAGCCCTGAGGCTGGATCCAGTAGCCTTGGCCCAAGGACGGCCTGGCCAGTCCAGCTGCACCCAGAGGGCGTGGACCTGTCATACTCTCCCCTGGGTCGAAATCTGGGCAGAGGGAGGGGCTATGGAGACACCCCCAGCCCCAGCAGAGGAGTGTCCTGCTGCAGGGAACCCTGGGCACCCCCAGTCCTGCCTCCATCAGAGGCCACATCTCTGATTAGCACAACTACACACAAAGTGGAGTCCTATGGGCCCAGGAACCTTCTTCAGAAGCCAGTTCTGGTCGTGGAGACCATGGGTGGATGGGCATTTCATGCAATCCAGGTGGTGGTACCGCTGGGCAGAGCTCCTCAGGGTGCCAGGCACTAGCCAGGACTGATGACGACGTCAGCAAATGCTGGAGATAAATTTAATGAGAAAACGGTGTTTCCGCCTTCTTTGAAACAGAGGGCAAAACAGGGTGAAAGGCAGCATCCATCTGCCACGGGATTCTGAACGGGTCCTACGTCCTCCACGCTTACCTGCAGAGACAGCTTCCTGGCCTTTCTTTCATTTTTAACTTTCCCCAACAACTGTACCCGCCTCCTCAGCATGTCAAGGCACCATATTAATGGTGTGCCATCTTACATGTGTGTGGGAAGGAGGGGAGGCAACAGAAAAGCACGCAAGCTCTGGTGCTCACCCCTTCAAACAGAAAACTATCCAAGACAACCACTCATTTCCAAGAAATGCCAAAAAGAAAGCAGGGAGGCGGGAGGGGGCCCCTGGAGGGACAGCCGCCCAAAGTGGGCCCGTGGAGGGTAAGGCCACAGGATGACGCCCACTGCCCTGCTCTGCTGGGGCATCATCTCATTTGATAGGAATGAAAAGCAGTAAAAGATTTTGCTCTCTGCCTCATGTTCCACCTTTATTTTTTAGACAGGGTCTCAGTCCCACCACCCAGGCTGGAGTTCAGTGGAAGGATCTCGGCTCACTGCAGCCTCAACTTCCCGTGCTCAAGTGAACCTCCCACCCCAGCCTCATGAGTAGCTGGGACTACAGGCATGCACCATCATGCATAACTAATTATTATCATATCATTATTTTTGCAGAGATGGGGTCTAATTATTACAACTATTACAACTAATTATTATTACATTATTATTCTTTTTGCAGATATGGGGTCTCACTACGTTGCCCAGGCTGGTCTCAAACTCCTGGGCTCAAGTGATTCACTCACCTCAGTCTCCCAAAGTGCTGGCATTACAGGTGTGAGCTGAGGTGCCCGACCTCATTTTCAATTAAAACAACCTAGTCTGGCAGAGCCTGAATGCCAGCAATCCACACGTAAGTGAACTGTGGCGACAACGAGCACCATGGCGACAAAAAGGCAAGGAGACCGGCCGACGTCACCCCCAGAAGAGAAGCAGTGGAGCTGTGGCCTCGGGTTTCCGGTACCGGGTCCCGTACCCCGTGGTCTTGCGGCTCCGGAGAACTCCAGGAGCTGGACTTCCAGGCCTGGTTCCCCACCGCAGACCCCCGGCAGCAGGAGTGGGCATCCCTTCTGGCCCCTGTGGTGTCGCTGGCTGTTTCTGGGGTGGCCACTGCTCACCCCTGGATTCTCCCGTCTCTGTCGTCCAGCAGGCCCCGGTGACCCCTGGATTCTCCCGTCTCTGTCATCTACCAGGCCCCGGTGACCCCTGGATTCTCCTGTCTTTGTCATCTACCAGGCCCCGGTGACTGACTTGCTTATGAACAGCCTGACTTCCAGGCTGCCTCTTTTCTGATCCAGCTACAATCTCTGAGGGCCCAGAGTGTCCACGTAGTTGGGGGGCACAGACGACCAAATCCCAGCATCTCCCAAGACCCACACCCACAGTGCCAAGGGGCCTGGAGCCCACACAGTTAATTCCGTGACCTCCACAGCTCCATCACCCCCCAGACCTGCAACGGACACCAGGCCCATGTGCAACATGTGGTCCGGCAGGCCCCGGGAGGACCTAGGCCAGGTCTCCAGGCCCTGCAGACGACCTGCCATGGAAACGTCGGTCAGTGTCCACCTTCTCCACTGGCCGGAGCGCGAGCTGGCAACCCTGGCATAGTCTTTTTGGCAACAATTTAACTCAGGTGAGGTGACAATGAAGATAAATCTTTCATCAGCAGGCCCTCCCTTATTGGAGCATATGGATAGAGAGGGCGTGCTTGTCCCTGAGCGGCCGCTCAGAGGAGGGAGGCAGAAAAGGAAACTGGGCGAGCACCCGCCATGGGCGAGCTGAGCTTTAAGCCTGAGCGAGGCCTTCAACACTGGAAGGCGCCATTCTGTAACAACCCTCCCGCTCCATCTCCGATTGCATCAGGCTAAGGGGAATCTTAAGGGAATTTCAGATGCTGACCATAGGTCCCCAAGAGCAATACAGCAGCACCTGTGAGGAACGCAAGAGGCTCACCCAGGATGCCCCCGTGGCAAGGCAAGGATGGGGGCACCCAGGCTCACGTCAGAACCTTCTCTTTCTCCCAAGAAGCTCTCACTCCACCCCATACCCCAGTGACCAGCAATTCAGTGGTTCCAGAAGTACCCCGTCCTTGATGAGAGCAGCAGCACAACCTGACCCACAGGCCCACCTACTGAGTGCTGTTACCTGCAGGAGCGGGAGGCAGGGGCTCTCGCTGGTCCATGCTGCAGCTCCAGATGCCTCTCTCAGCTCTGTTAAGGGAAGGAGCTCCTGCAAGAAGGAGAGACACTGCTTGTCACCGTTCAGGTGGATAAACATGCACTCAATAGGTGTAGGGCTGTCGACAGAGAACCCCGCAAAAAGGAAGAGCTAACTGTCATTACTAGCCATAATTAGAAGACTCACCACCTATTAGTCATGAATACTTGTAAATCTCCCTTGAAACAACATTCAAGAGCAAAACAAAAGAGACTTCTCAGTGTTGGAGTGACTTCACCTTGAAATGTAGCCAGAAGTTTATTTTGCAAATTGGATTCGCCAGCCAGGCCCTCCCAAAATGACACTGGCTTTAACTCCTTGCTGAATTTCCCACTGTATTCTAAAGGGAGAAGTCAACATGTAAACCAAATGGGTTTCTTCCAGACTTAGCTGGGATCAGGTGCGGCGCTGACGGCCCTCTCCACTCCTTTTTCTTCCAGACTTAGCTGGGATTAGGCGTGGTGCTTAGGGCCCTCTCCACTCCTTTTGGTAAGCATGTGGCTAACCTCTCGGGGCGAGGCTGGGTCCCGGCCTGCCTGCTGTTGTGATTCTTGTCTACACTTCGTGTTTCCCTCCCTGCTTCGAGGACACCAGTTTGAGTGTGAGCTAGATGCCAGCGAGTCCCGGGAAGGCCAGTTCCTGGTGACTCGTGTTAAGACCACAAAACACGGGCCTGGCTCCCGCCAGAGCCATCCAGGGTGAAATAAGCTGTCCTCAGGGAACTCTCCAGCTGCCTCGGCTCCAGTGCCAGGGACCAGGCTCTAGCACCGGGGACCAGGCACCAGCTCCAGGCCCTCGCCGCATCAGGAAAAGCACATGGGACCACAGGGGGCATGGTCCCTGAGTGTCACCCACAGGCCAGCTCCTCCGAGGCCAGGCGGGCCCATGCCCAGGGTGGTCACCGGCCTCACGTACTATTCAATGAGGGGAACGCGAGGGGATGGCAGGCTGCCAAGAGCTCCAGGCTCTGCCTGACACACACCCAGGACGCCACCAGGCCGGCGAATTCCCTTATCCTAGTGCAGAGAGCTGGCCACTGGCTCTGGCACTCTCAGAAGCAGACAGACACTACTTTCCAATGAGGATGGCAGTGGGACCCTGCCCCCAACCTCAGATGCGGCACCTCCTGTATTCCCAGCCCAGTGCCCGCCCTTCTGCCTTCCTGTATTCCCAGCCCTGAACCTGCTCTCCCTCCATCCCCCAGACTTGCTCAGGTGCCTGCCACGTGCCACCACCCCCGCCCCATCCCCAGCACCTGGCCTCGTGGTTCGGCGCCTCGCGGCCCCAGTTCCCGCCGCGGCCCCAGTTCCCGCCGCGGCCCCAGTTCCCGCCGCGGCCCCAGTTCCCGCCGCGGCCCCAGTTCCCGCCGCGGCCCCAGTTCCCGCCGCGGCCCCAGTTCCGGTCGCGGCCCCAGTTCCGGTCGCGGCCCCAGTTCCCGCCGCGGCCCCAGTTCCCGCCGCGGCCCCAGTTCCCGCCGCGGCCCCAGTTCCCGCCGCGGCCCCAGTTCCCGCCGCGGCCCCAGTTCCCGTCGCGGCCCCAGTTCCCGCCGCGGCCCCAGTTCCTAGGTTTCAGGTCATTTCACCAACATGGCACACGAGTAGCTCAACACGCACTGGGGCTCCCCACGAGCAGCAGCTGCGATTGTCTCATCTGTTAACACGACTGCTGAGAAAAGAGCGGAACTTCGGTTTGAGGGATGGGAGCCCTTTCACATCATCAGGCCCCGAGAGATGAGCAGACGAGCCACAACCACGCCCTGCTCCCTACTCCCTGCCCCCAGGGAGCCGCGTGTTCACTCAACATGGCCCACTGTGGCCCCCGGTAGCTGGGAAAGAGCCTGGTGATGCTGCTCTGGACACCGTAACACACTCTGTAGCTTAACAATGCACAGGCATCACTAATCAATAAACCAATGGTTTCCATAAACTAATGAGAATTCCTGACAAACAGCTTTCCATCCGCCTCTCTGACCCCCTTTCTGCTTTCCAAAATCGCCCTGGAGGCGCTGCTCATCAGTGTGCGTTCAGGGCAGCCTGAATCCAGGCTCCTGGGCTGCAGGCCTCACACGTGACCCAAATAACCTTCTACATAGATTACTTTTACCCTAGCTTTTTCCTTTTAGGTCCACCTCGCCAGCGCAACTCCAAGACGTAGGTACTGTTATTATTTTTCAATGGAGAAACCACTGGTTGGGAGACTTGAGACACTCACCCAAGGCTACAGCAGAGGGCAGCTGGCTGACGCGAAGGCTACAGCTGAGGGCGGGTGGCTGATGCGAGCACCCAGAGCCCAGCCTAGGCCCCGACGGCATGTCCTTGCCCTTCCACCCACCGGCCGGGAGAGGGGGCAAGTGAGGTCATCGCTCCACCTGGAATATGTGGGGAGTCACAGGATCCACATCGGGTGCCCTTGCAGGTGAGCTTTCTGTGCAGCAAGACAGGGTCCGAGTGCCGGCCAGCGCACCCGTGAGGCGGTAGGGGCCCACCCTCTCCACCCCAGCAGCACCCGTGAGGCGGGAGGTGCCTACCCTCTCCAGCCCAGCAGTGATTCCACAGGATGACAAAGGATGTTATCCTTGGAGGGAAAGCTGTCATATCCAAGTTAAGGTCAGACAGACATGCTTGGACCACAACAGTGAATGTAGGGAATGACGCTCATGGGAGGAAACCTCAAAGACAAGTGCAGCAAACAATGGACAGTCCCCACACCGGACAGTCCCCACGTCGGACAGTCCCCAAACCAGACAGCTTCCACATCAGACAGTCCCCATATCGGACAGCTTCCACACCAGACAGTCCCCATATCAGACAGCTTCCACACCGGACAGTCCCCACACCGGACAGATTCCACACCGGACAGTCCCCACACCGGACAGCTTCCACACAGGACAGTACCCACACCGGACAGCTTCCACACCGGACAGTCCCCACACCGGACAGCTTCCACACCAGACAGTCCCCACACCAGACAGCTTCCACACCAGACAGTCCCCATATCGGACAGCTTCCACACCAGACAGTCCCCATATCGGACAGCTTCCACACCAGACAGTCCCCACACCAGACAGCTTCCACACAGGACAGTCCCCACACCGGACAGATTCCACACCGGACAGTCCCCACACCAGACAGCTTCCACACCAGACAGTCCCCATATCGGACAGCTTCCACACCAGACAGTCCCCATATCGGACAGCTTGCACACCGGACAGTCCCCACACCAGACAGCTTCCACACAGGACAGTCCCCACACCGGACAGATTCCACACCGGACAGTCCCCACACCAGACAGCTTCCACACCAGACAGTCCCCATATCGGACAGCTTCCACACAGGACAGTCCCCATATCGGACAGCTTCCACACCAGACAGTCCCCACACCAGACAGCTTCCACACCAGACAGCTTCCACACCGGACAGTCCCCACACCAGACAGTCCCCACACCGGACAGTCCCCACACCGGACAGTCCCCACACCAGACAGTTTCCACACCAGACAGTCCCCACACCAGACAGCTTCCACACCAGACAGTCCCCACACCAGACAGCTTCCACACAAGACAGTCCCCACACCAGACAGTACCCACACCAGACAGTCCCCACACCAGACAGCTTCCACACCAGACAGCTTCCACACCGGACAGTCCCCACACCAGACAGTCCCCACACCGGACAGTCCCCACACCAGTTTCCACACCAGACAGTACCCACAGCGGACAGTCCCCACACCAGACAGCTTCCACACCAGACAGTCCCCACAGCAGACAGTCCCACACCAGACAGCTTCCACACCAGACACTCCCCACACCAGACAGCTTCCACACCAGACAGTCCCCATATCGGACAGCTTCCACACCGGACAGTCCCCACACCAGACAGTTTCCACACCAGACAGTCCCCACACCAGACAGCTTCCACACCAGACACTCCCCACACCAGACAGCTTCCACAGCAGACAGTCCCCACAGCAGACAGTCCCACACCAGACAGCTTCCACACCAGACAGTCCCCACACCAGACAGTCCCTACACCAGACAGTCCCCACACCAGACAGTCCCCACACCGGACAGTACCCACACCAGACAGCTTCCACACCAGACAGTACCCACAGCGGACAGTCCCCACACCAGACAGCTTCCACACCAGGCAGTCCCCACACAAAACAGTCCCCACATCAGACAGTCCCCACACCAGACTGTCCCCACACCGGACAGTCCCCATACCAGACAGTTTCCACACCAGACAGTCCCCACACCAGACACTCCCCACACCAGACAGCTTCCACACCAGACAGTCCCCATATCGGACAGCTTCCACACCAGACAGCTTCCACGCTGGACAGTCCCCACATCGGACGGCATCCACGCCAGATGGCCCCCACGCCAGAGAGTCCCCACGCCAGACAGCTTCCATGCCAGATGGCCCCCACACCAGACAGCCCCACACTGGATGGTCCCCACATCAAACACCTTCCACTCCAGACACCTTCCACGCTGGACAGTCCCCACACCAGACAGCTTCCATGCCAGACAGCAACCACACTGGACGGCATCCACGCCAGACAGCTTCCAAGCTGGATGTCCCCCACATCAGACAGCCCCCATGCCAGATGGCCCCCACGCTGCACAGTCCCCACGGTGGACGGCCTCCACGCCAGATGGCATCAATGCTTCCGACAATCGGATCCCATGGACAGAGAGGACCACACTGGCTCTGAGACCCTGACAAAACCCAAAATGACCCTTTAGCCTCAGTCAAAAATATTCAGCCAACACCAACTGTGCTGAAGAGTGCGTGGCTCTTTGAAGGAATGAACACATGAGGTCTGAAGAGGACTGCCTCCGGCGTGCACACAGCAGCAGGACCAGACGCTGACTGCTGCCCTGAGTGCAGAGAAAGGGATGGCTTCTCCCCAGGCTGGGCGGGTGCCGGGTGGCTGTGGGAAGGAGAAGACTCCTTCATTCGTCAGCCTGGCCTGGATGACTCTGCAGCCTCAGAGACGGATGGAAGAAGAGTACGTTCCATGGCTGGAGCATCTCCCAACAAAGAAAATTAACAATGCTCCAATACAGCTATGAGTCCTCAAGAGTTTAGGTTGATGTCATCTTTCCCTGGGACGCTGGCACCAGGGCCAATGCCACCTCACGCATCAGGATCGCTGGAGATGGAGTCCAGGCCTGTTAGAGAAAGGAAGGCACCAGGCACCCCCGGCACCCCCGGTGGATCCCAGCCCAAGGTCTGTTCCTTCCACGGTGCACCAGGACCTCGGGGAACAGGACAGACAAAGACGCATCCACCATACGAAGAGGAGACAATGAATAAACGCCCTGAACTCTATGGAGGAGACAATGAATAAACCCCTTTGAACTCTGCAGTCCTGAGGGGAGACAGAGGAGGAAACTGTGAGCACCTGTGAGGAAACCTAGAGCACCTGTGAGAGTGAGGAGCAGTGTCCCCACGACCCCGAGTCCTCACCACCTTGACTCACCATGAGGAACGTGGTATCCCTCAGTTTCTCAACTGCTGAAGAAACAAAGGTCACAGATTCACCTGCCCAACATTAGTAATACGACGCAGCCGAGGAGCCAGGCAGCCTCGGGCTTCAGAGAAAATCAGCGCCCTCCCCTGGTAACCCACGCTCTGTTCTCAAAGGTGGTGAGCAAGTGGCAGGGCCAGAAGCACACTCTTCCCCCTTCCCGCCCTAGACAAGGCCAGCTGTACGCCTGCCGCGTCTGTTCAAGAATGAACACAACACCAGCACGCTCTACCTAACAGCCACGTGGCTTTGTGTGTCTTCCGAGAATTCTGTTTCCTTAAGCCCTGTTGTTTACTCTCCATTTTTTAAACCACACTGTGTAAATCTCATTCATGCTATTTGTTTCTCTACAAAAATGCATAAAAATGAGTCAAATTGATTTCTCATTTTTCCACTGATAATCTTAGGACCAACGGAAAGATGAACAACACTGGGCATTACTCCTTTCTATGCCTGGCCCTTTTTAAGGGTGACAGCTCACACTTCACCCAGCACCGACCATGGCGTCTGCCTGCATCAGCTCTGCAAGTCTGCAGGGCAGCCCTGTGCAGAGAGCATGCCCCCGACCGTCCTGCGGCTCCGCACAGCGCACAGCAGCCCCTGGCTCTGGGAAGCAACTGTCAGATTCTGGCCCAGGCCTTGCCCTACCACCGGCATCCTGACCCATACACAAGTCTCAGGCAGACTGTAAACTCCAAAAATTTCCTTCCAAATTAGTGTCCCTTAAAAACTGCATTCCTAAGAAGGAAAATTTCTATGAGGCTGTATCAGTCCACTTTCACGCTGCTGATAAAGATGTATCTGAGACTGGAAACAAAAAGAGCTTTAATTGGACTTATAGTTCCACATGGCTGGGGAGGCCTCAGAATCATTGTGGGAGGTGAAAGGCACTTCTTACGTGGCGGCGGCAAGAGAAAATGAGGAAGAAGCAAAAGTGGAAACCCCTGATAAACCCATCAGATCTCGTGAGACTTATTCACTATCAGGAGAATATCACGGGAAAGACCAGCCCTGATGATTCGGTTACCTCCCCTTGGGTCCCTCCCACAACACATGGGAATTCTGGGAGATACAATTCAAGTTGAGATTTGGGTGGGGACACAGCCAAACCATATCAGGGGCTGACACAGAAACCACGCCTTTGTTTCTGGACTCAGAGCTGCCTGTGCTCCCTACACAGCCCACGGCAGCATGCGCTTCTCCCCCCCACAGCCTGCTCCCCCAACTCCGACCTGCTGTGAGAAGTATCTGTGTCCCTAGAACCTCCAGGCCACACAAAACATCCCACCCCCTGAAGCCCGGGGGTCTAGAGCCTGTCTTCTGTGTGCAGTCTTCCACCGGCGTCAGCCCACGTGGCTGGCAACTCCCCACAGGTGACTCACCTGGACCTCACCGGCATCGTTTTCAATGGTGGGGCTGGGCTGGGGCTCACTCTCCCTGCCCTGGTGCAGGTGAGATGGACCCTGGGGGCAGAGCAGAAGACTCCGCTTTCAAAACACTCTATCCCCAGGAGCGTGCAGCATGAGCTCATACCTGCCTGGGCTGCAGGCTTTGTTTCATGATTGCTGTCATTTTCCAATTTAAGCATCTTAATGAAAGATTTCATTGTGCATTTGGATTGTGTTTTTTTTTTTCTTTTTTTTTTTTCCATGGCAGAGTCTTGCTCTGTCGCCCAGGCTGGAATGCAGTAGCACAATCTCGGCTCACTGCAAGCTCTGCCTCCCGGGTTCACGCCATTCTCCTGCCTCAGCCTCCCGAGTAGCTGGGACTTCAGGCACCTGCCACCACGCCTGGCTAATTTTTTGTATTTTTAATAGAGACGGGGTTTCACCATGTTGGCCAGGATGGTCTCGATCTCCTGAGCTCGTGATCTGCCCGCCTCGGCCTCCCAAAGTGCCGGGATTACAGGTGTGAGCCACGGCGCCTGGCCTGGATTGTGGTTTTAAACAAAAAGATGATGCATTCAGTCAGAGAGGGAGCCCAGAGACACCGAGGCTGAAGGACCGTTTCATGCCGTGTGCGTCAGGCCGCAGCCCCACCTTCTATAAGTGTTTACACACAGCACAGCCACTGCGCTCCCTGACGCTGTTCAGCGTGACTGTGGGGACACACCCGCACCTGTGCTGCAATTGTGCTGTCTGTGCCGTTCACCGTGTGCCCAGGCCTGCAAAAGGAGGTCAGGGGAGCCCATCCAGCAGCAGGGTGGGAAGGACGCTGGCCGAAGACCCAGGGACGTTCCACAGGCACCATTCCACAGTCAGTGCTTCGGGACGGCATGAGCGTGCTAGCATGAGCTGTCATGCTGACTCCTGCGTGGGAGGAAGTCACCATGACCCAGGGCCTCTACCTGGGAAACAGCTGCAGGGGCGGCAGGGCTGAAGCCTGTGCCGGGAGCCTGTCTGCATCTGCCCCAGCCCAGCACTTCCCAGCCACACAGGCCCTTGACCTGCCTGTACCCCCACGGCCTCAGCTGCACAGGGACGGCACCGACTCACAGGGCTGCCGCGTGGTTTCAGAGATGCACCTGGGGCAGGGACAGGCTCTGTGCCTGTGAAGTGCCCCGCTCTTCACTTACTGCTCAGCCCTGTCCGGCACTCGGGCCTCGAGCATCCTGGGCCCCCTGGTCGGTTTCCTATCGTCCACTCCTCCGGCCTCCATGGCCCTGCAAAGGTGGGGGCGGCAGGCTGAACCACCCACATCCTGTGTCTGCGCCACAGAATGCAGGAGCGTGGGATGTCCCAGTGCCTTGGCAGACACGGGCCGGGGGCCATCAGCGCCCAGCACTCCCCGACCGAGCCGAGCTCAGAGCGTTGTGGCGGACCCGCTTGGCGAATGATGCAGGGGCCATTTCCTCCATCCTCCCACCTGGGGGTGAAGTGGCCCCGCGGACAGACCCCGGGAGCTTGGGGCCGGGAGCCGGCTGCTGGGTGGCCGGTGTCCAAGGCTGCGCGGTCTCTGGACATCCCACCCCTGATGCACCACGGGAGCCAGGAAACCCCTGTGGCCCCGGCATTCTGCACCCGATTGATTTCACATTCATAAGGTTCCAACTCAAGACATAAATCCACGAGGAGGAAACGTAAAAGGACGCAAAGTCTACGGCAGGAGTCCTTCTGGAATGTCATGGTTAACTCAACCAAACACCGCAGCAAGCCAAACACGCCAGTCCTTTCCACTGAATGTTTCCAGAGGTCTGTGAGGACACTCAATGCTTACGGAAAGGGGATGGATGGACGGACAGAGGGAGGGAAGGAGGGAGGAAAGACCTTCTTCTCTAAGACTCGGGAGAACCCCACTGTCCTGGGTTTGTGTTTTGTGACCATCTGGATTTGGCCTCAGAGCGCAGCTGTGACTGAGTCTCAGGGCGCATGGCACCCAGCAGCCCCTCTCTCCAGGGTCCTCCCTGGGCCTGTGTCTCCAGCTCTGCTACCTTCTCACCATTACGCTCTGCTCACCTCGGACTGAGACCGTCTCCGTGGGATCTTCTCCCCTCCTCTGCACGCTCCCAGAAAAGAAAAAACAGTGAAAAGAGAAGCAAATGCATTCAGTCTCGCAAGGGCTTTATAACACAGTCAGTCACGAGCTAACCGGGTCAGAATCAACCCGCCTGGGCCCCAAGCAGGTGTGACCCTCTCTGCGCCACATGCTGGGGAGGGGACAAGCAGCCCCGGACCGGCCACCACAGTATCCACTTGCCCAGGCAGAACTGTCCGTGCCATGAGAGTCCACCCCGATGGGTGAGGGTGGTGTCCAGACAGCTGCGTGCCCCAGGCCTCTGCAGTCGCAGCAGGCAGCCCAGCCCTGCTTACCCTTCCCCGGGAGGGCTGGAGCTGCATGTGTCTGCTTGTCTCCTCTCCTCTAGTGCCCCCGAGCAGGAGTGGTCATTGGGGGGCTCCCAGCAGCCCCGACACGGCTCCCCAACAATGCTGTGTGCCGTACACTTGGGGAGGGGTCATGGTCGCAATGGAGGCTGAGGTGCACAGTGCCAGCTAAGACTCCCTCCCAGGGAAGCAGCACAGGGAGCTGGGGATGGGGGTCAGCGGCCAGGAGGGCTTCCTAAAGAAGGCAGTGGGGCCGGGATCTGCAGGAAAGGAGATGCTTGCTGGAAAGGGTTCAGGAAACAAGCTGGGCCGGGCATGAGGGCAGCAGCGGCCTGGGGACTGCCCGGGGCCTGGCATGGAAAGGGGGCTGACCCAGGGCTGGGAAGAGACCAGAGAGCATGGTGAGCATCCTGGGGGTGGGGGCTTGGAGGCGGTAACAGGGCGCCAAAGAAGAGCCAGAGGCAGCCGTGAGGGCCGTGCTTGGGGCGGATGCAGTGGCAGCGGCTGAAGGCCCCGGGCTGTAGCCTGCCCCTGTCTCTGCCCCTGCCTCTGCCCCTGTCTCTGCCCCTGCCTCTGTCTCTGTCTCTGTCTCTGCCTCTGTCTCTGTCTCTGCCCCTGTCGCTGCACCTGCCTCTGTCTCTGCCTCTGTCTCTCTCTGCCTCTGTCTCTGCCTCTGTCTCTGTCTCCCTCTGCTTCTGTCTCTGCCTCTGTCTCTGCTTCTGTCTCTACCTCTGTCTCTGCCTCTGCCTCTGTCTCGGCCTCTGTCTTTGTCTCCCTCTGCATCCCTCTGCTTCTGCCTCTGCCTCTGTCTCTGCTTCTGTCTCTGCCTCCCTCTGCTTCTGTCTCTGCCTCTGTCTCTGCTTCTGTCTCTGCCTCTGCCTCTGTCTCTCTCTGCCTCTGTCTCTGTCTCTCTGCCTCTGTCTCTGTCTCTCTGCCTCTGTCTCTGTCTCTCTCTGCCTCTGTCTCTGTCTCTCTCTGCCTGTCTCTGCCTCTGTCTCTCTCTGCCTGTCTCTGCCTCTGTCTCTGTCTCTCTCTGCCTCTGTATCTGCCTCTGCCTCTGTCTCTGCTTCTGTCTCTGCCTCTGTCTCTGCCTCTGTCTGTCTCTCTGTCTCTGCGTCTGCCTCTGTCTCTCTGTCTCTGCCTCTGCCTCTGTCTCTCTCTGCCTCTGTCTCTGCCTCTGCCTCTCTCTCTGCCTCTGTCTCTGCCTCTGCCTCTGTCTCTCTCTGTCTCTGCCTCTGTCTCTGCCTCTGTCTCTGTCTCTGCCTCTGCCTCTGCCTCTGTCTCTCTCTGCCTCTGTCTCTGCCTCTGCCTGTCTCTCTGTCTCTGTCTCTGCCTCTGTCTCTGCCTCTGTCTCTCTCTGTCTCTGCCTCTGCCTCTGTCTCTCTCTGCCTCTGTCTCTGCCTCTGCCTGTCTCTGTCTCTGTCTCTGCCTCTGTCTCTGCCTCTGTCTCTCTCTGTCTCTGCCTCTGCCTCTGTGTCTCTCTACCTCTGTCTCTGTCTCTGCCTGTGTCTCTGCCTCTGCCTGTGTCTCTCTCTGCCTCTGTCTCTGCCTCTGTCTCTGTCTCTGCCTCTGTCTGCCTCTGTCTCTCTCTGTCTCTGCCTCTGCCTCTCTCTGTCTCTGCCTCTGCCTCTGTCTCTGTCTCTGTCTCTGCCTGTCTCTGTCTCTCTCTCCCTCTGTCTCTGTCTCTGCCTCTGCCTGTCTCTCTGTCCACAGCAAGGGCGGCTGCACATGACCCTCGACACAGCCTTGGACACAACGCGCCCCCCGCCCACCGCAACTCCTCCGGGCATCTACGGACGCTCCATCCCTTGGAGCCCTTGGGAGACTCCCTTGGAGCAGCGTGGTGATTCGACTGCAGCTGCCCCTTCGACAGGCACCAGCAGAGCGGGGCCACAGGACCCCCTGGGTGGACTAAACCACCCTCGACCCACCGCTGCTCCTCCAGCCCCACAGTCAGGAGGAAGCACCGCATTCCACAGACTCCTGTCCCCACACCCAGTCCCCAGCGGCCACACCCACAGGCTCGGGCACCACCCTCCCCTCCTGCCAACGTGCTGGTTTCCACAGGCAGCTGCGGGAAGGGAGCCCATCCAACTCCACCCGGCCATGTGCCACCCTCCAGGGCACTCCTGACCCAGGGCCACAGCCCCATAGGATCCCATGGTGAGAATGAGAAAAAGCTGCCTGTCATCGACGTGAAAGTCAACACACTGAAAAGTGACTCCATCAGGAGCACCCTGTGCAGGTGTCCAGGAGCGAGCAGTGCACGACCCGCACAGCAGTACATGAGCCGCAGCACAGGACTCTGCAGTGGGCGCTGACACCAGCAATCCCAGCAGCACAGAGCAGCCTTCGCGTCCCAACTCGCTCACCACTCACTGTGCACGGCCCCTCCACGGCTGCCACTGTCCCTCCACGGCCGTCACACTGTCCCTCCACGGATGTCACACTGTCCCTCCACGGCCGTCACACTGTCCCTCCACGGATGTCACACTGTCCCTCCACGGCCGTCACACTGTCCCTCCACGGATGTCACACTGTCCCTCCACGGCCGTCACACTGTCCCTCCACAGATGTCACACTGTCTCTCCACAGCCATCACACACTGTCCCTCCACGGCTGCCACTGTCCCTCCATGGATGTCACACTGTCCCTCCATGGCCGTCACACTGTCCCTCTATGGCTGCCACTGTCCCTCCATGGATGTCACACTGTCCCTCCACAGCCGTCACACTGTCCCTCCACGGCTGCCACTGTCCCTCCACGGATGTCACACTGTCCCTCCACGGCTGCCACACACTGTCCCTCCATGGATGTCCATCACCCTGTCTGCTACAGCTCTCTGTCACATGGCCCCTCCGTGGCTCTCCCACACTGTCCCTCCATGGGTCTGGCCCGTGGCCCTTCCAGCCGCTCTGACACACAGAGCCTCCAAGGCTTCTTCCCATGCAGTTCCCCCGCTGCCCTGGCATTCACCAGTCCCCTCTTGCCTTCGGCCCTCCAGCCCTGGCCGACCTGCTGTTCCTGGACATGCTGGGTGCACCACCTCAGGGCCGCGCAGACGCTGTTCCTCCCACTGGGAATGGGCTTCTGTGGACGTGGGCTCAGCTCATCTCTCGGCTCCAGTGGCATTTCAGGCAATGACCCCATTCTCTTGGCGCCTCGCCTGCCATGGCTCCTATTCAATTTCAAATCCCTCCTCTCCGCACCTTGTAGCCCCGTGTATGCCTTATTTCTCCACCTTGTAGCCCCGTGTATGCCTTCTCTTTCCGCAGCTTTTCATCATATTACTTTACTTCTTAAATCATCTTTCCTGAAGACAAGGGTGCCAGCCCCCCAGGGCAAGCACATGGTCTCTGCGGTTCACACCCTGCCTTGGGGCGTGAGAGCACTTAGTACTTAGCACGCAGCGGTATTCATGAAACACCTGTCTCTTAATAGGTCATTTCCAGATTTGCCGGTGCTTGTCATATGGCCACAGGTAGATTTTCTTCATGTGCAAAGGTTGTTTCTTTTTATAGAAGTTAAATCAAGTATAAAAACTTGATTCAAAAAACACATAAGCACAAAAGGGCACTAAACCTAAGCCAACAGAGAAAGGCCTCAAGGGACCAAGAAGGTGCTCGCAGGTGTTTGCACGGCCCCCGGAGGCTCCTGGCAGCCTGGATGCTGGACAGAAGCCACGCCCAGGAGTCAAGCGCCCACCAAGGACAGCCGCCTGGGCCCCACGGGAAATGAGCCGCCTGAGCCCCACGGGAAATGAGCCGCCTGCCACGCATGCCTGCGGATTGCAGTGGAAATCTCCCAGGATTACAGGTGCGCGCACACAGCCTCCCTCCCCTGCCTTCGTCTGATACTCCTCTTGTCACCAGGAGTCCTTGCCCTCTGGGGCCGTCTGCAGACAGAACGGAGCGGGGAAGTGGCTCTTTAGAGCAAGCGGGAGCTGCCTCCAAACTGCAGCCCTCTGACGGCTGGCAGAGAGCACTTCGGAGCCTGCACACTGGAGAACCTAACCCTCTCCTTCTTGCTACCGCTACCTATGACTCGCTCCCCAGATATTTTCATCAGCTGGCAAAACGCTGCACCTTTCATTCCTTCCTATTAAATCATGGAGAAACCTGCATGTCTAAACGCCATTCCAGGAGCAGGGTGCCTGCCGCCGTCCCAGCAGCCTCCCCGGGCCTCGCCGCGCGTTCTTCCTCCGCAGACCCCGGATTCGGGACCACGAATGCAGCGCTGCGCCGCCGTGCAGCGCTGGGCACCTATGACGCTCGTTTAGACTCCAGCTGCAGCTGAAAAGTGACCTATTCTACATAACACAGGACCACAGCTTCCAGAGAAAGGAATTCTCCTCAGCCCTGCTCTGCAAGAAGTGCCTCTGCTGGCTGAATGCAGAGCCCACACAAACGACAGAAAGCCACGAAGCCGCGGCTTCCGTGGAGGCAGCTGGACGTGGGTCAGGGCCTCTCGTGTGGGCTGCTTCCCACGGGCCTGCTGAGTCAAGTGCTTGAGAACAAAGCATGAGTCGACTTTCTTATCACTCCTGCAGCAAGCAGGCTGGCCAGGGTCAGGGGCTGGCTCCAGCCCTCAGCGGACTTCAAGCTGGCCCGGCCCACACAGGGCAACCGCCCACAGGCCTGGCCTTACCACGTCCCACTGGTTCCATGCCGCTGACCCCGCCAGGCTCAGAACTGCACGCACCATCAGGAAGACCCACCGCATTCCCTCCGTCACAGCTCAGCGCTTCTCACACAAAACATACGGAGCTTCTGAACCAGGAGGGTCATTAACTCTGGAGCTCCCTGGGTTGTGTCTACACGGCCCACGCAGGTATCCTGTCGGGACGACTCAGCTCAGGCCCGACATGAGTGCAACTGTGCAGGCGGGGAGCGCTCGGCCTGGCCGGGCTGGTTGGCCGCCCCCCAGGTGTGCTGGAGGCCCTGCCGCCTGCTTCCTCTCCAAAGCTCGAGGACTCCCCGTCCGTGTCCGCTCAGATACGCACTGAATACCACGCTAGCTTATGTAATGCTCTTTGGACTCACTTTTCTCATGTTCCTTACAGAAAATCAGACACTGCACTGAAATCACTGCTTTATTTTCCTTTCAGAAAAAAAAAATAAGCAAACGATAGAATAAAACAGTAAGTGCGCATGCCACAGTTTATCAAAATGTAATTCCTTAAAACCGTAAGTGTGCATGCCACGGTTTATCAAAATGTAATTCCTTAAAACAGTAAGTGTGCATGCCACGGTTTATCAAAATGTAATTCCTTAAAACCGTTAAGTGTGCACGCCACGGTTTATCAAAATGTAATTCCTTAAAACAGTAAGTGTGCATGCCACGGTTTATCAAAATGTAATTCCTTAAAACCGTTAAGTGTGCATGCCACGGTTTATCAAAATGTAATTCCTTAAAACAGGAAGTGTGCATGCCACAGTTTATCAAAATGTAATTCCTTAAAACAGTAAGTGTGCATGCCACGGTTTATCAAAATGTAATTCCTTAAAACCGTAAGTGTGCATGCCACGGTTTATCAAAATGTAATTCCTTAAAACAGTAAGTGTGCATGCCACGGTTTATCAAAATGTAATTCCTTAAAACAGTAAGTGTGCATGCCACGGTTTATCAAAATGTAATTCCTTAAAACCGTTAAGTGTGCATGCCACGGTTTTAAGGGAGGAAGGCACTTTAAGAGGAAGGCACTGCTCTTCCACAACATAATAACGACCACATCCAAGTGTAAGGGTCTGTTCCCCACAGCTGGACAACAAGCCACGGGCACAAAACAAAACAAAGAACGTGATCTCAGCACGGAAGCAACACCTACGACTTGCAGGAGCCTGACTCACCCCGACTCACCTGGTGCCGAAAAGGGCCTCGGCTGTCTGTAGCTATCAGTGGAGGCAGAGTGTTGAGGTACCACAACCATTCCTTCTGTTTTCTTCATTAAACCCCCACTGTGAGTCCCCAGGGACTGACGGTCATTAAGATATTGGAACCTAGAATGGCCAGATTGGTAACTAGCCAATGCTGATGCAGCCAGGCCTATTCTACGCAGACAGCCATGCATCTCTACATGTGCCTGTTAACAACCTGCATGCTTCCCCATCGCTCCCTCACAAGGGCCCCCGCACCAGTCACAGCTCTGGATACCATATTTTACTTTACACAGTTATTTCCCCTATCAGAAGTGACCCATGGAAGAGAAAAACTTTGAACCCAAACATTTTTAAAAATATTTTACACCTTTTTCACATCATTTAACAAAAATATAAAATACCAACAACCCCCATATAGCACTTTCTACTGGCAGGCCTGCTTTACTCTAATGATACAACAAAAAGCAGGAAATGGCAATGATGGAAGGAAAGGAAAAATCCACGATTTAAAATGATCATTTTGACGGGGCATGCAGTGGCTCACGCCTGTAATCCCAGCGCTTTGGGAGGCTGAGGCAGGTGGATCACTTGAGGTCGGGAGTTCAAGACCAGCCTGGCCAACATGGCAAAACCCGTCTACTAAAAATACAAAAATTAGCCGGGCACGGTGGTGGGTGCTTATAATCCCAGCTACTTGGGAGGCAGAGGCAGGAGAATTGCTTGAACCTGGGAAGCAAAGACTGCAGCAAGCCGAATCTCTCCACTGCACTCCAGCCTGGGCAACAGAGTGATACTCCATTTCAAAAAAAAAGATCACTTTTTTATCAAAATTTGGAAAACTACTCACAGAAAACAAACAAACAGAACCAAAACCAATGTCCAAACCTGACAACTATGAACAGGCTGAAGCAGAGTAGGGTGGCAGATGTGGCAGAAGTGTGTGTGTATCAGCGTGGGGGCTGGTGGCAGGGCATTCTCCCTGGGCCCCTTTGCCACACCTGTCCTTACAGGTAACCCTGCCCCTCCCTAGACGGACCTGGGGCTGTGGCCCTGTCTGCCACCCAGGCAAGGACCCCTGCTGGTCACCGGCCTCTGCTCTCCCTGCCTCTCAGACCCTTGGCAGCCCCTGGGCCTGGCCCACCCCTTTCCACTGCAGAGCTCCCAGAACCTTCCAAAATTACACTCCCAGAAAGCCTGGTTAAGGGAGAGAGCTGAAGTTCTCCCTCATGAATGACTAACAGCTACGCTTCCCTTCTGTCTTATTTCACGCCACTTACCTTTCTACCCAGGCAAACTATAAGCAACGCACGCATGAAACACAGATTCTCTGAGCATCTCCAGATCCGAGCTGTTCTTTGCATGCTTCCTGCCACACACTGTGCAGTAAACAATGACGGGCCTACAACAGCGCTTTCTTACATCTCACTATGACGTTTTCACATCGCTTACAGAATACAACCGTCATTAGCGCATTTCCAGTTTGCTCTAATTTATGCCAAACATCTTTGTTTTAAGCAGCACTTCCCCATACAACGCCTTCTAGCAACTTCGTAAGTGAGCACCCTCAAGTCCCGTGAGAAGTCTGGACTCACAGGGCCAGGGAAAAGCTTCCCCACCTCAACCCAGGTCTGTAACTCCACACCCTCCACACCACCCAACGCCTCTATCTACAACTCACACACGCGCACACACACACACACAAAGCGCACACACACACAGCACACACACAAACACACGCACACACAAACGCACACACATGCATACAAACACAAACACATACACAAAGACACACGCACACGTATGCACACACAAACTGCAGAGGAAAGGCAGCACACCAAAGCACCCAGAAGACAAATGTGGTTACATCTGGAAGTCAAGCATCAACTTTTAAAAACATAAAAAGCTATTCTGAATAACTTTTAACTTCACTTCACCCCCAACTGTCTACAACTAATGAATTACAAATAGCACCTTATACAAATGACTTTTCTTACTGCTGAGAAATCCTGGAGGTCTCATCTGTCTATAAAGAGTTATGCATCCGTAACTGCCGATGTTGGCTGCTAAAGCCAGCAAATAAATGCTGTGAGAGACAGACAGGGACAAAGTGTGTTTTTAAAAATACATGACGTGTAAACCTCAGTAATCATCTCTCTTTTCGAATAAAAATTATTTTCTATAAAGCAGGTGTTCAAAACATATTATTAATCAGCAACAGTGAAATTGTTCCTCCTTGCAGCATTCCACCCATATGGACATTAAGTCACTCCTGCACAGAATCTAGAATACTGACCAGTCCGTACTCAGGTTATGGTTAACCAGAGAAAAGAATTAAAACCCGTTACATCTTGAGTCAATGAGAATTTTTACTTGCAGCCAAAGTTAGTGACTGGAATCAATATCAGACAACAGCAAGTTCGTCTACTGCTGCCTGGGAACATGACCTACTGGCCACAGTCGGGAGGGGTACTCAGACCTCACCTTCAGTGCCCAGGGGCCCATGGAAGGGGAGTGGGGCTGGGACAGGTGGGCAGGGCGTCTGTGGACCTAGGGCAGTTTCCTCAGAATCTACCTTGGCTTCTTGGGCACCAGCGGGCTGTGGGGTGCAGGGGAACAGGTGGAGTACGGGGGGGACAGCTGGGGTGCGAGGGACAGCTGGGGTGCAGGGTAAACAGGTGAGGTGTAGGGGGACAGGTGAGGTGCAGAGGACAGGTGGGGATCAGGGGGACAGGTGGGGTGCAGGACAGTTGAGGTGCAGGGGACAGGTGGGGTTCAGGGAGAGAGGTGGGGTGCGAGGACAGGTGGGGTGCGGGGGAACAGGTGGGGTACGGGGAGACAGGTGGGGTGCGGGGGGACAGGTGGGGTGCAGGTGAACAGGTGGGGTGCGGGGGACAGGTGGGGTGCGGGGGGACAGGTGGGGTGCGGGGGGACAGGTGGGGTGCGGGGGGACAGGTGGAGTGCGGGGGGACAGGTGGGGTGCGGGGGGACAGGTGGGGTGCGGGGGGACAGGTGAGGTGCAGGGGGGACAGGTGGGGTGCGGGGGGACAGGTGGAGTGCGGGGGGACAGGTGGAGTGCGGGTGAACAGGTGGGGTGTGGGGGGACAGCTGGGGTGCAGAGTAAACAGGTGGGGTGTGGGGAGGACAGGTGGGGTGCGAGGGGACAGGTGGGGTGCGGGGAACTGGTGGAGTGCAGAGTTAACATGGGGTGCTGAGGGACAGGCGGGGTACACGGGGTGCGGGGAACTGGTGGGGTGTGGGGGGACAGCTGGGGTGCAGAGTAAACAGGTGGGGTGTGGGGAAGACAGGTGGGGTGCAGGGGGAACAGGTGGGGTGCGAGGGGACAGGTGGGGTGCAGAATAAACAGGTAGGGTGCGGGGGGACAGGCGGGGTGCGGGGGAATAGGTGGGGTGTGGGGGGGACAGCTGCGGCGCGGGGGACAGCTGGGGTGCAGGGTAAACAGGTGGGGTGCGGGGGGACAGCTGGGGTGCGGGGAACTGGTGGAGTGCAGAGTGAACAGGGGGTGCTGAGGGACAGGCGGGGTACACGGGGTGCGGGGAACTGGTGGGGTAGGGGGACAGGTAGGGTGCGGGGGAAAGACGCCGGCTTTCCTTACACCGGTCCTTCTCTGCATCCTGAGGCGGACCGCATTCTTCTCCTTTACCGGAAAATCTAAGTTACTGCACGACCCCCCAGGCGAAGCCAGCTCGCCCCTCGGGCTCCTTCCGCCGATCGGAGTTCGCTCCTGCCCCTGGGGCCAGGGGTCCCTGCTGCCAGTCCCTGCTCCCCCCGCCCAGGCCCGCGCCGTTATCCTGAGGGGCCGGGGGCGCCGCGGAAGGGGGAGCTGCTCGGGGGGAGGGGGTCTCAGCCCCTTCCCTGAAACATCTGCGCAGGGGGTCGGGGGCGCAGCCACCTCCGGGTGGGACCCAGCGATTTCGGGGGAGCCGGGCAGAAGTGCAACTCTCAAAGGAAACCAGAAGCCCGCGAGGGGACCCACGGTCCGCGGGGCCCGCACTCACCTCGGCGGCCAGGACGCGACCCGCAGTCCCCTGCTGTTCCCCGCCGTCCCCCGCTGTTCCCCGCCGTCCCCCGCTGTTCCCCGCCGTCCCCCGCCGTTCCCCGCCGTCCCCCGCGTCCCCCGCGTCCCCCGCGACCCCGTCCGTCCCGGATCGCGCGCCCGCCGGCTACAGGGATGCGCCCAGCCCCTCCCGCCCGGACGGCCTGCTCCACCCACCATGCTGTCATTGGCGGGCCCAGACCGTTCCGGGCGCCCATTGGCCGCAGAGCCTGCCGGTTTCTCGGCAGCGCCCTGCCCTCGCGCCCGCGCATTCCTTCGAGGCCACGTGGCCGCCCGCGCCCCCTCCCGCTGCCCAACGCCCGGCCCAGGCTGCGCACGCGTGGGAGGGGGCGCGCGGCAGAGGCTCCCGCCCCCGGATCATCTCCTGCCCCGCGGACCCCGGGCCGCGCTCACTTCGGGAGGGGTCGCTGGGCAGACCGAGTGCCCTCCCCGCCCCCAACATCTGGATCCTCCCCGCAGAGCCTGCTCCCGGCTCAGAGCTGCGCCCCTTGGGGAGGGTGCGCCGGGCAGACCCTAACCCTCTCCCAGAGCACCGCCCTTTCTGCGGACCCCCACGGGCTGAGCTCACCTGAGGGAGGGGGCGTCGGGCAGACGCTCCCCCCCCCAGAACATCGCCCCTCCCTGCGGACACCCGGGGTGCGCCCAGCCGAGGAGGGGGCGTCGGGACCCCACCCGACCCGCCCTTGAGCCCCCGTCCCTCCGTCCGCAGCTGGCCCTGCCCACAGGGCGTTCCGGGTCTTCCGCGCCAGCTGCCCTGGACCAGCCAAGGCTTGGGCGTTTGGAAATGCGATGACTTCAGCCACGTTTCCGAGGCAGTTTTTGAAGCTTGCTTCTTGCCAGGAAGCGCTCGTTTTTCCCGGGACCTTTCCAGGGAATGGCCCCTTCTGAGTTATTGGAATTGTTTACTTTGAGCATTTATTTGTCTTATACTTTTAAAAAGGAAACAGATTATCGTTATAATTACTATTAAAGAAAAAAAAAAACGAGAAACAAAGACATTTTTAACCAAAATAACTAAAGGATGTTATCTTTTACCTGGTCAGCACATTTAACAAGTGTGTTCGCAGATGCTAGATTTATTTCTATGCCTTCTCCTACCCAAATCTCCGAATCATAGAAGTAATTTTAAGTCAGTGTTTTAGAACTGTCAGACTTCTTAGAGATTTCTAGCCCCTTTCACTTGTTTTATAGAAGAAATACAAACAGCTATTTGGGATGCTAAGTATCACGAAATTAATCTAAACATTAACTGCCCTTAAGGCTTGTGTGCTCTGGAATAAGTTATTTCCCTGAAAATTTTGGACTATGTAAAAATCATAGCCAACATAGAAAGACTACAATGGCTGGAAAAAATAATCGTAGGTAAGGTGATATTTTTTCAATGTTTATTATTCACACTTGCTAATTTTATGAAATCAGACTGAGTTGTTTTTATGAATCAATTGAAAAAGGTATTTGCTCTCAGCGACCTTAAGATTAGAAAACTTATTTCAGGTTTCTATTCCTAGGGTTCTCTGGGTACCTTATTCAGAGATCTTCTGCACAGATCAATGGTCAGATCAATGGTCTTGATCAACAGAAGTAAGAAGGTCAACTAAATTAGTTCTTGTTTACCTAAATACGATGAGAAAATCCTGATACTTGTAGTGTTTTCTAAAAAGGTAGAGATAAGAGGAAATAGTCCTGTGTATGGAATAAACAACTCATTTTCTCAATGGATGAAATTGAGCCCCTAAACTCAGGGCCGCCAGGGACACCACTGAGTAGGGCCACAGAGCAATGCCTTCCAGGCAGGTTGGGCAGAAAATCCCCTGATTTGGAGCTCCAATAGATCCTGTCTGTCTGCTTTATTCAGGCGTTCCTCACAGATACATCCCTATTTTCGTAAGCCCGGATATGGAAGAGTTGGGATTTTCCATTGTGATTCCCTCTTTGACCCATGGGATATTTAGAAAAGTTAGGTTCACCTTTCAAATATATGGGGACTTTCTGGTTTTCTTTTTATTGTAACTAAAGTTTAATTCCACCGGGCCTTAAAACATCAGCTGTTTTATTTTTGTCGTTTAAGATTTTCAAACACTTGCTTCATGGCCCAACATTGTCTATTTTGGTAAATGTTCTATGAGCACTTGCTGAGAACATGCTTTCACTGACATAAAGTTCTACAGATGTCAATTAGGTCATATTTGTTACTGATTTTTTTATCTACTTGTACTTTTTATCTACTTGTACTTTTTATCTACTTGTACTGATAAGGGTGTATGAAAATCTTTGACTCTCCGTAGTCTATTCAGCATTGTCCTGCAGCATCTAACAAGTGTTGTAGGTCATAAAAACAAAAAGTGTAAGGATTGAGGGAGGAAAAACTGATTATTTACAGTCAATATGATTATATATGTTAAAAAACAAAATTATCTACAAATAAACTATTAGGATTAAAATAGAATTTAGGAATTTCAGATGGATCATAGACTTAAGTGTAAAAATTATAAAGTTGCTAGGATAAAATATAAGAAAAGATCTTACGGATCTTCAGGTAAGACAGAAAATGGACCGACCATTTAAAAATGATTAAATGGCTTATCAAAATTTAATATTTCTACTCATCTCATGACATCATTAAGAAAATGAAAAGGCAAGCCACAGACTGGGAGAACACAGGGGCAATGCATATATCCCACAAATGGCTTGTCTTAATCCACGTTGTGCTGCTGTAACAGAATACCTGGGAATGGGTGATTTACAATGAAAAGAAATTTATTTCTCACAGTTCTGGAGGCTGGGAAGTTCAAGATCAAGGAGCCACATCTGGCAAGAACCTTCGGGCTGCATCATCCCATGACGGAAGGTGGGAGGCGGAGGTGGGGAGGGAGGATGCAAAATGGGCCAAACTTATCTTTTTTTTTTTTTTTTTTGAGACGGAGTCTTGCTCTGTCATCAGGCTGGAGTGCAGTGGTGCGATCTCTGCTCACTGCAACCTCCGACTCCCTGGTTCAAGCTATTCTGCCTCAGCCTCCCGAGTAGCTGGGATTACAGGTATGTGCCACCACACCCAGCTAATTTTTGTATTTTTAGTAGAGACGAGGTTTCACCCAAACTCATTCTTTTATAAGGAGCCCACCGCCTCAGTCATGGCATTTATCCATCCATGAGGGTCATACCCCCATGACCCAGACACCACCTAGTAGGCACCTTCCAACACTGCTGCATTGGGGGTCAAGTTTCCAACACATAAACTTTGGGGAAAACGCGTTCAAACCATAGTCCTGGTAAATAGAGAACTCCTGCAAATGAACAATAACAAGACAAGTCTATTTCAAAAGGGACAAAACAATATAACAATAACAAGCCTGTAAATAACAATAACAAGTCTATTTAAAAATAAACAAAAGACGTAAATACTTCACCAAAGATGTACTGATAGCCAACAAGAACAGGAAATAGTGCTCAGTGTTACCCAAAGTAAACTCACAATGAGATGCCACCACCGTCATCCAAGCACGGCTGAAACTGCAGACCGACATGGCAAGGGTAAAAATGTGGAGCCCCTGGAACCACTATACAAGGCGATGAGAGTGCAAATGGCGCAACCACTCTGATTAATTGTTTGCCCATTTCTCAGCAATCCCACTTTTAGGTTTGCCCAAGGCAAGTGAAAACATAAGTCCCTTAAAAGACTTTTACAGCCAGACATGGTGACTCCCACCTGTAACCCCAGCACTTTAGGAGGCCAAGGTGGAGGATTGCTTGAGCCCAGGAGTCTAGCATGATAGTCTCCACCTCCAGTCCCAGCTACTTAGGAAGCTGAAGTGGGAGGATCGCTTGAGGCTGGGAGGTCAAGGCTGTAATGAGTCATGTTCACCACCACTGCACTCTAGCCTGGGTGGACAGAGCAAGACCCTGTCTCAAAAAAAAAAAATGATTTTTACAAGAATTCTTTCTTCAAAACAGTTCAAATACTTCGCAACTGGAAACAACCCAAATTCCATCAACAGGTGAACTCATAAAGTATTGTATCTTCATAGAATAATAGAATACTAATAATACAGTAATAAAAAGGAAGAAACTGATATGTTCAATAACAATGAATCTTGAAAACATGAAAAACATAGACAAAAGGGCACATATAGTATGATTCAATTTTTATGAAATTCAAGAATGTGCCAAACCAACCTATAATAATAGGAATCAGAACAGTGGTTATTTTTGGGGGTATTGTCTCAGAAAAGACAAAGGAATTCTGGGGAGTGATGAAAACGGTGACTACATCTTGATTTGATTTGCAGACACATGGGTGTGTTCACTTTGTAAATAGAATCAAGCCGAACACAAGAGTAAGCTACTTCATGGGATATATACAGTGGCCTCAATGCATCCCCCTTGATGACTGAAAGTTCATCACCAACGTGATAGCAGTAAGAGGTGGGGCCTTGAGGAGGTTAGTGGGTCATGAGGGATGGGCTTAGTGCCCTTGTAGAAGTGCCAGGGGGCTGTTCACCCCTCCTACCAGTGAGGGCACAGTGCTCAAGGTGCTGTCTTGTGAGCAGAGACCAGGCTCTCCCCAGACACTGAACCTGTTGGCACGTTGATCTTGGACTTCCCCACGTCCAGAACTGTGAGAAATAAACTCCTGTTGTCTATAAATGACCCAGTCTCTGGTGTTTTGTTACAGTAGCAGGAACAAATTAAGTTATGTATCAGCAAAAAGGGGTTTTAAAAGCTGGGTTCCTTTAAAAAAATAATGATTCCCTTTATTGACGGAATACAAAATATCCCTTAATTAATTGCAAGCAAATTAAGTGCAAGGCCCATGCAGAGGGTAGGGATAATCTATACCCTAGTTAGGACATTCAGAAAGGAAAAAAATGGCAAAGACAGCCTGCCTGGTTCTAGGCCTCGCCTCTACTCCAGAGACGTCTCCATGCCCCACGCGGAGCGGGTGCGTGAGGTCAGCTCTAGCAGGGCCTAAAGGCCTGGGCTCTATCATCAAATAGGCCCGGGGGCTTCTGCCTCTTTTACCACTATATGGATGAACATGGGCGTCATTCAATGTCCTGGGCCTCAGTCTCCTCACTGAAAACAAGAGCAAAACCTACTTAGGCAGCATGAAGACTCAACACTTTCATGTGCAGAGACCGGTGTCAGGGCACCTGACCCCATGGACATCTCGGGGGAGCCTGAGGCACTGTCCGAAGATGGAAGCTTGTATCCACTCCTGGGCACAGTTCCTGGGTTCACATCCCAGGCACTTCCCTTACCAGCTGTGCTATCTGCATTGCTGTGCCTCAGTTTCCTGCAAAGAATTGGAAAGACATTCGCACCTACTGTGCGGGTCAGTTTTATATGTCACCTTGACCAGGTGACAGTCCCCGGTAATTCATTCAACATGGGTCCAGATGTGGCTGTGGAGGTGTTCTGTTGGTGTGCAAAAGACCCATCACAGTGGACTTTAAATGAGGAAGACTATGTTAGACAATCCGGGTGGGCCCGATTCAGCACTGGAAAGGCTTTCCAGAGAAGAAATTCCGCTGTGGGCGGTAGCTTCAGCTCTGCCCCAGGTCCAGCCTGCCCTTCCCACGGCCTGCCTGCCTGGACCTCGCTCCCAGGCCCCCATCGTGGTGCCGGATCCAGGCTCTAAATCTCTCCAGGTCTGCCTCCTACTGGCTGAACCTTGGCTGAGGCCACTTGTAGGATGGCGCCATTGAAAGGGAGATGGCATGCACACATCTCAGAACTACTCCACTCCGCAGGCGGGGAGCGAGACACTGAGCCCGGGGACGGCGAACAACCCTGGATGTGAGACCTCAGACAAGTCCCTGACCGTACTGAGCCTGCTATCTCGTGGATACAGGGTTAGTCACCAGTCCCTGGCTCTGGAGCGGCGGTGAAGATGAAGGCATCCTGGGTGCACCTGGCGCTCTGCCTGGCCCACAGCGCACGTGGGGCAGACCTCAGGCCGCAGTCACGGGGCTGCTCAGGTGCTGCGATGGGAGAAGAGCCAGGAAGTGAGTCTCCACCCAGTGCCGCTCAGTCACGGGACCCAGGTACAGCCTGGCAGAGGACAGACGGCGCTCCAGGGAGACCCTGGGGCAGCGTGGGGCTGGGGTGGGGCTGTCACACGGCAGAGGCCCTGGGCAAGTGCGGAGGCCACACGAACATGGGGTGCAGGGGGTACATGGAAATCAGAGGCCCCCTTCAGGCCTCTCAGCCTCCCAGCCTCGAGCCATGAGTTCTGTCTGGGCTCACGCAACCCCAGACGTGGCTGAAGAGGCTGGAGTGTCGACGAGCGCTGGGAAGAAGCTGCCGACCTCACTGCTCCGCGCCCTGCCTTCCCCTCCCTCCTGCCGTCCCCAGTCACCCCGAGGCATCACCCGGCCGGGCTCCCTGGGGCAACACATCCGAGAGCCCCCAGCAGGCCACACCCCTCCCAGCGCCTGTCCCCACAGGGGGCTCGGGACTTACAGGGAACAGTACAGCCTGGGGGCCATCGCAGATGCCCTCCAGGAAAGCAGGATGCTCTGCAGATAGGACGGCTGTGGCCGCTGCCCCAGGAAACAGCCCAGGACGCTGCCTGAGCTCAGAGGGTTCCGGACACAGACCGCGCTCCCCGCTTTGCAAACCACACCCAGTCCATTTCCTAGTGTGAGTTTGTCTCTACTCATCGGTTTGTGTCTTTATAAGAGTTCTAAAGTAAAACAAAAACACACAAGGACAGTGACCTAGACAGCACCCAGGGATGGGTCGGGTCGGCCTCCGAAGGGCAGCAGCTGCCATGCGGGAGGCAGGTTCCCGAGGAGCCGGGCAGGCTTCGGAGAGGCCGTGCTCGCTTTCCCGACTGTGGCGACGGATCCACCTGCTATGCGTTCCTCAGAACTCACTGAACCGCCCACGTTAATGACGCGCAGTTCGCCGTGTGCCAATGACGCCTCAATCAAGCTGCTAAACGAAGGCCGGAGCAGCCCTGCCTGTGGGGCTGTAATGTTTTCTGCAGCCTTGATGAGCCGCCCTGGGCTGTTTCAAAGGGAACGCAGCAGTCTCCTCTTGACTTCCGCAGTGGCCGTATTCCTGGGCCGTGCGGTGGGTGTGTCTGCAGGTAAACAGGGAGTATCTAGGCTCGGATGGTTACAGACGGCTTTCCCCGTGGGCGGCGTCCCGTGGGCCCTATGCAAGCTGCGCAGGCCGCCCTGGGCTCTGCCGCGAGTGCGTGGGCGGCAGGACGGTGCATCCCGGGCCTCCACCGGTCAAATGCTCCACACTGACCACCGCAGCACCCCCCCGCTCTCCCGGGCAAATTCTAAAGCTTCCCTAGCGGGGAGTTCCTGCTGGGGAACTTTCTCCATCCGCCCTCTTGGACCTCACAGGCTTCTTCCGCCTTCCCAAACGGACGCTGCACCCCGTCTCGTTAGAACGCTGCACCCCATCTCGTTAGA